>NC_000022.11:50275365-50575365 GCF_000001405.40 Homo sapiens
GCTGGTGCGTGGGCGGAGGCGGAGGCCAGCTGCCCCCAGCGTGGCAGCGTAAGGCACATTTTCAAATCACTGGAGACTCGACAGTGAACACCCGATGCTGGTTCTGCGGCCGGAGGGAGCTGGGGCTGGGGCTGGTGCTGGTGCGGTGCCCGGCGGTATTGCTCAGAGGAAGATGCTACAGTCTAGACGCTGGGCGGGTTCCGGCTGCACCCACTCCGGCTTGGGGCGCGTTCCAGGGGAGGGTGGGGGCCTCAGCCACAGCCACTCGGCCTCCTCCCCTGAGGGGCTCTCAGGTACCTCAGGTACCTATGTCCCAAGGCAGCACTGGAGATTGTAGGTCAGAGGTCAGTGACCTTGTTCTCCAGTGCAGCGGCAATCTGCTGCAGGCGGAAGGCCAGCTGCATCTTCTGGGCGGCAGGATCCTCCTCCAAGGCATTGATGATCTGAGGGAGGGTCGCATCAGAGCACACCGGGGGACCGCCCAGCACCCCACCTGCCCCCGCCCCCGGGGGCCTGACCCTACCTCGTCATAGTACTTCTGCGTGTATTGGTAGAGCTGGTGGAGTGCCACGAGGGTGTTCAAGGAGTCCGTGTGCGCCTGGGGGGTGACGGGACAGTCAGGGTGGAAAAGGGGCTGTGGGAGCCCCAGGGCTGGCAGGAGTAGTACGGGACGCCCAGGACGAGGCCTCCCCGGGGAAGCAGCTGGGGCCTTGGGCACAGCTGGCACTTGGGGCCCCCCATGTGGCACAGCCTCAGACAGACACCCACGCAGGCAGAGTTGTGCACATCCAACCATCTCAGTGTCTCCCTGTGTGACGCACGGCTGTGGATGGACCCACAGGGACGGGTGCTGTGAGCAGGGCTGTGGGTGGAGCCGCAGGGAGGGGGCGCTGTGGGCACGGCCGTGGGTGCAGCCGCAGGGAGGGGGCGCTGTGGACACGGCCGTGGATGGAGCCGCAGGGAGGGGGCGCTGTGGGCACGGCCGAGGGTGCAGCCGCAGGGAGGGGGCGCTGTGGGCACGGCCGTGGGTGCAGCCGCAGGGAGGGGGCGCTGTGGGCAGGGCCTGGCTCCAAGCAGGAGCAGCTCATACTCCCCACACGCAGCTGTGGCTCACTTCACATGGCCGAGCCCACCTCGAGGTCCCGCCCCACCCTCTCTCCCCCTCAGCACCACATTACCCCTGCCCTGCAGCTCAGGGCCAGGCTCAGCATGGGGTAGTGGGAGCGGGGAGGGCTGTGGGTGCGTCCCTGGTGGTCTCCTTACCCGGGAAATCTCTGCCAGGTGTGTGTTCATGTCCTGGTCGCTGACCTGCACCATCTGCCGGATCCCCTTGTAGTAACTGCAGGGGTGGGAGCATCATACAGTGTGGGCGGCAGGGACCACAAAGGGGGTGGTGGGGGAAACCAAGGCCTGAACCTCCCCGCAGGGGGTCGAGGGTGGGCATGGGGGCCTGGCCTGGAGGGCAGGCAGACTTACTCCTCCACCATCTTCTTGTAGGTGGAGATCTCCTTGGCGTACAGCAGCTTGTTGCTGGGAGAATCCTGTTGGGGACAAAACCCAGTGATGCCTGGCCAAGGGGGCCAGGCTGGGGCTGCTCAGAGTACCCCTGGGTAGCTTCCCCTGCCCCGAACTCCTGACACTTTCATCAAGAAAACTATGGGCCGGGCGCAGTGGCTCAGGCCTGTAATCCTAGCACTTTGGGAGGCTGAGGCAGGCAGATCACCTGAGGTCAGGGGTTCGAGACCAGCCTGCCCAACATGGTGAAACCCCGTCTCTACTAAAAATACTAGCCGTGCGTTGTGGCACATGCCTGTAGTCCCAGCTACTCAGGAGGCAGCGGCGGGAAAATCGCTTGAACCTAGAAGGCGGAGGTTGCAGTGAGCAGAGATCGCGCCACTGCACTCCAGCCTGGGCGACAGAGAGAGACTCCATCTCAAAAAAAAAAAAAGAAAACTACTTATTTTGTGATCTGTAGTAAAACTCAGTTTCTCTGCTCGTGTGCTGTGGTGAGA
This sequence comes from Homo sapiens, assembly GCF_000001405.40. Lineage (NCBI taxonomy): Eukaryota > Metazoa > Chordata > Mammalia > Primates > Hominidae > Homo > Homo sapiens. The sequence continues at coordinate 50,277,378 of NC_000022.11, forward strand.
GGTCTCAGGAGGAGAGAGGGCAAGGGCTCTCGGGATCTCCCAGGCTCTGCCGGGCCCCTGTGCCCCCAGCCTCCGCCACCCGTCACCTCCTACATCAAGGGCTCCAGCCCAAGATATTCAAATCCACACCCCAGACAAGGTCCCAACTCACAAGATGCCTCCTGGGGACAGACCCAGGCCTCCCTGCCCCAGACCTGCCCCCACCCCACTCACGCGGCTCAGCTTATGCTCCGTGCGCGTGCAGGCATCCATGAAGGTCTGCGCGATGACTGACAGCGAGGCGTCCACCACCTCGTGGACATGCACGTCAAAGATGAAGTGGGGGTTCTTGAGGATGTTCACCCAGAACCGGAGCGGTAAGCTGAGGCAGAGCAGCAGGGAATGAGAGCCGGGGCTGGGCCGCGGGGTGGGTGTGGAGCCTCCCAAGTGAGAGGCGGAGCCGGGGCTGGGCCGCGGGGTGGGTGTGGAGCCTCACCTGTTCGTCTTCCAGATGTGGATGGTGTCTTCATCCTGGATGTTGTGCTTCTCTGCCTGCTCGTCCAGGAAGTCGAAGAAGTACTTGACTGCAGGTGGCACCGCGTGCCCAGGCGCCAGCACGCTCTGGAAGAAGTTGTCCACAAACTGCTGCAGTGTGCCCTGTGGGGGGGAGGGTCTCAGCGTGACGCCGTGGGCGCGGCTCCTGGGGGGGAGGGTCTCAGCGTGGCGGCCTGGTGCCGCCCACACACCCATGGGGGCCCACCTTGACTGAGAGCAGCCGCGTCAGGTAGATCTCGGTGATGGCCTTCGTCCGCTCCTTCTCTTTCACGCTGCCTCTCTTGGACTTGCCCTCGTCCACCTCGTCGGTCGGCCGCACCAGGTGCCACACCCGGTTCTCCTCCTCCAGGAGGGCATGGCCTGTGGGGAGCGGGCACTGAGGGACCCCTACCCAGGTCTGGGGGCCTGGGTCCCACAGGGAGCAGTGGTGGCAGGGTGGGCAGGGGTGCATGTGTCCAGGGCAGACATGGTCCACGCTGACCACCAGGGGCTGGAAGGAAACGGGCAACAGGGAGGGACTCACGCTCCCCAGGCAGGTCCTGCTGGCTGTCCTCCGGCTGCTGGGAGACCCCCACCTTGGACAGGATGAGGGTGGCTCCATCCCGGACCTGGGGAACACGGCGGTGAGGGTGGGCTGTGCCCCCAGGGTGCCCAGTTCTCGCCCGCCCCGGCCTACACGCTCACATTGTAGTGCATAAGGGTGTTGACGCGCTTCCACCGGCCCTCCCGCTGTGACGTCAGGTCCAGGTCCGACAGGATCTGCGCTGTGGAGCCCGGACGCCACTCTGTGGGAAGAGACAGCCCAGCTTGGGCCCCAGCCACCCAGGTTCCTCCCACTGCCCACCACTCCCATATGAGAAAGCTGGCCAGGCAGGATACCGCCCCAGGACACAGGCCAGGCACATGGGCGCCTGTGTGCAGACGGGCAGGGGCCGGCACTCACCCAGGACCACGCTGTCTGGCCTGGGCCAGCAGGAGCAGGGCTGCCCACGGTACACCTGGTCAATGATCTTCTCCTTGACCTGGGAGATGGTGTCACAGTTGAGGACCTTCACCGGGATGGCGTCCACTCCCTCGTCCTGCACGATCACGCTCACCGTCTGCCGAGACATCCGGGATGAAGCCCAGTGGGAGGCCCTGCTCTTACCTGCACCATGCAGGAGCCACTCCCTGCCCCGCCAGCTTTGCCCACCACAGCGGCACCCTTGGGCAGCAGGCCCCCGCCAGCCCGGCTCCGAGCCCCCGAGGCTTCCCAGATGACCACACTCTGCCCTTCCCCTGCCTGCTCCGGCTCAGCAGGACAGAAAGACGGGGACGGCTCAGAACCGCTCACTCAGGCTGTCACGCAAGCTCATGGAAGCACATGTACAGACACAGAATACACACGTCTCACACATGCACAGGCTCCTGCCACACCCACTGGTCATGTATGCACAGAACCCTGGACACACCTGGTGTGCCAGGCCCTTGTATGGCCTCCAGGAGGTGGGGGCGCCCGGGAAGAGCTGATGCGGGGCCCGCACACTTAGAGCCTCCAGAGCCCACAGCCACCAGCACCCAGGCCCCTCCCTGAGGCCGAGTTAGAGCAGGCTGTAACTCGAATCCACAGAGGAGGTGGACGGCCTCTGGCCTGTGGGTCCCATCTGTGGCCAGGGGATGCCCAAGCTCCTTAGCCCAGATCCGAGGCGCCCATGGCGGCCCCCACCCCAGAAGCTCACCAGGGGTGCGTACTCCACATCATCCCCCAGCAGCCCCGTGTCGTTGAGAGTGTACTTGGCCTTCTTCTGTACCGCATCCACCGGGCCCTTTTCCACCTGATGTTTGATGGCCTTGAAGAGCTTGTACAGGGGCTCCCCGGCACTGTCCTGGAGTAACACGGAGGGGAGGCTGGGAGGTCAGGGGACTTGGGGCCTGGAAGGGGCCCCCGGAGCCCTGGCCAGAGGCATGGACGGGGCTGACCATGTCAGGGGCAGGAAGCAAACCTGTCCAGGCAGGGCCCACCTCAAGGTGCCGTACAGATAGGGGAACGCAGGAGGGGATGGCAGCAGTCTGCCTCATCCCTCAAGCCCCAGCCAGGCTGGGGTGGAACCCACCTTGAGGTACTGGTACAGGCAGATGGACATCCAGTTGGACAGCATCCTCTCCACCACAGTCTCAGACCTGGGGGTGCAGGGAGGCCTTGTACCGAGTGACCCCGTAGTATTCCTGAGGCCCAACTGACTCCTCCAAGCACCCGGCCACCCTTGCGCCAGCCTCGCCCCTGTCCAGCCTGGGTGTGGCCTGCAGCGAGGACTACCTGGTGGCAGCTCCAGCCCTTGTGGGAAGTGTGCCACCTTCCTTCTGTTCTGCAGAGGGCTGACACTGTGACCAGCTGAAACCGCTGGACAGGAAGGGCTAGAGTCCGGCTTTGAGTTTGTGGCCGGGGACACCACCCCTAGACCGCCCCCCACCACCAGCGCTGGCTGGCACCTGCCGGCTCCTGGGGGCCCAACAGGCCGCTGTGCCACCCGCCACCAGCCCCAGAGCCCCTGCGGCCGCCCCGCCCGTGGCCCCGCTCGTGGCCCCGCCCATGTGCACCTGCGCAGCATCAGCTTGGGGTTCTTGGCCACCACGTACTGCTCCAGGAGCTCCAGGAAGAGCGTGTGCATGATGTCCGTGTAGTACTCCAGTTTCCCGTGCAGCGCCACCGTCAGCAGGGACGCGAAGTAGACCTTGGCGCGGGCCGAGAACTCCCGCTGGTTCTCCAGGGTGTGGATGAACTGTAGGGGCCGGCGGTCAAAGCCTGCCCGGCGCCACCTGTGTGCCCTCCCGCCCGCCCGACGCCTGGCTCACATTGATGAGGAAAGACTTGCTGTTCAGCAGGTTGGAGAACTGGTAGAGGGCCTGCTCCACCACCGGCCGCCGCGGCTCAGGGATGTCCAGCTTGCCGGTGATCATCACGTCCTTGTCGCCGTCCTTGGAGGGCAGGAAGAAGACGCGGTCGGTGTAGGTCTTGTAGTCCAGCACGGGGATGCCGGCCTCGTGCACGTCGTTGGTCTGGTCCTCCATCTCGATCATCAGGTCTGGGGGGAGGCTGGCGTGAGACGTCCCTGGCCACGTGGGGCCCTGACCCCCACGCTACACACAGCATCCCCGCCCCAGGAGGCGCCCCAGCACCAGCCCCCAAGCGGTCCCTACCTGTGAATTCCTTCTTGCAGCGGTCCCGCACGCTCTCCTCCAGGCCCTCCAGCTGGGACTTGATCTTCTCATACTCTCGTTCGGCCTGCTGGCTCTTCCTCCTGCAAGGCACAGCGGGCCTCCTAGGTTCTGCCGGGGCTGGCCGCTCAGCTGCCCGGATGAGGAGGTGGATCTACACGCCTGCCTGTGCAGGGCGGCGGATGAGGCCAGAGGGGCCGAGGCGGGAGGGCCGAGGGCTCAGGGTGTTGGCACAGCCGGGGGGCGGGCTCACCAGTAGCAGTAGACAGACACCGCGATGACGACCACCATGGGCACGATGACCAGCGGCAAGATGAGGCTGAGCGGCACGTCGCTCACCCGTGTGTCGTACTCCACGCGGCCCAGCACCCACTCGCGAGAGCCGAACTTCACCTGTGTGGGGGGCCGGGTTCAGCGCGGTCCCGTGGGGGCACCCCCCGCCAGTCCCCGCTCACGCACAATGAACTCGGGCAGGTTGTGTGTGGTGTCTCGTTTCTGCCGCCGCTTGGGCGGGGGCTGCACCTCCGGGGGCTCACAGTACAGGTCGGTCTCCGTCAGCGTCTTCATGGTGCAGCGCTCGGCACCCACGAAGGCCTCGGCCTCCTGCAGCGTCATCGCCTTGTTCAGATTGGTGCCCTGGGGAGGCGGCAGTGGTCGGGGTGAGGAGGAGGGAACCAGGGACAGGTGGACCAGCTCTCAGCCCAGACCCGAGCAGGACCCAGACACCCGGGGCTGCACCGTCCTCACCCGGGCGTGGATGAGCTTGTTGACCTGCTTCTTGACGCCACCTGTGAAGTTCTCAAAGGTGGGGTCAGGCACGTACTCGAAGGCCCCGGCCTCTGTTCTGAGCAGGGCACGGTGCCCGTCCATCTCGATCAGCACCGTGAGGTTGTAGGCCTCTGGCTCCTCAGGCACAGCCGGGGACAGGAAGACGACCTTGGTGTCATTGTGGAACACGTAGTCTGTACCCACCACCTGCAGGCAAGTCCCAGCTGTCAGCCCCCGGGCGCAGACCCCGCCCTTCCTGGGCACGATCCCATGGGCCGGTGCCAGAGCTGAGCCCACGCCAGGACTGACCGTCATGGGCTGCAGGGATTCAGCCTCCCGCGGCGGCTGCCAGGACTGCAGGGGCTCCGCGATGACCACCATGGCAAACCTCTGGATCAGGCTGAAGCCCTGACCCGTGACGTTGATGCTGCGGCCACCACTGCGGAGGGCAGTGCCTTCGTGGGCTCGGCTGGCAGGGGTGGTCCCTGCAGCCTCCGCCCTCCCGTCCCCGCCCACCCTGGCCCTGACCACACGGGGCTTCCAGGTGCATGTGTGGGTCTCGGTGGGCAAAGGGGCAACGCGGTGGGACGTGCTGAGCACGAGACTGTGCCGCAAGTGGGCGGGGGGCACACGGGGCCTGGTGAGCGTGGAGCCTCTGGTGTGCCCATCTGGGTTTCTAGGAGGAAGTGGATCTGGAGTGCAGTGGGGTTTTCCGGAGGCCGCCTCCCGCTGCACAGACCAGCCCCACCACATTCCTTTCAGCACAGTCAGCCAAGGGCACTGAGGAGGCAGCTGGGTGTGGGGAGCAGAGGGGGGCGGGGGGACACCAGCCTCACCTGGCAAAGCTTCGTAGCGGCTCGAAGGCTCGCAGTACGGGGTTTTCGCGGTAGGTGAAGAAGATGCCGGGGTTGGGCACGGGGGACCCCCCGTAGGAGACCTCCAGAAGCATCTGGCCCCGTGTCGCCTGGGGGCCAGTGACACACTGGAGCTGCGCCCCAAACTTCGTCCTGGGGGAGGGAGGGTGCTGGTCTGCATCAACCCCTCCCCCGGGACCAGCCCCAGCCCGACCAGGCTGGCCCCGCCATCCCCTCAGGGCCACTCAGGTCTCAGTAAGTGCCCCCCTCCATACCCAGGGCCAGGGCCAACCAGACTCAGCAGCTGGCGGTGACACCCACACTTTACACGGGACGCCGTTGAGGGTCACCCGCACGTCCTCCTGGGAGCCCGTGTCCAGGTGGGTGCCGTGGATGGTCAGTGTGGTGCCGCCCGCCTGCGGTCCCTGCTGCGGCTCCACACTGAGAGGCTTGGGCTGCTGAAAGAGCCGCAGGGGCACTCGGGTGAGGACGGGGCACAGGACGCCCTCGGTCCTGGGCTGGATGGTAACTGTCGTGGGGAGGCGGCGGGCAGAGCCCCTCCTCCCGGTCCTCCCGGGTTCGGCAGGTCCCCGAGGCCGGGTGCTTACTTGGAAGGTGAACTGGACATTGGGAGGCGAACGGCCCAGTTTCCCGAAGACGTCCACCTCGACACCCCCCGTGAAAGGCGTCTCCGCAGCCTCGATCACACACACGATCCTGGCGGGCGACAGGCAGTGTGGCCCAGGCACTCCCCGACCCACCCCACACCCTGACACCCTCACCCCCTCAGCCTCCCCACCCACCCAGTCACCCGGAACCCCAGCGTGGGTACTGACCCAGCTGACAGGGCCCAGACCAGGGCCGTCCACTCACCGGGTGGACACGGAGTAACGTTCCGGCTGAAAGGAGCAGTTCCGGCCGGCCACAGAGATCCTCTGGATGTCCCCTGCTTGGACGCCCAAATTGGACCCCAGGATGGTGATGCGGATGCCCCCACCCAGGGGGCCCGTCTCAGGCTGGATCTGAAACCACAGAGCCGGGTGAGCAGGGAGGGGCTCATGCCAGGGACGAGGGAAGGTGTAGGCCAGGCTTCGAGGGGCTCACCCTGGTGATGACGGGCGGCGGGCACTCGGAGGTGGTGTTGCACAGGGCCTCATACACGCACCTGCTCTGGCCCCCGCACCACGCACACCTGTAGTCGGGGTTAGCGGCCCGGCACAGGCTGCAGTCGCTGCGGCCAAAGGAGCAGTTGTAGAGGGTCACTGCGGGGAGAGCTGCCGTCAGTGGTCACCCCGTGCCTGCCCGCCCCCGACCTGCTCCCCACTGCGCCCACCTGTCCCCCCACCCACCGCCTTGTGCCCACCCGTCCCCTGCCCGCCCCCCACTGCGCCCGTGGCCCCCACCATGGAGCTTGCTGTCGATATTCTTGCCGTAAGACTTGACGTAGAGGTGCAGGGGCAGCGTCTCGTTGGCATCGTGGGACAGCTGGGGGACACGCAGGGGCACACTGCACTTCCTGCCCCCACAGAGGGGCGTGGGGCGGGGGTCACAAGGGCAGCCTCCCTGTGGCCACCGGGTCCCTTCCCAGCCAAGGGCAGCAGGGGAGGCCTTCAGGTGTCGGAAGTTCGGGAACCCCATGGACGCTGCTCTGTGCCACTCTGTCCCCAGGGAGGCAGAGGGCAGAGGGGGCTTCCCCAGCAGCACAGGGCATGGCGAGCCCCTGGCTGGGCTCTGGTCCCTGGGGTCTCCCTGCTGCCCCTCCCCTCACAGTCCTGAAGGTGACCCCCCACCCCACCCGGGGCCCTGGGGTCCAGCAGCCGAGCCGGCCTGCCCTGGAGCCGTACCTTTGGGGTCCGAAAGGCGAAGGTCCCAGATTCCTGCATGGTCACCGGCTCCATGAACTTGAGCAAGTCACTGCCCACGTGCAGGGAGGAACCCTGCAGACCATGCCGTCAGGACCCTGGACAGGCGGCTGTGGCACCCTGGCCCTCCTCCCAGAACCCCTGCAGCCCCTCCTCTGTGCCTACAGTGTGGGAGCCCTCTCCTCACCCCACACATGCCCGCCCCTCAGATTACCATGCCAGCTGACCCCTCGGCCACTCCTGAGCCCAAACACCTGTGTCTGCAGAAGCCTCTGAACGTCCTCTGTGGGTTTCCCACGGCCACCTCCACCACTCATCCACACCTGAGAACATCGCCCGGCCCACCTGACATCGTGGCCCCCACAGCTCCCTCCTCAGGAGGTGGCACTGGCCCCTCAATCTCCACACGCCTGCCTCCTCCACTGCCTCTCTTCAGGCCCATCCAAAGGCCCCCGAGTGCTGCCTCCTGGCCTCTGTCCCCGATAAATCCTGTGCCCTCTACCTCATGTGGGGGCCCCGAGTCGGGGGGCACGGGTGGAGCTCAGGCTTCCCACACACCCATCAGCACTGGCCGGCACCCCTCCCTCCGTACCTTAGCCTGCCTGTCACCAACCGGCACCCCCTCCCTCCGCACCTGAGCCTGCCTGTCACCGGCCGGCACCCCTCCCTCCGCACCTGAGCCTGCCTGTCACCAACCGGCACCCCCTCCCTCCGCACCTGAGCCTGCCTGTCACCGGCCGGCACCCCTCCCTCCGCACCTGAGCCTGCCTGTCACCGGCCGGCACCCCTCCCTCCGCACCTGAGCCTGCCTGTCACCGGCCGGCACCCCCTCCCTCCGCACCTGAGCCTGCCTGTCACCAACCGGCACCCCCTCCCTCCGTACCTGAGCCTGCCTGTCACCGGCCGGCACCCCTCCCTCCGCACCTGAGCCTGCCTGTCACCGGCCGGCACCCCTCCCTCCGCACCTGAGCCTGCCTGTCACAGCCGGCACCCCTCCCTCCGCACCTGAGCCTGCCTGTCACCGGCCGGCACCCCTCCCTCCGCACCTGAGCCTGCCTGTCACAGCCGGCACCCCTCCCTCCGCACCTGAGCCTGCCTGTCACCGGCCGGCACCCCTCCCTCCGTACCTGAGCCTGCCTGTCACCGGCCGGCACCCCTCCCTCCGCACCTGAGCCTGCCTGTCACCAGCCGGCACCCCTCCCTCCGCACCTTCACGGTGTCCAGGTTCTTGCCCTGGAAGTTCACATCTGTCTCGTGGTTCATGGGGATCACCAGGGGGCTGGGTCCCAGGAACTGGGGACAGCTGTCCTCCTGGGAGAGTAAGGCTGGTCAGGTGCTGCCTGGGCACAGCGGAGCAGCCATGCCCTGAACAGTCCCCTGAGGCCCCGAGGCCCCTCACCATGTGGGCACGGACGATGCCGTCCTCAGGGTTGGGCGAAGCCTCCCGGCACTCGTGGTAGCGCAGGTCCCACTGGCAGGTCCAGCGGTTGCTCACGCAGGAGATGCACCTGCATCCAGAGGGGATCGTGAGCAGGGCTGGGGTGGACGGGCAGGGTGGGGTCGATGGGCACAAGACACTCACGGCAGGTTCTCCTCCAGGCTCATGGCCTGGCGGCAGTCGTAGAAGGGGTACTGGTAGGACGTGAGGAAGATGTTGCCTCGTCTAAGGAGGAGCTGGATGGTCACGGCCACGTGGTCTGCAGACAGCAGAGGGGGAGGTGTCAAGGTGGCGGCCGCAGGGCCGAGGGCCAGGCTGGGCCTCCCCTGGGGCTGACTCCTGGGGCCAAGGTGGAGACCCCTGGTCTTCAGGGGGCCCTGCCAGGACGCCCCGCATTCATGTTGGGCGGGGCCTGCCACCTGCTATCAGATCTCGGGTGGGGCTGCCAGGACGCCCGTTCACGCTGGGCTGGACCTGCCACCTGCTATCAGATCTTGGTTCGGGTGTCGGGCGCAGCACCGGGCTTGCCTTTCTCCCCCGGGTCCAGGTTGCTTTCATACCCTCTGTTCCCGCAGGCACTGAGGGCAGCGGCTCCTTGGAGTCTGAGTGGGACCTGCCAGGTCCCTGCCCACGTCACTGCGTGGCCCCACTGCCCCCAAAACTCAGGGGACATGGGCGCGACGCCTGCCCTGGCCCACATGCGAGGCCCTGCAGCCTCTGGGAACGGCCCTGCTCTCTGAAGCTGGACATGGCAGGAAGGGGTGAGGGGCGTCTGCCGAGACGACGGGGCCTGGCGCCTGGCACCCACATGCCGCTCCGGACGTGATGAGGGAGCAGGCTGAAGACAAGTCACCTTTGCTACAGGCCTGGGGGGCGTGGCTGCGGACAGCCCAAGAAGCCAGAACCTCCCCAACAGGCACAGCAACCCCACCACAGGCTTCATTCAGGCTGGGCCCCCGGAGCAGCCGCGGAGTGTGCCTGTGCAGAGCCTGCACCCAGGGGCCAGCAGAGGCGAGAGCCCGTGTGCACAGGGCCCCGTGCGACCGAGAAGGGCCACCCGGGGGCTCGGGAAGGGGCCTCACCCTGGCCTGGCGGTGTGACGGGGATGCTGCTTGGGGAGTTGCAGATGACGGCCTCGCCCTCCACGCGGGCGGGGTGTGGCGGCGACTCCCCAAAAAGGCACAGCAACTCGTCCTCCTCGCTCAGGGCAGGGAGGGGGCTGACGGTCAGCTGCACCTGAGGGAGGGGCCGTGCCGCTCACACTGGGAACCCCGAGTCCTGTCAGCCCACCTGCCGGTGACCCGACCTCCCTGCGTGTGTGGGCGCACGTCCCAGTGGAGCCTCCAGAACCCGACTCCACGTCTTCCAATACAGGCCTCTCTGTGGTCACCCCAGCAACTCCTGGGACAGGGCCTGAGTCCACCCTGGATATGGACAAGCCCCACCCCTGCCCGCCCAGGTCATAGGGGTCCAGGGGACCAATGGAGGGCGGGCTCCATCCCTAAGGCTCGGTGCCCAGAGCCCAGGCGGGGGAGATGTGGAGCCCTCCCCTGCCTGTCCCAACAGCTCCCAGCATGGGGGAGCCCCCACCTGGCCCGGCCTGGGGCCCAGGACCCCCACCCCAGACCCACCACGCACCTCCCCCTGGGCCCGCCGGCTCATGTTCTGTGGCTGGGCGCTGGTGACGGCCACGCAGGACTTGCTTCGGCTCCACAGCCAGTGGCTGGCCTCCTCGGCCCGCGGACACTCGGCCTTCCGGGTGCATCTGCAGGCGCAGGGGGCGGCCTCAGCCCAGGGTGGAGTCTTGTTCTCCCGGGACAGGACAGTGCGATGTGCCCCCCGACCCAGGCCACGACCTTCCGGGATCCCAGAGGCAGGCCGTGTCCCCGAGCCACCCCAGGCACTCACCGTCCCTCGACGACGCACCAGCCGCAGTAGGGGTCCTGGGAGTCGCGGCACTGGGTGCAGGTCGGGTAGCTCAGGCACTCCTGCACCGGCAGCCGGAACACCTAGGGCAGCGGGGCCGTGAGTGGGACCACAGCAGAGGCCGCACGGGCCTTCCGCAGACCCCAGATGTCCCCAGACCGCCAGCTTGACCCAGCTCTGTCCCGGGGCCTCGGGAGCCTCAGACACCTCAGGCTTGATATTAAACAGTTCTGGCTCTGGGTGGCCATGCCTGGCCCAGGATCCCGATGGGAGCCCAGGGAAGCCTGGAGGTCTTGGCTATGGTGTCTCCCGGGGCAGCTCCTGTCCTCTACACTGGCTCCCTCCGAGGGGTGCTCCTAGGGCTGGCCTGAGGGTCTCTGGCACTAACCCCCCACAAGCTTGGGGCCCAGGCCCATGTTCTCCACTGACTGAGCTCACATGGGCTGTGCAGGGACCCCGTCTTCCCATCCACCCTCAGCAACACGCCTCAGACACCAACCCAGGTCCCTTCCATCAGGACAGGGCAGAGGCGGGGCCAGAGGGAGAGACATGGTTGAGACCACAAAGGACAAACAGAAGGAGCGGCAGAGACGGGGCAGTGCTAGAGAGACACAGGATGGAGGCACTGCCCGGGACCCACCCAGCCACCCCTCATCCAGACCAAGGAGAAGGGCCCAGCTCTGCAGCACCCCATCCTCCTCTGGCCCCCAGGCCTGTCCTAAGGGCCTGGGATGCAATGACCGGGCACACTTGGCCTAGAGTGCTCTCCGGGGCTGCGTCTGGCTCACCTTGTCCTGGGTCATGGCGTACAGGCTGCCCAGGTCTCCAGACAGTACCAGGTCGCGCTTGACTCTCTTGTTTATCTCCACAAGGATAGAGTCGTACTCTGAGGAGGTGCCATCTGGGGTGAGGTACACCTGTGTGCGCGAGGGCAGGCCGGTGAGGGTACGGGCCTTGTGCACAGACGGGCCCTCCAGAGCCTCCCCGCCCCAGCCTGGGCCAAACCTTGAGGATCCGGCCATCAGAGGTGCCCAGAAAAGCAACAGTGTGGTTGTTCTCGGCGGCGACCGTCACGGCCGTGAGGTTCAGGCCTCCACGCTGCAGCACGGCTGTGCCTCTGAGCCCGTCGCGGCTGCCCAGCGGGTAGGGCAGGTGCTCCGAGCCACATGGGAAGCTCTTGCTGGAGCCCTGCGGACCACAGCGTGTCAATGGCAGGCAGACCCCCTGTCCTGAAGGGCCCTCTCCACTCGCGCTCCAAGACTCGGGACAGGCCCTTCCCTTCCCTCCGGCACACGTCCTACACACGTCCCCGAGAACAGAACCCACATGGCAGGGAGCCCCACCGTGCTCACTGTTGTGTTCCCCAGTGCCCGACACAGGCCTGGGACTGGCGCCAGCGTGAATGGCATTGAGAGATGCGGCACCCACCCACGCAAGCGCCCAGGCTGGCGAGAGCCACGGCCACACTGCTCACGTGCACCCTCCCCAGCAGGCTGGGACACGCAAACCCACGAACGGACGCCTGCAGTCCGGGCCCTGCGAGAACACACTGAGGCCCATACCGGCGCGTGGCCGCCGCACTGGATATCGCCGTGGAAGGGCTTGTAGAAGATGTCACGGGCCTCCCGGGTGCCTGTGTAACAGGCGTTGCGGTTGGCCTCCATCTTGGCGTGCACCTTGTCCAGCGGGAACAGGCAGAGGCCCGCACCGGGCCCCCCACTGCTCCGGCTGTCTCTGCTGAAGACAGCATATAGCACCCTGCCAGAGCCAGGCGCAGCCACGGAGGCGGCCAGGCAGGTGCCAAAGGCAGCGGCGTGGATGTCGGGGTCCCGGCACTGCAGGTCCATCTCCAGGTAGGAGTAGTAGTTGGGGTCTTCTCTGCACATGCGTGCCAGCAGCGTGCGGTTCCGGGCCGGGTGCTTGTCCTGCTGGTTGAAGACAAAGAAGACGTAGGGGCCGTCCTCGAAGGCCGCCACGAACTGCTGTGTGTTGGTGGACAGGTAGCCGGCCTTGTAGGTGGCGTGGTCCGTGTAGGCTTCAAAGGCCTCCCTGCTGTCAGTCCGGTCCAACAGCCGAGTGCTCACGATGATGCCGTTGTCGTGTGGCCCATTGCCTTTGCCCACAAACAGCACGCGGTCACCACCAGGACCCGTGGAGCTCACCAGCCCCACTGTGGCCACGCCCTCATCATTGCTGGCCACGAAAGACTTCTCCCCGCTGCCGTCCTCGTAGAACAGGCGGAGGGAGATGTTGCTCAGGGCGCGCAGAGCGCAGATGCCCTTGAAGAGGCTGCCGCACTCCACCAGGCGCTTCCTGGGAGGGTCGAGCAGCAGCAGCTGGTTGACATTGTCAGTCATCTCAGCCTCATGGCACTGGCTGGCCTCGATGGGCGGCGTGCACTTCTTGTTGTCCAGGGCCGGGCCCGTGGCCACCTGCTGCTCCAGCTGCAGCTTCGCATCCAGCTGGTAGAGGGCATTCACCGCCCCCAGGTACACCACGCCTGAGGCCTCATCCACAGCCAGGTGGTTCAGCTCTTTCTCGCTGCGGAAGAAGTCCAGCTTGCGGGGCCTCAGGCTGGCACCTGCGCCCAGCAGGCCCAGCAGGGTCAGGGCCCAGAGCTGCAGTGCCATTGCCCCCCGCACCCTGTGGGAAGAGAGAAGGGTCAGGGGAGCCCCGACCCAGAGGACCCCCGATCAAATCCCTCTCCAGTCCCTGCCCCAAACGTCAGAACATGGGAGAGAGGGTCACGCCACTCCACGAACTGAGGAACCTGGAGCTCCGCCCCTTCCTGCTTCACACCCCCGCCATCCTCGAGGTCTCGCCGGAGACCACTTCTCAGCCCTCCTCAAGTCCACCCTGACTGACCACTGGGGCCAAGGCACTGCCATCGCCTGCTACAGGATCCCTCCCGGAGGTGCTGAAAACACCGGCAGGCCTATCCCCGAGGCAAGGAGTTGACGCCCCCAGAAAGGCTCTCAAGTGCTCACATTCATGCCCCCTGACCTGTGACCCCAAGGAGCTCCAGGTGGTCGGGACGCACCGGCCCCAGCGCACAGGCTCAGGCTGACAGACAGACCCCTGGACGTTGGAACAGGTGGCTCACCCATGGGGCAGAGGTGAAGGACACGGGAAACCAGAGGCTCAGGTGAGAGCGAGGGGTGCCCTGTGCATAGCCCAGCAAGTGCACATGCTGTTTACAACTGCCCGCCAGAGCCCCCAGGCGGCCTGAGCCTCCCTGACCACCTCCAGGCCCCCTGCCCTGGTGAAACAGTGGAAGCCAGCAATCACCCACAGCTCCTCGCTCGGCCCATGTCACGCCCAGGGCACAGCCTCTGATGTGCGCACAGCGGAGGCAACAAGGGGACCTGGGGAGCCATGAGCAACTCCAAATCCACCAGGTCTCAGAGGCAGAGGCCCCCACATCTGCAGCCTGGACAGGCTGTGTCCACATGCGTGTGTGTAACTGAGCACGTCTCGGTGTGGGGTCTGTGCCTGGGTCCGGGTGGATGAGGGGGATGTGTGGTGTGATGGGTGAGCTGCTGAGGACCAGGCTGAGCTGAGGGTCTCCCAATAGGAGGAAGATCCAAGGCCCCACAGGTGGACCCAGGACATGCGTGGTCCTCTCTCTTTCCCTCCCTACCAGACTCAACTGCATCTTGGGGGCTCAGACACAAGTGGCAGAGACAGGGCCCTTCTGCCTCTGAGCTCTTCCTCAGGGTGGTCCGTCCCTCTCACGCTAGGGACCCTGCTCCATCCTGGCCAGTGATCCCTACATCAGCCTCCCCTGCCAGTGCCCCCTCCTCATGCTCACAACCACCCCCACTCCTGGGCCCACCATCATCTTCCCTGAGTGCACCAGTACGGGGGGCTCCCAGGTGTCCAGGGCAGCCCTGCCATGGCAGGTGCCAAGGGGGTCCAGACTCGATGGCAGAGGGTTACGAGGGATGGAGGCCCTGGCCTCCCCCACCTCCCTGTGCAGGCCCACCCCGTGCCTCCAGAGGGACTGCCACATCCTCTCAGGCCACCACAAGTGTCACCTCCCTGCATATGTCTCATCCCCTCGAAACGCAATCCGCTTTCTCACCACATATTTGAAAGTTTTGCCAGGCCCGGTGGCTCACGCCTGTAATCCCAGCACCTTGGGAGGCCGAGGCGGGCGGATCACGAGGTCAGGAGTTTGAGACCAGCCTGGCCAACATGGTGAAACCCCGTCTCTACTAAAAACACAAAAAAATTAGCCAAGCGTGCTGGCACCCGCCTGTAGTCTCAGCTACTCCAGAGGCTGAGGCAGGAGAATCGCGTGAACCTGGGAGGCGGAGGTTGCAGCGAGCCAAGATTGCACCACTGCACTCCAGCCTGGGTGACAGAGCGAGACTCTGTCTCAAAAAAAAAAAAAAAAAAAAAAAGTTTTAAGTGTACAAAGAACAAGCCACAAAATGCAAATGTTTCCACATCCCTGTGTCTCTGACGGCCAGGCTGACCACGACAGCCTGTGACCCATTTCTCAGGTGAAGAAACTGAGGCACGGAGCAGAATTTACCCAAGGCCACACCGCGGGCATGGGTGGGGCTGGGATTCTGACATGCAGTGGGAGCAGCTTGGCCTCTGACCACTGTGTTTCTCCACCCTTTTGACAACCCCCCAAACCCCCTGGCCTCTGTCCTCCCAGGAGGGCAGGGGAGCCCGCTCTGCTGCTCCGTAGCCAGGGGAAGTGTTTCTCCCGAGCCTCGGCTTTGGGTGAAGCTGCATTTACTGGCACAGCCGCCCTCCACCTGCCCGTGGCAACCCCCCGTTCTGATTGCCCGCACGCTTCCTGAAATCTCTTGAGGTGTAACCAAGACGCAACCGACCGACAACATCTGAGCCACCCCAGGGCCCGCATGAGTGAGACAGCGCTGCACTGGCCTTCCTGCTCCCTGGGAGTGCACCCATTAGACAGGCAGCTCCTGCCCGGCACAGAACTCCCTCCCTGCACTGGGGGTTCAGTGCTCAGCTGCTGCCCAACCCCTGGAGCCCCCCAGGTGCCCACGAGCACAGCAGCCGCTGGGAGAGGTGACCACCCACAGGCTAGGGAGTTCCTGGCCGACTGGTGGCAGAGAGGCTGGGTAGGGCCATGGGACCCCAGGCTTCACCAGGATAGGGGTGATCAGCCAGGAAAAGATGCTGGCTTTAGTGAGAGACAGGAAGATTCTACAAGCCCACGGGAACCTCTGGGCATGATCCTGGTGGAGGGGGTTCTATGCCCAGCTCAGCCAGGGTCCCCCGCTGTGGCTCAGTGGCCTGTCCAGGGGAGAGGAGAGGAGGGCACAGGAGTCCCAGGCCTCCAGGAGAGGCCCGTAGGCTACAGCCACAGCCCATGGCCCTACCAGGGAGGAGCAGCGCCTGCCCGAAGGCTCCCCAACCCCCGCCGCGCCCCTCCCCTACCCACAGCCACCCGGGGGCAGGTCCCGCAGGCCCCCGCCTTCTAAGTGCACCCAGTGGCGCCAGCGGGGGCAGGCAACGTCCAGGCCCCTCGGCCCTGCGCCCAGGCCTGCTGCCCTCCCCTCCCAGCCCCGCTCACCCGGCCCAGCTCGCTCACCCGGCCCAGCTCGGTGGCAGTGGCAGAGGCAGCCTCAGCCAGGCGCAGCTCCCGGGAATGAATGGAATGCGCCCGCAGCTGGGAGGGGAATGCGGGGGCAGCGCGGGGGCGGGGCCCACGGTCCCCTCGGATCTGGCCCGGACCGTGGTGGGGCAGCCTGGGGAACCCTGCGGCGCCCCTAGCCCCAGGAAAAGCAATGGCTCTGGGCCCCCACAAGCCACCCCTCAGCCGTCCCCCAGCTTCCACCCAGGGAAGACACTCACCCACCCGCCAGGGCTGTAGGGGCCCCGGTACAGGAAGAAGGCTCTCCTGTCCCTGCCGGGGGCTGGCACACCCTAAGTGCTCAATAAACACCACCGTGTGCCACCAGGGAAAGCCTGACTCCCAGGGTCCTACAGGCCCAGGCTTTTCAGGGTGGCAGGCGCGGCTGGGGTGACACCCTACAGGTGGCAGCTGCCTTCTGGTTCCTGGACAAACAAGGCCTCAGGTGACCTGCCTGCCCAGGCCCAGGAGCAAAGGGCAACCCACCGGACCAGCAGCAAAGCTCCGGCGGCGCAGGAGGCGCCAGGCACAGCCAGCTACGCTTCCTGCTGCCTGTGTTCCTGGAACAGGAGGGAGGGCGGGCAGCAGGCACTTCCTGTTTTGAAGCCCTCCTGGGACCCCCACTTACGGGGCTGGCGGGGATTTCCTCGGGCCCTCTGGTGCCTTCCTCCTGGCTGAAGCTCGGAGGGGCACTTTCAAGAGGCCACAGCAACTCCGGCTGCTGCTGGGCAGGGAAGCTCCCCACTTCCATCCAGACCAGGCCACAGCAACTCCAGCTGCTGCTGCCCACAAAGCGTCTGCACAGGCACCCCCCCACCACACCCCCAACGCTCCAATTCCCAGCCCTGATGTCCCAGAACCCGGTGCCACAGTCTCACTGCAGACCACTCCACCTGAGCAAAAGCTTGGCCTGAGCAACAGCTTGGCCTCAGAGAACCATGGGAGCCTCACAGCGGCTCCATGGGCAGGGAAGCTCCCCACTTCCATCCAGGCCAGGCCATGGGAAGGGTGGCAGAGTGACAGGTACGGTTGAAACCTGGCTGGACAGAGCCTTGCAGACACCACATGGCAGTTCTAGATACCTCCGGCCTCCCTGTCCACATAGCCCCAGCCACCCACTGCCTTTCCCAGGTGGGGTACAGACCCCTCACCGAGGCTCCAGTGGTCCAGCTCAGTTTCTGCTCCAGGCCAGCATCGAGATTCTCTAGGAGGCAAAGGAGAGACGCCGGTCACAAGAGGAGCCCGGTCTGCTGTGGAGCCCCCCACCTCTGTCCCATGCTGGTGGGGCTTGGGGGAAGAAACATCCCACAGGACCCCATCTGGCCTTTGGCTTCCCTCTGGCCCCTGCACAGCCCCTTCCTCAGACACCTCCAGGGCTCCTGGCACTCCCCTCTGTCAGGGGCTTTCTGCCTGTTTAAACTAGGTATGGCTATTACTTTGCTTAAAATAAAAGTTGCTTTCTGAGGCCGGGTGCGGTGGCTCCCGCCTGTAATCCCAGCACTTTGGGAGGCCGAGGCGGGAGGATCACGAGGTCAGGAGATCAAGACCATCCTGGTGAACACAGTGAAACCCCGTCTCTACTAAAAATACAAAAAAATTAGATGGGCCTGGTGGCGGGCAGCTGTAGTCCCAGCTACTCGGGAGGCTGAGGCAGGAGAATGGCATGAACCCGGCCGATGGAACTTGCAGTGAGCGGAGATCGCACCACTACACTCCAGCCTGACTTCGTCTCAAAAAAAAAAAAAAAAAAAAAGTTGCTTTCTGAAAAATACGCACACCCATGACCCTGAAATTTCACTTACTAGCTGTGTGACGTTGGGCAAGTTACTTAACTTCTCTGTGCCTCATTCTCCATCTGTGGAATGGAGACAGAATGGTGAGCTACCCCCAGAGGTTTACAAGGACTAAATGAATTCATTCACAAAAAGCCTCAGAGTGTTACACTGTAGCATTCAGCAATGCTTGCTATTGTATCTTCCCTTGCTATTGTATCTTCTAGTTCTGGATAAACACCGACTATACCCACAGGGAGGCACAGACCCAGGGTGCTTCTCCGCATGGTTGGCTTTAGTGAAAATTTGGCAGCCACCCAGCATCCCACCAGAGGATACTGTGGAAGACTACATGGTAGATGCAGGTGCGTCTGTGCTGATTCTGATGGGGAAGCCTGGGTGCAGTATTTGGCCCCATCCATCTCTGAGAGGCTCCAGAAGCCGTCAAACCAAAATCAAAATAGTGGCCGGCTAAGGCTGGGTGCGGTGGCTCACACCTGTAATCCCAGCACTTTGGGAGGCTGAAGTGGGCGGATCACGAGGTCAGGAGTTCGAGACCAGCCTGACCAACATGGTGAAACCCCATCTCTACTAAAAGTACAAAAATTAGCCGGGCGTAGTGGTGCGCGCCTGTAATCCCAACTACTCAGGAGGCCGAGGCAAGATAATCGCTTGAACCTGGGAGGTGGAGGTTGCAGTGAGCCGAGATCGCGCCACTGCACTCCAGCCTGGGCAACAGAGTGAGACTCCGTCTCAAAAAAAGAAAAGAAAATAGTGGTGAACTTTGGGAGCAAGGAGGAGGCCACGGCAGTCCAGCCCAGGCCAGAGTGAGACTGTCTCAAAAAATACACACACACACACACACACACACACACACACACACAATAAAAAAGTTCAAGGAACTTGAACTAGACCGTGAACTGGCCGCGTGTGGTGGTACAGCCTGAAGTCCCGGGTACTGAGGAGGCTAAGGCAGAGTAGCTTGAGCCCAGGAGGTCTAGGCTGCAGTGAACTATGATTGTGGGCAACAGAGCGAGACCCTGACTCTAAGATTAAAGCAAAACACAAGTTTAAGATTATATTTACATATTGCTTGTCTAAATAAGAAGCTGAGCCAGGCACGGTGGCTCACGCCTGTAATCCCAGCACTTTGGGAGGCTGAGGCGGGCGGATCACCTGAGGCTGCAGAGAGCTGAGATCACACCATTGCACTCCAGCCTGGGGAAAGAGCAAGACTCTGTCTCAAAAAAAAAAAAAAAAAAAAAAAGGAAAAGAAAAGAAAGAAAGAAAAGAAGGTAGGCTCCACTCTGCCTCAAGATGTGACTCTCCAGGCCCTCAATAGCCACCCCTACAACCAAGGTTCAGCTACTGAATCCTGCTCAGGCCCCAGAGTCCACTGCAGCCTGGCCAGGTTGTGTGCCAGCAAAGCACCTCCTCCCGCAGGGCCAGGCCCCACTCTCCTCCCACCCCACCGGGATCCTCATGTGCCCTGTGCAGCGGGACCCGGGGTTGGACATGCAGTGACACCAGCAGGGGGGCGGCGGGAAGGGAGGTGAGCTCCACAGCTGTGCATGGACTGTGCTACCCTGCTGCACAGGTAAGGGTTAACCCGGCCAAAGGGCTGGGGAGAGGATGAGGTTTCGGGGGGCAGAGGGCATCCTTTCGACCTGAGACTCAACAGCACCTTTGTGAAAAGGGCAAAAGGCTGCTCCTCTGGCAAACTCAGGAGCCAAAGCACAGGGCAGCACCGGGTCTCCTGAGAAAGCTGGGACCCGCGGGGACTGGAGACTGCAGCTCCCGACGGAGGTGGCAGCCATGGCGGTGGCACGGTACCCCCAGACCTGCCATCTTGAAGGGACGCCACACCGGCCTGTGTGCCCCATGCCCACTCCCTGCAGCACACCCCCAGGCTCCAGCCTCCACGGGCCCAGGCCCCAGGCGTGGGCGGGGGCAGCCAAGGTCAGGGGAGGCTGGCTTCTGTCCCGCCCATCCCGCACGCCCTCGAACAACCTCCCCTGAGTGATCGATCCACTCAGGAAGCCAGAGGCAAGACCCATACTCCACTCTCCTGGAGGAGGCTTTCTGCCGTCCTCTTCCCTGGCCCTCACCGTGGAGAACGGCCATGGATTTCCCCTCCCAGAGAATAACACCATGATCCCTCCACCCTCAGTCTGGGGCCCTTCCTGGCCCAAGTCTACCTCCTCTGCCCGGCCTCTGGCTTCTCCCACCTCCATCCATCTTGCCCTCAACACTGAGCCAGGCTCCATCTCCTGCTCACAAGATTCCCGCTTAGCTACCCCAGAAAAAGGAGTTTCTTCCTTAGGTGGCTGTGGTCACACCTGACGCTGCTGCACCCAGGGACCTCGAGGCCTGAAGTCCAGAGCCAGACCAGTGAGTTCACACCCCAGCTCTGTCACGTTCTAGCTGGCTCATGTGGGCCATTCAGAAAGCTGCTCTGTGCCTCAGTTTCCCCATATGTAACCTGGGGGTCATTATGGCGCCCACCTCAGAGGGCTGCCTTGAGGTTGAGTGGGTGTGGAAATCTTTACAGCTGTGCCCACTCAGAGAACGCTGCCTCACGACATTCCCACGTCCATGTTCACTGTGCTCCCTGGAAAGCCCCTGCCCATCCTTTAGACCCCGAGACACCCTCCCTAACCCAGCCCCTGAGGGACTGGCCTTGCTCTGTGGTCTATGGTCTTCCCCGACAGGCCCCGGCTGCCCCGCCGCCCTGCCCCAACAAGTCCAAACACTGGATCTGGTCACTGGGCACCTGCCGGTCCAAACTCAGTGAGCCGGGAAGGGGTGGTGACATGCAGGGGCGCGAGCCCAGAAGACCTGTCCCCGCAGGTCACCCCCAGGCCAACAGAGCAGAAGGGTCTCCTCCCCCAACCAGAACTCCGATGTAGGCCAAGGGCAGCACAGGGATGCTGGGCCTCCCCTCTACAACCTAGACAGCCTGGGAGGCAGCAGGAGCTGCTTGCTGGCTGGGCACCTGTGGCCCTCTCCTGAGGTCCCTTTTGTTTTTTTTTTCTGACCAGCAGCCCCCAGGCCCCTTGCACGGGCTGAGTCTGGCCCCCGCCCCTCCCACTGGGTAAAGGTAAACAAGAGGCATGTAAGGGGGAAGGACAGAGCCCTACTCCAGATGAGGCCAAGAGTGGGGGCTGCCAGGCCCCCAAACTCCTGCCAGCCTTGGTTCTGAGACCGCCCCAAGTCTTGGCTGCACTGCGGGGTGGTTCCAGTGGGGACTAAAATTGGGAGTTCTCTGCCTTTCAGTATTTTCAAGCAAACAGACTGGGCCATTCTTTTCTTTTTTCTGAGACAGGTCTCACTCTGTCACCCAGGCTGGAGTGTAGGGGCATGATCTTGGCTCACTGCAACCCCTGCCTCCCAGGTTGAAGCAATTATCCTGCCTCAGCCTCTCCAGTAGCTGGGACTACAGGTGCACGCCACTATGCCCAGCTAATTTTCTGTATTTCAGTAGAGATGGGGCTTCACCGTGTTGCCCAGACCGGTTTCGAACTCCTGAGCTCAGGCAATCCACCCGCCTTGGCCTCCCAAAGTGCTGGAATTACAGGCGTGAGCCACCACACCCAGCCAGACTGACCATTCTTAATGCTAAAATCAAACCAGCACAAAGCAGTCAGGCCCAGTGGGAGGGCAGGCCCAGCTTGGGGGCTGCTCTTGGCCAGGCCAGGCTGTGGGCTCTGGCACGGGAACCAGAGAGGGCAGGGGCCAGAGGAGGTGCATGGGCAGCGGCCCGGCAGGGGCCAAGATGGGGATCCAGGCAGCAGCCGCCATGAAGAACGAGGAGAGCTCGGGCCTAGGCCTGGGAGGGCAGGAGGGGGTGGCATGAGCACCTAGGACATGGGCGGTGGAGAAGGCAGAGGTCCTAGGGCTGTGCGGCCCTCCAGGGCTCAAAGGATTGGGGTGGACACAGGCCCTGCGTGGGGTGGGGGGGGGGCCCGGTGCGGGGGCGGGGGAAGCAGCCTCGGACCAAGTGAGCGATAGGCTGCCCCAAGCACAGGCCAAGGCGCGTCTGAGAGTGGCTGTCCCGGAACGGGGCGACAGGCGTCACAGAAAAGCCACGGAGGCCCCGGAGGCCCCGCAGCCAGCAGCCAGGGGGCCGGGCCAAAGCTAGCGACACACGCAAATCTGCAATTATCCCAGAGCGCTAAACACATCAGAGGAAACAAAACAGACGCGCCGGCGAATCCCAGCCTCCGCTGTTTTCAAAACAAGCGCGAGGGGGGTGCCGCGGGGCGTGGGGCTGGGGGGTCGGCAAGGACCCCGGCCGCCCCTTCCCGCAGCGCCGCGCCCGTGGGTAGGCGCGGGGAGGGACTGGGTGGAGAGCGCGCGGGAGACCCGGCGAGGGCGAGACCGGCGGCCCCGCCACCCAGCCCCACCCACCGGTGACCCGGGTCAGAGTTCAGCCCGGGAGGCGGGGGGCGGTGTCTCCTGGGTGGGTCTGCGAGCCCGGTACCCGGCCAGAGCCAAAGGCGGGCACCCGGCCTGTGTGGAGCGCCCTGGACTATTCCTCGCAGGCCGACCCAGGTGGCACAGCCCCTCCCCCGGCGCCGGCACCGCCAGACTCCCCGGAGGGCGCAGAACGGTTGCCCGGGAGCCAGGGGCAAAGCGCGCCCGGGGCCAGGAAGCGCAGGGACTAGGCCCGCGCCTCCTCGGCGCCGCCCACTGCCCCCCGCGAGCCCAAGCTCCACGGCCACCGCCCGCGCCCTCCCGGGGACTCCGGCGCCCCGTCCGCCCCTCGGCCTCGCGCACCTGGAGGGAGCACGTGGCCGCCTCTGGGACAAACCTCACCAGGCCGGGGGCCCAGGACGCGCGGGCGGGTGGGAGTCTGACCCGAGTAACAATGACGGCGGCGGCGACAGTCACACGAGCGCAGGAGACGTCGTCCCCGCGGGGCGCTCACCTGGCGTCGGGCACATCGGATCGCACAGCCGGCCATTACCTAAGTCCTCCGAGCCGTGGAAGGGGCGCGGGGAGCAGCTCCGCCCCGCCGATGGTGGCTCCGCCCGTGCCCCCGGTCGGTCTCAGGGCTCGGCCCCTCCCGGCCCAGCTGCCAATCATGCACGACCCTGCCCGGAGCAGCCTCCCGCAGGACTCCGGACCCAGGGTCAAGGCCAGACTCACCCGAGGCAAAGGCCGAACGCTCCCGGCACAACCCGACCTAGGAGCTGGGGCGGGGCGGGGCGGGGCGGGGCTCCAGGGACAGACTGATGTGGAGGCCTGAGCCTCGCTTCAGCGTCTACAGCGGTCCCCGCTGGACTCTCGGCTGAGGACCCCTCCCAGGTGGAGGCCGTCGCACCCCTTCCCCGCCAGCCTGGTTTCAGGGTGGGGTTCCTACTTAGGGCCAGCCTCCCCTGCAGTCTGGGCTCTGGGTCCCAGCAGGAAAAGTCACCCTGGCTGGTGGCAGTGATGGGGTCACCAGCCCAGGATCCTGGGGGTGCCCCATGAAGCCCCAGCTCCTCCTGTCACTTGCTCCAGCCGAGTTAGTCACAGCCCCCACTGGTCCACACCTCCTGACACACCCAGGCCACCTGGTACCCAGGGCCTCTGTATCTAGCCCTGGCCCTCAGGCACCCCCTGAGCTCACCTGGCCATGCCCAAGGGGCCTGCCCCAGCCCCCTCTCCGCCTCTGCACCAAGTGCAGCCCCTGTATATGGTGCGTCCCTAGACTGGGGCCCCAGGCTGCCCTCCCATCCTACACACAGTTGTGAGGCCCTCCTCAGCCTCCTCTCTGGCCACGGCCCACTGGCGCATCTGGAGGATGGTCCTCCCCAGCCCTCAGACAGAAGGTGGGATCCAGTTGGCTACGGCGCCCTGTCCCCACACGCACCAGGCCTGCAGAACCACCTCTCTCCTCAACCACCCCTTTCGGGGTCCCAGACCCCATCCTGTCCAACCTGGGCACAGCTGCAGCCCCCTCTTGCTACACCGTGGTCCTTCGGGTCAGAAAGCTGGGCAGCGCAATGAACCTACCGATGTCTCCGTGCTTCCTGAGGACCTCCTGTGGGAGGGGTGGGCACCGCCAGGCGCTCGGGGCACACGAGGCCGATGGCTACAGCAGGAACCACCAACTCATCAGGACAGGACATGCGGTCAGACAGCAGGCGGCCACGGAGGGACTCTCGTGGGATTCTGGGGCTCAGTCACTTGGAGTCTCTCCTGAAAGGAGGCCTCCCGGCCCGCCGGTGCCCAGCCCCACCTGCAGGCTCTCCTCTGAGTGGCCCCCACGCATCTCCCCCTTTCCAGCTCAACCCCGCAGCAGCCGGCTGCTCAGAGACCAGGTCCTGCCTGGATGCAGCTGGCTCAAGACCAGCCCCCGCCCACAGCCCCCTTCTCACCCCCGGGGTGGGCGTTGGGGGGTGGACGGGTGAGGCCCCAGCCAGTGAGCAGTAAGCAAGGCCTGTAATCTCCCCGTCAGCCTGTCAGCGCCTCAGCGGTCACCCCAGCCCCGCCTCGCCCATCACCGCTGAACCCCACAATTAGCTTGGGGCACCGCGCCAAGCCTGTGTGCCAGACACCACTTGCACACATGACCACACATGTGCAGACACACATGGCTGGGTGCTGCCGGAAAAGCCCTGCCAACAGGGTCTCACCCCAACACCCAGAACTCGTCCCCAGTACAAAGAGCCTGGGAGAGAAGCCTCAGGCCGGGGCACTTGGGCTAAGAGGGGCAGTGGGGCTCTCAGAACCCAGCGCTGCCTGGAGCCCCGAGGGAGGGGCCATGTGTGGCATGGGGAAGTGGGGTGGGGGCAGGGCCGTCTCAGCAGGGGAGAGGGGCTGCGTCTGCCCAGGATGAGCTGGGGGCTGGTGAGGCACAGGGTGTTGGGCAGGACCTGGGTCCAGGCCAAGGGTGAGGCAGCCCAGGGTGTGGGCTGGGCCCCACAGGGGCAAACACTCAGGGCTTTGGGAGGCCAGAGGGACAGGGATTTCCCAGTGAGGAAATGCCCATCTCAGAGTGGGGGCAGGACAGTGAGTGGGAGGTGATGCCCGTGGCTGGAGCTGTGTGGGGAGGTGGGTGCCCCTGGAGGCCAGGTCCAGCCCCTTGCTCCACGCGGAGGCTTGCTCTGCTCATGGTGGAGCTGAGGACTTCAAACCCCACAGGGCCTGGTCGAGAGCCACTGGGCCCCAGGTCTAGATGTGGAACTGGGGGACCCTCCAGCGAGCTTTGCTGGGCCTGGGCGGCCTGCCTGGGGCGCCCCACCTTCACGCCCTCCTCCCTAACATCCTTTTCTCCTGAAGTCCCTCAGGGTGGTCACCAGATCAGGCTCGGTGCCAACATAGGAGTGGGGAGGCCAAGCCCCTCAGCTCCCCTGGCCAATCTCTGAGGCTGAGAGGGAGTGGGGGGGGCCATGCTGGAGCACCTCCCTCCCACCACCTGCCCCTTGCCCCTGTCAACTGCTGGCTCCACTTAAAATAGCTTCTCCCCCTCGCTGGTGGGAGGGAGGCCCTGGTGTCAAGCCGGTAAGGCTGGAGCAAGGCTGGGCACAGGGCCTGGGCTCAGCAGTGTTCTGTGCCCTCCATCTCCTCCAAAGCAGGCCCCAGCTCTGAAAACACACCTGACAGGGCTGGGATCCACAGAGTCCTCACCTCCTGCTGGTCCTCAAACCCCACTCTCCATGGCTGGGTCCCTGAAATACTTGGATTACCCTCAAGCCCCCCGCCATCCCCCCAAGCTGTGGCTCCCATGCCACCCTACCACGTCTGAGTCACACAGGCCCAGGCCTCCCTTGCTTCCCCCAGGAGAGACCCCCCCACACTCCTGCTTCTGGCCTGTCCTCAGAGCCCCAGAACTCACCTAGGTTCAAAGCCAGACCCCAGCTGAGGACAGAGCATGGACCCCAGGCAAATGCAGTGACAATCACAGAGCACGCTCCTACCACAGCCACCCACGCAGCCTGAGGCATAGCCCCCTGGAAACTGCCTCGGCCTTCAGCACCCCACTTTGGACCAGCAGGGCAGGGGGGTTCCTCCTCTGAGAAGTCCTCAAAGCTGCCTGGAAGGAGCAGACAGTGCCCCCAGACGCCAATCTGACAGGGGGCCCAATCTGTCTCTGAGCAGGTGGCATGCTGGCTCGGGGGCCCCAGACCACAACAGAAGGTCACCTGGGAAGAGAGCCGCAGCCCTACACAAGGCTCGTGGGCAGGAACCGTCCCAGCCACAGGAGCAGACGCCCTTGCCTGGCCCCTCAGGGGGCCGTGTTCACACAGGAGGCCTTCTCAGAGGTGGACACCAAGCACTTCTCTCTCTTGCGCTTGCTGCGGGACTCAGCTGGGGCAGCATCAGGCCCAGAAATCGGTGCTGGACACTGTGTCTCCACACAGGGCCCCCCATGGAAGCTGCTGACCAGCTGTGCCAGAGGGGCCGGGGCCCTACCCCCAGGAGCCCAGTCCCTGCCTCTGATGCTGCTGCTGCTGGGACCCTGCTGGCAGAGCTGGTGGCTGAACTGGGGCAGCACCTCCCTCTCCTGCCCCAGGCCTGGGCCGGGACTCAGCTGGCACTGGAATGAGGAACTATTGGCTTTCAGAAGCCAGGAGACCTTAGGGGGCTGAGGAAGAGAGCTGGACCTGCCCCCAGGCGCCCTGATCCCAGCCCAGGGCAGTCTCCTCCCTCACCTAGCCTGGGACATGAGGCAGCTCAGGTGTGGCCTTAGGGGCTACCCCCAGGGAAGGCCACCAACCATAGCGGGCCACGGTGTGGGCTGGCCTCTGGGTGTGAAGGGCTCCAGGATCTGGGCTGCAGAGGCGGGACTGTGCGAAACAGAACCCCCAGCTCCACAGCCAGGCCAGCCCCAGGCTCCTCCCCAGACAGACATCCCCGGGGGTGGGGCAAACCTGCAGTACCACCAGGGGCAGCCTGTCCCACCATCCCCGGCACCACTGGGCCTGGGGCCAGTCACTGTCACAGGTTCATGAATCTCACAGGGCAGGGTGGATCCACTGGGGGGGTGCGGGGTGCCAGTGTTCAGGGCCAGACGGGAGGGGCCCAGCCAATCCCTTCACACGCTTGGTCTTCAGAGAGAAGGCTTCTGAGCCAGGAGGGCCACTGTGTCAGGGCCTGGCTTGAGGCCACACCTGTGGCTGGGGGAGCCCAGAACAGTGCAGGGTCCTTCCCTGGTAGGCAGAGAAAGGCAGGGGTCCTTACAATCCAGGGGTATGGGAAGAAGCAGGCCCTGTGTCAAGGGATGTGAAACCACGGAAAGGAAGAAGGTGGAGGAACCTCGACCAGAAAGAGGGAAGCTAGGGCAGCTGCCTCCCCGGGGCCCCAGAGCCTGAGCACCCCCCACCAGCCAAGGCTCTGACCCACCCTCCCCATCGTGTAATTAGTCAGAGACCCAGCCCCACCCCACCCACAGCCCCACCCCAAACACAAACAGCCACTACCCCTGAGGGAGGGAGGGGCTGTGGCCAGTCCCAGCCCTACTGAATCTCCCACCCCCAGAGAACCTGGATCTGCCTCAGAGAAGGGAGGTCAAGGCTGGGGGGCCACTTGCTGGCCACTGGGTGAATTCTGAGCAGCTCACCACCTCATCCCCAAACCGTGTCCAAGGCAGGCTCTGGGCACAAGAGGTTCCCCGCCAACTTCCAAGGAGGGCGGCCAGGCTGCAGCCAGAGGGACGGAGGCATGAGCTGAGTGAGAACTCCCAGCTCAGGGGAAGGCAGCCCTCGTGGCAGAGGCCTGGCATCCAAGTGCCTGCCTAGCTCAGAGAAGGCACAATATGAGGGGCCGGAAGACACAGCCTCTCCCAGCCAGTGCACCCCTGCCCACGCCCGCGTCCCAGGGGGACCATCAGCTGTGGCTGGCACAGGGTGAGGCAGGGGGCAGGACACGGTGAGCACGGACGACGTCCTGGGATGGGAGGAGGACTGTGCCATATGGGCCCTCCCCACCACCTTCCAATCCAATCTCTTCTGCTCCACTTCCCTGGGCCGGGTCCAAGGCTCTGGGCTTTCTGCACTTGGGGCCAGCTGCCGGCTCCTCCTCCCCGATGTGGTCCCCATGCAGGCCGCCGGGCACACACCCCGGGCGCACACACAGCATGGACCCAGAGCGCCAGGTAGCCACAGCCCTGGCCACACAGCATCGCAGATGACTCCTCACATAGACCTATCTCTGGCCTCAGTCTCCCCACCTGCAGGATGGGCTCACAGGCGCCATATCCAGAGGGGGTCGTAGGCAAGGACTGGCTGTCGGAGGGGCTTGGAGGGAGGCTGGTCCGTTAGTCAGGAGCTGAATAGGGAGTCCGTTGGGGCAGGAGGGCCCCCTGAGGGAAACCCCAGTGCCCTCCCTAGCAGCCTAGCCTCGCTCCTGCCTGCTCCTCCCTGGCACGCACAGGTCACTGGCACAGGGTGTGTCCCTGAACTTGGGCCTGGAGGGTACCTCAGAGGCTCTTCAGACCACCATTGAGACTTCTCGGGGCGAGGGGGTCCCTGGGTGGGGCGAGGGGGTCCCTGGGTGGGCCCAGAGCTCCTCCTGTTCCATGGTCTCCCCCAGAGGGGCTTGGGCCCACTGCAGGCTCAGCAGGGCCTGCTGGGGCCAACCTTGGGGCTTTCTCCAACCCAAAGGTGACGCATCTTCTCCCCGCCCAGTCTGGGCAGCTGCAGTAGAAAGTGGCAGAGCTGCCCGGACTTGCCCGTCCTCCTCCTGGGGCCCTCAACCCACGTCCCGGAAGTGGATCCTTCTCCCACGCTGCAGCCTCCCGCTTCGGGTGACTGGACACGGCTGGATGATCCAAAATAATTCTTTCTTGGCAGGCAGCCGGTGGGGGAGGGGGACTCACATTCCAAACCCTTGTTTTTCTCAGTAACTTCCCTCCTCTACTGGGGCAAGGAACCCCTGGCCAGACCTCAGGCCTCCCAGACCCCCCGGGACAGAGGTGGGCCCCCCATAGGTACCGTGGGAGGACTCAGATGTGCCAGGCCCACCTGCTTGCTTCTCAGTCGGCTCTGGGGATTTCTATGCAACATGCAAAAAGCTGACTCGCCACAAACCTATGCCTGCTGGCCCTGCCCTCCGGGAGACCCTCACCTCTGGACAGGAAAGGGAGGGCTCCTCCCACCAGCTGTTCAGCTGTTCCGTGCCAGGGTCATCTGGGCATGGGGCAGGCTGAGAGCCCCCACTTCCCGGCAGCCTCGCTCTCCCACCCGCAAAGGGCTCCTGAGGAAGCTCAACTTTAAAGCCTCACAGGCTGCGCCGAACCTCCAAGCAAGGGCCGAAGTCAGACATTAAGTGGGGAGGGCGGGGGGGTCCAGGGAAGGTGGGGCACAGGGAGCCCTCCAGGCCGCCGGGATCTGCCGGGTTTGGGGCCCACCCTCACCCTCACCCTCACCCTCACCCTCACCCTCACCCTCACCCTCACCCCCTGTCCTGACTCTGCCACAGCCCACAGTGGGCAGACGGACCCCTTTCTTCCTTTCCCAGGGAGCTTCGGGAAGAGAAATCAAGGGCCTGGCAGGAAGCCCCAGGGCGTCCGGGCTCTGAGACCCCCAGATGACAGGGGGAGGCGGGCTCCCCAGATCTGCCGAATAGCCCGACCAGGGGCGCTGGCAGGGCAGGGGCTTCCTGCAGGAGCAGGGTGCGGAGGGGCAGGGTCAGCAGGGGACAGGCAGGGCTCGCGCCCCCGCTTCTGAGACTTTCTGTGTCTCGGGGTGTCCACCCAGACGCCACTCTGGGAACCGCGAGGAGGCCCAGGCAGTGGGGTCTCGCCAGGTGCGGGTGCTCTCCGCCCTGGTCCCCCCGCGCCAAGCAGGCCCCAGGGGGTGCGGGGACGGCCCCCGGGAGCTCGGGCAAATCCAGGCTCCTGTGCCGCTGAGCCTGGGGCCGGCCCGGAGCGCCCGCACCGCGAGACCATCTCCGCTCGGCGCACGGAGCTCGGCGGCTGAAGAGTGAGAGGCAGGCGCGGAGGAGGGATCCGACGCGGCTCCGGAGGGACGCGCAGCCCCCGCCGCCGGGCCCGTCCCCCGAGTCAACACCGGGAAGGGAGTGGGGCGGCAGCGGCCCGGGCCTCGCCGGATGGACCGACGGACGGGGCCCAGGCCCCGGGAGCCCTCCGCGGAGCCGCAGCCGCCGCAGGTCCCCGGGCCCCAGCGCGGCAGGCCCGGGCGGAGCGGCGCTGACGGCGAAGCCCCCCCCACGCCCAGCGAGACGTCCCCCGCAGCCCAGTCCCCCGAGCTCGGTACCTGCACGTCCGCCGCCAAGGCTCGATGGCGCCCGGGCCGCGCTCGGCGCTGCGCTCTGGCCCGCGCTGCTGCCATGGAGACGGGGCCTTTGTGTGGCCGAGGAGGGGCCGGAGCGCGCGGGAGCTGCCGGCCCCGCCCCCGACGAGGGAGAGGAGGGGAGGGCGGGGAGAACAGGAGAAGGGGGGAGAGGGAGAGGGAAAGCGGAGGGGGAGAAGGAGGGGGAGGGGGAGGGGGGAGAGGGGGAGGGGGGAGAGGGGGAGGGGGAAGAGGGGGAGGGGGAGAGGGGGAGGGGGAAGAGGGGGAGGGGGAGGGGAGGGGGAGCAGGAGCGGGGAGGAGAGGGCAGAAGAGAACCGGAGAGGAGGGGAGGGGACGGGAGGGGAGGGGCTGGGCCTGCGCTCCCCGCGCCCCCCACTTCTCCCCTGCCCAGCGGCCACAGCATTGTCTGGTAGGTTCAGGCACCCCAGTTCAGACCCAGGTTCAGCCAGGGCAGCACCCTGCCCACCATGCCGCCGTCCAGGAAGCACGAGCGCCCACAGAGGCCCCATGGCCTGAGCACCCCCACAGGAACCCCGCAGGTCTGAGGGGAGGCCATGGCTTGGTACCAGGGGAGGGCATTATGAGTGCACTCTCGCCTGGCCAGAGGAACGTGAGGGTCCCTGCCAGTCTTGAGATGTGTGGGCACCAGACTCTCACTCCCAGACTGGAAGCATACCAGTCGCTCCCCTGCGGCCTTCAGGGGTGGGGGCTGCTGGGCTTTGGCCCTTTCCCAGGGGTCTCAGGCCCTCAACCTCCCAGGGTAAACTGGGACCTGGAGATGGCCTCCCAGCACATCCCTGGCCTCCAGCAGCACCTTGGGATGCTGCACCCGGGACCCCACCTGGTCCTTCAGGGCCAGGAGGTGGGCGGGCCGAGACCTCTTTCTGGGGGTTCTGGTTTCTGGGACAGAGCTGGCCCCACTTCTGGCATCCCAGGTCCCAAGTCCTGGCCTCAGTGCTCCTAGTGTCCCCTGGGCTTGAGAAGAGGTGGTGAACCGTCTGCAGGGCCAGACCTTGGAGCACGCCTCCACTGCCCTCCCGGAACTGGATGTGCTGAGCAGGAGACAGAAGCATTCCCCAAGCTCTTGCCCCCACCCTGGGTCACCCCTCCCTGGGGCCCGCCTTCCACCCAGACCTGCCCCGTCCTTGCAGCTGGTCAGCTTCCTCCTGTCCCCAGCCAGGCATCCCCTCCTCCTCTGCTTCCCCCACCCGGGATCCGCCCCGCCACATCCTGACAAACTCCCCCAGCCTGACTTAGTTCTTTCAGTCTCTGCCTTCTCCCACCCTCAAGCAGCCAGGCCTTGTTCCTGTCCAAAATCTTCCCTTGGGCCTTGAACCACAATCCACATCACGGCAACCCTACCCTTCACTGCAGAGGACCCCAAAATTACCAGGTTCTGACAAGGTTGCCAACTTTTTATCAAAAAAGGAAAAGACAAGGTCCAGTCACAAAAGGACATTTTAATACCAAAACTGTGGGAAGGCCACTGTTCTAGACTAAAAGGGAGTCTTTAAATAGCCAGCAGGAAGCTTGAGGGTGAGCAGCTGTCCTTCCTGTCCCTGAGCAGGCCCCCTGTGTGCACCCTCAGCCCCGAGCCCCACTCCAGACCTGCTCCCAGCCCTTCCCACCCTCTAGGTTCTGTGGTCCCTGTCCTTCGGGAGGCCTGTGACCACAGCAGTCCTCACCCTCGCCAACTAAGTTCTGCCCAGCAAGCCCTCTTGCCTGCGGGGGCTGGCACTCTGGCCAGGGGTAGAGCTGTCTGGACCTTCCTGCCTCTTCACTGACTGCCCCTGGCCTGGAGTGCGTGGGGCGGGGAGGGCCATGGCCTAGCCCTGGACAGAGGCTCAGCCAACTCAGAGCGGCCCTGACACTGGGGGGGCCACAAGAGGCATCCGGACAGATGGAGCTGGCAGGTCTCCACGCCCAGCCCCCACCCATCCACCCCAGGCCACATTCCACCCCAGGCCTCTTCTGCACAGGTGGGGACAGGCCCTGAGGAAGAGGGGCTGGGACACTACCCCCCACCTTAGCCTTAGCTTCTGCCCAGGGCAATGCTGGCCACCCAGCCCGGTTCCCCCCTCAAGTTCCCCCTTCACACGCCACTATGTGGCCTCACCAGAGCCCTCCAGGGAAATCTGCTTGTGCATTTCTGGATACACAGTGGCCAGGGTCCCTGGGGGCTCCTCAGAGACCAGCCTGAAGCCCCTCCCCTGCAGCCATGTGGGTCTGCAGCCCTCTGTGCTGTGCGGCAGCCCTCAGAAAGCCAAGTGAGGCGAGACTGTGCTGTGGGGAAGCACATGCTGCCACGGTCCTTGGGGTGCGCTCCCCAAAGTGGGGTCACAGTTGTGAGAGAGGTGGGTTGTCTTCCCAAGCTGCCCCGACACCTTGAAGTGGTGGTCCTCAGGGGGCTGGTCACCAGCATAAGGCTTTTGCAGAGGGCCCTGGTGGAGGGCAGCTGATGGCAGGGCCTGTACTGGCCCCCCAGGCCCCATCTTATGGAGGTCAGCATTCAAGCTGCCCACACAAGAGGTGCCAGCATCTCTGCAGACCCTCTAGAGACCAAGCCCTCAGTGGGGAGGCTGGTCCCCCTGTGCTACAGTCAGGAGGCCCAAGCTGCATTTGGGGCCAGGACCTTTCTCACCCTCGGGTCCCCGGCTTGTCCCTGCCACAGAACAGGTTTGCCACCTCGGCCTCTATGTGTTCTGTTTCATGTGGTCACATCCTTGGACCCTGCACCAGACATCTGGGGCTTAACAGCTCCCCTTGGTCACCCTCCCGGCTGCCTCCGCGTCTTGTCTGTAGAATGGGAACAGGGACAGGCTGTCCTGGGCTGCAGTTGGGCTGGACAAGTTGACATGTACCAAGTTCTGAGAACTACCTGGCGCCCGGACACCTGACCCCGCTGTCCTTGTGGCTCAGTCACATCCTGCACTGAAGTGGCTGGCAGTGCTCGCTCTCCACCACCTGGCTGGAGGTCTGAGAGCACCAATGAGAACACAAACAGTACGTTGCGCTGAATGAAGGCTACATTCCTCGGACTGAATGGGGGCCTCAGAAGAAAAAGAAAAGTCCCGGCCGGGCGCGGTGGCTCATGCCTGTAATCCTAGCACGTTGGGAGGCCGAGGCGGGCGGATTACGAGGTCAGGAGATCGAGACCATCCTGGCTAACATGGTGAAACCCTGTCTCTACTACAAATACAAAAAATTAACCAAGCGCAGTGGTGGGTGCCTGTAGTCCCAGCTACTCGGGAGGCTGAGGCAGGAGAATGGCGTGAACCCGGGAGGCAGAGCTTGCAGTGAGCCGAGATCATGCCACTGCACTCCAGCCTGGGCAACAGAGCGAGACTCCATTTCAAAAAGAAAAAAAAAGAAAAAGTCCCTCCCCCAGCCCTGTGTCCCCTGGCCAGCACCCGCCCGGCCTCACAGGGTACAAAGCCCAGTCTCCATGAGTGGCCCTCCCAGCACCCTGTCGGGCATCTGCATGGCTGGCTCGCTCAGATGAGGAGTCTGAGGGTCTGAGTGGTCAGGGGACCTGCTCCCGGGCACACAGTGCGTGATGCTGAGCAGGGCTTGGCTGTCCGGAGCCCTGACAGTACCGTCACTGTGTGCTGTGCAGGGTCAACACCGTACCTCACCGGCCTCAGTGCCTGCAGGTGTCACGGGGGGAGCATACAACCCAGAGGTGGCTCTTAGGGACGTTCACCCCTTACCAAGGAAAGGGAGACATGCAGGCTCCAGCCAGAGGCAGGGTCAGGCCGAAGTCCAGAGCCCCTTGGGCTGCATGTGGGGGATGGACGGACACACTTGGACAACAGGAGCCCTGTCCACCTCCCAGAAGGGACGCACGGAGCTGGTGCCTGGTGGGGGCTCCAGGACTGGGAGCCAGGAAGGTGCTGTGGCTCTCCGAGAGCCAGGCTGAGCCAGCTCTCCTAGCAGAGGTGCTGGGCTGCACACAGCCCCCTGCCCAACCCCTACCTCCCAACAAACCACAGCCCCAAGCAGGTGGGTGTCCAGAGGAGCACCAGGGGTGGTGAGCAGAGCTCTTCACACTGCAAAGTGGTCTCTCCCTTTCTCAAGTTGATGACTATATGCAAAATAGCCTCCCATCCCCAGACAAGACGGGGGCTGTGTCAGGAGAGGGTCCCTCCTGTCCTGGGCAGCCTGTTGGGCTGAGGGAAGCATCACACACAGCGCAGGGGGGTCGGGGGCCAACAGATGGGCACCGGGAGGGGCAGACGGTAGACGCACCCACATCAGCAAGGGCTCCCAGCCTGTCCCCGCCCCCGTCCCAGCCTAAGGTCTGCAGAGGCCAGGTGGGACCCAGGAGGAGGCAAGGCTCTGCCTGCGAGGAACCCCTATGGTCAAGGCCATGCTGTGGTTCCAAATGTCGCCTTTACTGCTGAGACAATGGTGGTGCAGGAAGGGGAGCCTGCAGTCTGGGCGGGGGGCCAAGGAAGGGGAGCGTGTGCTTGGCCCAGTGCCGCCACCACTGGGGAGTGGGAGGCTCAGGCAGACCTAGGGCCCTGGGACCGTGGCCCTTGGCTTTGTTCTAGGGAGGGCACAAGACAGCCTGCAGGTCTTTGGGCAGGGAGCCGATGACCGTCTCGATGTACAGCTGTGCCCGCTGCAGCGTAGCCTCCTTCACAGGGAGCTGGTGGCCCTGAGCCCGCACCTGGAGGGGCAGCCATGGTCAGGGCAGGCGCAGCTCCGTGCCAGGCTGGTGGCGCTGGGACAAGGCTGGGAGGCATCTTACCAGCTTCTCACGAAGTTTCAGGACCAGGTCCACGACCTCCACCTCGGACTTGTCTTTCATCCAGGTCTCGATGTTCTGCAGGGCAAGACGGGGTCTACTGTCAGCAAGGCCCCTCACTGCCCTGGGCCTGTGCCCACCCCCACCATGTTCTGGCCCTCCCCAACCCCCAGCCTCTCTCACCGCCTCACAGATAGCCTCCAGGTGCAGGGCCTCCAGCTTCAGGGCCATCTCCTTGTGCCGCTGCCGGTACCAGCCATCAAAATGGGGGGACTTGAAAAACCGCCTGTGGGGATTAACAGGCGGGGGGCCATGGGGCTGACCCTGGGGATTGACAGGCGGGGGCCATGGGGCTGACCCTGGGGATTGACAGGCGGGGGGCCATGGGGCTGACCCTGGGGATTGACAGGCGGGGGGCCATGGGGCTGACCCTGGGGATTGACAGGCGGGGGGCCATGGGGCTGACCCTGGGGATTGACAGGCGGGGGGCCATGGGGCTGACCCTGGGGATTGACAGGCGGGGGGCCATGGGGCTGACCCTGGGGATTGACAGGCGGGGGGCCATGGGGATGACCCTGGGGATTGACAGGCGGGGGGCCATGGGGCTGACCCTGTGGACCAAGGAGGGCTCAAGCTGCCTGCACCTGCAGTCCACGCACCTGTAGAGACCCAGCCAGTCGCCCTTGAGGATGCAGGTGAGCTGGGGCCCAGCATGCTCCAGGCTACGCAGGAAGTCATCCTGGCTGAAGGGCTGGATCTGGGGGGGAGTCTGAGAGGGGATGGGTGAGCCAGCACGTGGGAACTCGGCCTCACAGGCCTGCACCCGGTACGCTTCCCAGACACACTCCTCACCACTTCTGAAGACCCCCAGCCCCCACCCTGCCTGGCACAGATCCCAGGACAGCCTTTCCCAGGGAGCAGGCCCTGAGCCCCTCCAAGGGTCCTGCCAGCCACCTGCCCTGTGGCCCCCAGTTTCACAAACATGATGGCCTTGAGGCCTGTGGCTCCTGCCCAGCCACAGCCTCCTGCTCCAGACCTTCCCTCCTCCGGGTGAGGAAGGGAACCCGCCCTCCATGGACCCCACAAAACCCCCACAGGACCCCCACCTTCCAGGGCGTGATGCTCTTCTGCAGGGGCATGAGGCTGGCCATGTAGTGCTCCTGGGTGGGGAAGGGAGGGGAGTGAGCCCGGGGACCCATGCCCCCCAGCCCCATCCCCCGCAGCCCCGTCCCCCCCAACCCCATCCCCCCAGCCCCGTGCCCCCCAGTCCCATGTCCCCCAGCCCCGGGCCTCACCAGGGGGATGATGAAGCTCTGGGTGAGCTCCAGGAGGTGCCGCCGCAGCAGGGCGCTCTGCACATCTGACGGCCGCTTCTTCTGCACGCCCTGCAGGGGAGAGAGGGCCAGGCCCTTGCTGCGCTTCACACCACACCAGGCTCCCTGCGTCCCCAGCCCCTGCCCCACAAACCATATACCTTGAGCAGCCGTTTGAGCAGCGCCTTGTCGCGGTGGAGGTGGGCCGTGTAAGCGGTGTAGAGGCCTGGCGGGAGGGCACAGCTGGCGCCCCACCCTTCAAGGGCCTCCCTCCCACACTCCTGCAGCCCCACAGAGGAGCCAGGGTGGGGGTCTCATCTGCCTGCAGCCCCATGCCCTTGGCTGCACCTGAAAATCTCACCCACCCACCCCCCAGACACCGAGACCCACTGAAGAGAAGAGAGCGACCCCTCCCCAAGGGTTCTGAGCTCTGCTGCTGAGTCCTGGAAGAGGATCAGGGGTCTGGGGGCCTGGCTGCCCCACCCGAGAGACCCGCCAGGTACAAGACAGGCCTCTCCACGGTGGAGGGGCTCCAGGTCGAGGGGAGCACAGACCTGGCTTGGTGTCCAGGGTCTTCAACCTTGAAGGCTTTTTCAGCTTGACTTGCTTAGGCAGGTCTCCTACGAGACACGCCCGGTGGCCAGGCCTCAGTGCCCGCAGCTCTGGCCATCCCCACGGGCTCTGAGGCGGCCCCACACTCAACGAGGCTTCTGAGCAGCACCCCCTGCACCTCACCGGGAGCCTGACCTGACATCTTGGGCTCCCCGACTCGGAGGATGTGGGGCCAGTGCTGGAGTGTTTTGATAAAGAAAGGGTTTGTGACTCCCAGGACCACGTTTGGTCTAGACAGACAGAGAGAGAGAAGAGGCAGAGACAGAGGTCCAGGGAGGTGCAGGAAGGGCGAGAGGCAGGGCGGAGCAAGGGCAAGAGGCGGGGCAGAGGCGGCACTTACGGGGCCTGCGTGCGTGTGGTGAACTCCTTGAACTCGCTGTCATGGATGGTGAAGTAGGGACGGAAGTCGCAGCAGAACCTGAGGGGCTGCAGGCAGCTGTGGGCAGAGGCAGCAGGGAGCAGGTGAGGCAGGGGCAGCCCAGGCACAGCCGCGATGGTCCAGCTTCCCCAGCCGGGACCGGGCCAAGGCGATACCTGGTCAAGGCCAGCACCATCTCCGAGGACACGTCGGGCGAGGGTGCCAGGACTAGCAGGGGCTCCCCGAGGAGCATGAGCTCCCACAGTGTCTGCATATGAGTCAGCACAGGCCGGAAGCACCTGGGGCCGGGCAGGAAGGTCGGGGAGGTCAGGCAGGGGCTGAGACTCCTGGCTCTGGCCCCGCTCTCCCACCGTTCACCCAGGCTGGCCCAGGCACTGGTGAACACAGCACGCTGCTCCAGGGTGAAGACAGATCTATCTGAAGATGTGTCTCGGGTAATCATGACGACCCCAAGCTGTGACAATCCACCTGTGCTGGGCCTGGCCCTGGGAATGGGGGACTCAACCTGGACCCACCTGTGAGGGACCAGCCATCCCGAAGTGGCCCCAAAGCCGGGGCAGGGTCTGCTGACCTGGGCTGGGGGGTACCCGCCCAGACCCCTCCCGTCACCCTGTGCCCATCCCAAGTGCAGCCCTGGCTCCTGCCGGGCCCAGCACAGAGCAGGATGGTCTCAAAGCCCAGGCTCCCTTGCAGACTTGTCCAGAGGCAGAGAAGGCGGCCTCAGGCAGTGAATCTCTCCTGACAGCCTCTCCTTGACACCTGTCTTTCAGAACCTCCTGCCCACTGTGCCTATTTCCACTGGCTGCAGACATGTGGGCACCTGCTTCCTCTTCTAGACAATTCTCCCTCCTTCCTTCCAGAACTGTCCCAAGGGGTACTCAGGATGAGCGCTGCCTCCCTTGGGCAGTCCCCACATGGCGCTGGCCATACACACACACACGTGCACACGTGCACTCACGCAGACACACACGCACACACATACTCACACACAGATGCACACATGCACGTACATGCACGTGCACACACAGTGAGCTCCTCAAAAGCAGTGTGCAGAACCCTAGGGGGCTCACCTGAACAGGTCCAGCTCGTGGACGCTAGCAAGAACCACTGGGGCTGGCAGCAGGTTCTGAGAGGAGGAGAGTGAAGGTCAGGGCCAAGGGGAGGCTGGCACCCCTTGGGCCCCAAGCAGCCCCTGCCTCACAGCACAGGGGAAGGTGGAGAGCACCCAGCCCTACACCAACACACAGCCTGTGGCTTTGCCTGGGTTTGACAACCCCGCAGGGTGAACCAAGGAAGCAGGTGTGGGACCACCCGGCCCAGGAGCAGGACTCAATCGGGTGAAGCCCAGCTGTTTCAGCTCCACCTCCGCCTCAGCTCCCACCTCTTGGTCAAACTGCTTCGGAGGACTGGACTCGGACTTGTCCACCCTGGATGGGATGCGCACCTGGGAGAAGGAGGGAGCAGCTGCCAGAGGGAGTAGGGCATCCCCACACACCTGCAGAGCCTACTCCCCAGCCAGCTGGCTCTCACCTGGACAACAACGCCCATGACAGGTAGGTTCAGGGTCTGCCCAGGTGCAGGCGCCGGCCACTGGTCGATCTCACTGCACACTGCGGATGCAGTAGCCCGCATCAGGACCCTCCCCAAGGAGAAGCTGCTGCCGAGCCCACCAGGGGCCACAGCTGGGATGATGAGACCACGATGGCCACGACTGATGGCCACTCACCTGCTTCCAGGCAGGGCGCCAGCTTGTCAAAGTACTCGGGGGCGATGAGGCTTAGCAGCGCTTGGAACAGCCGGACAAAGGGCAAGCGGGACACCAGCACCAAAGACTGCAGGGCCACGGGGCCAGTTAGAGGCCCAGTGCCAGGCCTCACCCTCGCCACTCAGGAGCCCACGGGGACCACCGAAGCCACGCTCACCTGGAGCTGGCCCAGGGTAGCACGTCCCACCAACTTCACAGGACAGCTGCCCCAGGAACGCCTGACTTGGACCCCAGAATTATTAGACAGGAGAAAACCCAACACTGAACTCCCTGGGTGGCGGCCGGTGGGGCTGGACCCTAGGGCCTTCGGAGGGAAACGCACGGTGGCCAGAATTTCTAGAACGACCTCCCCAGGGGCTGAGCAGCTTTTACTCTCTGCCTATGGCTTCCAGGCTGGGTTGCCCTGACACTGACAGTGTGATGACCCTCCAGCCATCAGTGAGGGGCAGCAGTGTCCTGGACCAGGACAGAAGGGCCTTGGGTCCCATGCCAGGCAAGGACAGGGCGGGGGGGGGGCGAGGACAGGGCGGGGGGGCGGCGAGGACAGGGTGGGGGGGCGGCGAGGACAGGGCGGGGGGCCCCGAGGACAGGGTGGGGGGGGGCGGCGAGGACGGGGGGGGGGCGGCGAGGACAGGGCGGGGGGCCGCGAGGACAGGGTGGGGGGGGGCGGCGAGGACAGGGTGGGGGGGTGGCGAGGACAGGGTGGGGGGCGGCGAGGACAGGGTGGGGGGGCGGCAAGGAGAGCTGGACACAGCCCAGGTGGGGCTGCAGGAGGGGTGGGCACTGCTGGAGGCTCAGGCCCCTTGCCCGCCCACAGCCCCTCCTGCTGCCTGCCAGCTCCTGCCGCTCTTGAGGTGCCAGCCCAGAGTGGCCAAGCAGCGCACCTTCTGGAAGTAGCCCCTCTTCACAGAGCTGTCCTTCACCTGCCTGAAGTACACGTAGCCGAAGTAGTGTGCCGGCTCCCTCTGCAAGGAGCATGGTGTTAGCCAGCCACGCCCCACCCGGACCACCTGGCCAGCCCCAGGGCTGGGAGTGGCAAGGAGCATGCAGGGACTGCTGCAGATGGAAGGCTGGAGAACCAGGAGGCTCCTGGAGCTGCTGTCCGTGCACTCTGGCCACCAAGGTGGAGGCCAGGAGGTCCTGGGCTCAGAAGGTGGGCAACACCCCTGCTGATACAGCAGGGAGTCCGCTGGTGTAGTGGAGAGGGGCTCGGGGGGCTGGGGGCCCTGGGAGGGCCCCTGTTCAACTATGCAGGTGCCCAGCCACAGATGTGTGGTGCCAAGGAAAAGTCCCAGGGACCCTGGGGAGACCCTGGAAGAGCTGGCCCATCCTCAGTTGGGGCTGGTGCCTGGGACTGCAGGGCCAGTGGGGCCTGGCCAGCTCCTCTCCTGCCACACAGGGCCCAGGCACTCTGAAGGGGCTTCTCCTACCAGCCTGACCCTGGCAGGACCCTTGGGGAGCAGGGGAGAAGCAGGCCAGAGACGCAGCCCAGTGCTCACCTGCAGTGCCACAGGGGCCCTGCTGTTGTAGTGCCTGTCGTCGGCATGCCAGGGGCTCCTCTGCCCTCCACACTGGCGCATGCGGAAGCTGAACTGAGTGTCTCCAAGGCAGCCTAAGAAGGGGCAGCCCCACCACACGGGTCAAGGCCGGGAGCCTCTTCTGCAGGCCCTGGAGCTGGTGACCGGGGAGCAAGGGCCCTGCGAGCCTGGCCTCTGCTGGTAAATATACCCCAGAAACCAGCCTGGCTAACACAGTGAAACCCCGTTTCTACTAAAAATACAAAAATTAGCCAGGCATGGTGGCACACACCTGCAATCCCAACTACTCAGGAGGCTGAGGCAGGAGAATCACTTGAACTTAGGGGGCGGAGGTTGCAGTGAGCTGAGATGGTGCCATTGCACTCCAGCCTGGGTGACGGAGTGAGACTCCGTTTAAATAAAAAAAGCCCCAGAAAGAATGCCCAGCCCAAGGGGTCTGTGTTTCCCAATGGGCTCCTATTCTGACTTCTGTACACCCTGCACCTACAAGTCTTAGAATATATTCGCATAGAAAAGCACCTTCAACTTCTCTGGGAGATTGGCTTGACCTGCTTGAGATAGAAAACCAGGCACCAGAAAATGGCCACCCAGATGTCTATACCCTGGGGCAGGAGCGGGAGGGAGGCCCAGCCCCTGGCGGCCACTGTGTGGGGTGTAGGAGACTGACTGTTGGTCCCTCTGCAAAGAGACACCCTTTCTACGTGAATCTGGGGACCGGCCTGACCTGCTGCAACGCGGGGCTCTGGGTGCCTCCACGGAGTGGGCATGGGGCTGGTGCTGCTCACCCCTGTGGCACTCTGGGCACCGGGGCAGCCGAGGCAGCCATGATGCCCCTGGCCCAGGCTACAGGGATGCCCAGCTGGCTTCATGTCCAGCCCCAGGAAAGGTGGGGTTGCCTACCTGAGTGCGAGTCGGGAAAAGACAGGTAGCAGATGCTGCTTTTCTGAAACATATAAAACCCCGGTGAGGGCCGACCCACTCCTGGGTCCTGTCCATTCCCAAGAGGGCCGGGACTCACCTCCTTGTCTGTGAGCCGGAAGTCGTTCGGATACACCAGCTGCAGAGGAAGACAGAGTGCTTGGTGACACCATCTGTCCGAGGAGGCGACACCCCTCGACAGCATCTGCTGGACTGTGACCGTCCCAGCAGCTGCAGCATCTGTCTGTGGGGCGCAGGTCAGTGCCCAAGGTGCTGGCTCGCCCCCTGCTCCCTGTTCCAACAGCACGCTGCATCCTCCCCACACCATATTCTCTGTGTTCCAACAGCATGCTGCATCCTCCCCACACCACCTTCTCTGGCTGTGATGTCTGGCTCCTTGCTGACCCGCTCCTATCTCTGACCTCCAGGCACCAGGCCCCGGGCAACTCCCCTGCCGGCCAGAGGCTTCTCTACTCCCACCTCCCCAGGCCCCTCTCAGTAAGAGGCCAGCACAATTGGGTGAGCTTCCTGACCCCTTTCTCACACCCCTGGTCCTCACAGCCACCCAACCACCTCTTGCCCAGACTGCAGTTGGGCCCCCCTGCCCCTACCCACCCGGACATCTGTTCACAGCATCAGAAGGGTAGTGCTTCAGGGACCCAGAGGCCCCCTCACCCGGGATGGTCACGGGGCTCCACCTGGCCGGCCCTCCATCTCCCTCACCACCCGCCAAGCCAGAGGGCCCCTCACCTGGGATGGTCACGGGGCCCCGCCTGGCTGGTCCTCCAGCTCCCTCACCACCCGCCAAGCCAGAGGGCCCCGGTCGTGCTGCTCCCCCAGCCTTTGCTCAGATGCAGGCCCAGAAGCACCCCTGCCCCATGATGGCAGCTTGCTGTCAGGCCCTCTCCCCGTCC
Source organism: Homo sapiens (assembly GCF_000001405.40). Classification (NCBI taxonomy): domain Eukaryota; kingdom Metazoa; phylum Chordata; class Mammalia; order Primates; family Hominidae; genus Homo; species Homo sapiens. The sequence goes on from NC_000022.11 coordinate 50,319,779, forward strand.
TGCTCAGCAGTCTTCACCCACCCTCCCCCTGCCAGGGCCTGTGCCCCACCTGTAGCGCCCAGCCGGACAAGGCCTGCACCCCCAGGAGTGGACAGTGGAGGAGAGCATGATGCTAAGCAGGCGCTGAATGACTTGGAAGACAGGTGTGCGCTGACAGAGGCGGCAGGTGGGGCAGGTGAGCCTGGGAGCCCAGCCCAGTAGGTCCACGCACACATGGACCACTTTCCCTCTAGGGAGCTCCCAGAGCCCCCATTCCCAGTGGGCCCTGCAATGTCTCCTGGGCTGCCTGAAGCCTGCCAGGAGGGCCTCTGCACACTGTCCCCTCCTCATCCCATCTGCCCAGCTTCTCCACTGAGTTGGGTTTAGGCTATAACAAGGCTTCTTCCAAGGTGTGCCCTGAGCCCCCAGACAGTGAGGAGCCGGGCCCTGGATGAAAGCATCTGCCATTTTGTTTCTGAGAGACAGGGTCTCGTTCCCTCACCCAGGCTGGAGCGCAATGGCACAATCACAGCTCACTGCAGCCTCGAACTTCTAGGCTCAAGCGATCCTCCCGCCTGAGCCTCCTGAAGTGCTGGGAGTGCAGGCGTGAGCCACGCCCAGCTTGCTCTGTGAAAATAGCCCTGCTCTTCTGTTTGCTCTGGGCTTGCTACCATGGTCCTGCTTTGCCTCTTCCAATGCAGAGTAAGTCTCTCTAAGGACCCTGTCCTGGTTACTTCTGCCTCCCAGCACCTGGCACAGAACAGACCCTCCCCAAATACAGTGTTCGTGGAATGTGTGAAGAGGTCTCTGAGGTTTACTAGAACAGGTGGGTGGAGGGGAGCTAAACAGGCACCAAGGAGTGGTCAGGAGGAGGACGAGGGTGGAAGCTGGGAGTAGGCTGGACCCACAGGGGTGCCTCAGGATAGCTCCATGAGGGGCTGGAGATATAGGGCCACTCAGCCTGAGCCTTCATGTGTCTGCACTGAGGAGAACTGAGAAAAGGCGGGTACCTTCTGCCTGGGGTCAGGACTCTGCACCTGGTCTGCCAGTCACAGGAGCCTGTGGCCTCTGAGCTCCGTGCCCATGCCCAGGGGGCCCTCAGCATGTCTGACCAGGGAAAGCCACATTCTCAGGCTCATCCTTTTTGAGAGTGTCCCTGGGGCCCAGGTACAGCCTGAAGTTGAGTACAAAGCCAGGGGTCAGGCCACCCAGGGTTGGCCACGCCAAGGTTAAGGGGACAAATGGAGCTGATCTTCAGGGCAAGGAGGCCTCCCAGGTCAGGCTGTGCCCTGCTCGGGGTTCCATGAGGGTCTTGCCTGAGCCCTGCACAGGTCCCTGCTCCTGGTCACCAGTCACCCGGAGGAAGACTGGGGGTGGGAGCTTGGTTTGGAGAAGGCACATGCAGGGAGCGGTTCCCAAGGTATGGCCGGGCCACCCTGGGATCCCGGGGGTCACAGCCCTTCTCCTGTGTGAGAGCCTCCTCTCTCATCTTCACCCTCAGGTACAGCATGGCTCCCAGAAGCCGCGGTGTGTCCTGTCCTAGAGGGCTGAATGCAGTGCTGATGAGAATCCAGCTGTTTTCCATTTGGTCGGACTTTTTATTTTTTATTTATTTATTTTTTGAGACGGGGTCTTGCTCTGTCACCAGGCTGGAGTGCACTGACGTGATCTCAGCTCACTGCAAACGCCATCTCCTGGGTTCAAGCGATTCTCCTGCCTCAGCCTCCTGAGTAGCTGGGACTAAGGGTGCACGCCACCACGCCCGGCTAACATTTTTCTATTTTTTAGTAGAGACAGGGCTTCACCATATTGGCCAGGCTGGTCTCGAACTTCTAACCTCGTGATCCACCCGCCTTGGCCTCCCAAAGTGCTAGGATTACAGGTGTGAGCCACGGCGCCCAGCCCTTCTAACTCTCAAAAATGTTTTTTAAGACAAGGTCTCACTGTCACCCAGGCTGGAGTGCAGTGGTGCGAACACAGCTCATTGCAGCCTCGACCTCCTGGGCTCAAGCAAACCTTCCACCTCAGCCTCCTGAGTAGCTGGGACTACAGGCGTGCGCCCCCACACATGGCCAATTTTTACACTGTTGTGCTACAGGCGTGCGCCCCCACACATGGCTGATTTTTACACTGCTGTGTAGAGATTGGGTCTTGCTATGCTGCCCAAGCTGGTCTCAAACTCCTGGACTCAGCCTTCCAAGCAGCTAGAACTACAAGCCTGTGCTACCACGCCCAGCTAATTTCCTTGGTTTTAACTCCTGGTAAACATTGATAGATATAACCAATATTAAAAAAAAAAAACTCTTTGGGGTCCTCAATAATTTTTTTTTTTTTTGAGATGGAGTCTAACTCTGTTGCCCAGGCTGGAGTACAGTGGCGCGATCTCAGCTCACTGCAAGCTCCGCCTCCCGGGTTCACGACATTCTCCTGCCTCAGCCTCCTGAGTAGCTGGGACTACAGGCGCCCGCCACCATGCCCAGCTAATTTTTTGTATTTTTAGTAGAGATGGGGTTTCACCGTGTTAGCCAGGATGGTCTTGATCTCCTGACCTTGTGATCCACCTGCCTCGGCCTGCCAAAGTGCTGGGATTACAGGCGTGAGCCACCGTGCCCGGCCAATAATTTTTAAAACTACAAAAGTGTCCTAAGACTGCAGAGTATGGGCACTGCTGCCTGGGAGGGCATGGCTGCCAGAGTGAAAGTGGTATTCTAACTGACCAGAGTTCACTCCAGAGACCTCTGAGGGAGCTGGGATGTTGAGAGGTAAATTTTCCATTAGAAAAAAAATTTTTGTCTTTTTTTGTTTGTTCTGAGACAGAGTCTCACTCTGTCACCCAGCCTGGAGTGCAGTGGCGTGATCTCCGCTCACTGCAACCTTTGCCTCCCAGGTTCAAGCGATTCTCTTGCCTCAGCCTCCAGATAGCTGGGATTACAGGCGTGCCACAATGCCTGGCTAATTTTTTGTATTTTTAGTAGAGATGGGGTTTCACCATGTTGGCTAGGCTGGTGGTCTCAAACTCCTGACCTCAGGTGATCTGCCTGCCTTGGCTTCCCAAAATGTTGGGATACAGGCATGAGCCACCGTGCCCAGCCTTATTTTTTTTTTTTTCTTGAGACAGAGTCTTGCCCTGTTGCTCAGGCTGGAGTGCAGTGGCACAATCTTGGCTCACTGCCAACTCCGCCTCCTGGGTTCACACCATTCTCCTGACTCAGCCTCCCAAGTAGCTGGGACTACAGGTGCCCACCGCCATGCCCGGCTAATGCTTTTTTTTTTTTTTTTTTTTTTTTTTTTAGTAGAGACGGGGTTTCACTGTGTTAGCCAGAATGGTCTTGATCTCCTGACCTCGTGATCAGCCCGCCTCAGCCTCCTAAAGTGCTGGGATTACAGGTGTGAGCCACCACGCCCGGCTTGTTTTTTGTTTTTTAACAGACAGGGTCAACCTCCAACTCCTGGACTCAAGCAGTTCTCCCACCTCAGCCTCCCAAGTAGCTGAGACTACAGGTTTGTGCCACCATGCCTGGCTCTTTTTTTTTTTTTTTTTCCTTTTTGAGAGCTGCACTCCAGCTCTGTCACCCAGGCTGGAGTGCAGTGGCACGATCTCAGCTCACTGCAACCTCCACCTCCCGGGTTCAAGCAATTCTCCTAACTCAGCCTCCAGAGTAGCTGGGATTACAGGCATACAATGCCCAGCTAATTTTTTGTATTTTTAGTAGAGACAGGGTTTCACCATGTTGCCCAGGCTGGTCTCAAACTTCTGAGCTCATGCAATCCGCCTGCCTCAGCCTCCCAAAGTGCTAAGATTATAGGCATGAAACACTGTGCCCGGCCTCATTTTGTATTTTTTGTAGAGATGTGGGTTTTGCTATATTGACCAAGCTGGTCTAGAACTCCTGGGCTCAAGTGCTCCTCCCACTGTGGGCTTCCAAAGTGCTAGGATTACAGGCATCAGCCAGCACGCCTAGCCTTTTTTTTTTTTTTTTTTTTTTAATTTTGTTTTGAGACAGGTTCTTGCTGTAACCTAGGCTGGAGTGCAGTGGTGATCATGGCTCACTACAGCCTCGAATTCCTGGGCTCAAGCAATCCTCCAGCCTCAGCCTCCTGAGTAGCTATAACTACAGGTGCATGCCACCACACCTGGCTAATTTATTTTTAATTTTGGTAGAGACAGGGTCTCACTATGTTTCCTAGGCTAGTCTGGAACACCTGGCCTCAAGTGATCCTCCTGCCTCGGCCTCCTAAAGGGCTGGATTATAGGCAGGACCACTGCGCCCAGCCCAAGAGGTGAGTTTTCAAGAGCTGAGAAGGCGGAGCCAGGCCCTTTCCTAAGCTGACCTGTACACTCCAGTCACCCCACAGTCCTGCCCAGCCCCTCACAAGCCAGATCCCTTGTCACCCCACAGCCCTGCTGGCCCCTCTCAAGCTGGACCCCTCATCTCTCAAGCAGGCTGCACTGCACTCATTTCCATGATGCTCCCATGCGTACAGTTGCGGGGGTATCCTGTGAGGGCTAAGGGGGAGTCCTGTGAGCACTATGGACTCTGAACCACTTACTCTCCATATCACTGGCACATAGTGTGAACTCCTAAAGGGCAAGAGCCTTGTCTACTCACTTACATGCTGGGCACCAGTATTGTGGGGCTGGGCTGGTGATAGCTGCTCAATGTGATCTACGGTTTTGTTTTTTGAGACAGAGTTTCACTCTTGTTGCCCAGGCTGGAGTGCCATGGCGCGATCTCGGCTCACCACAACCTCCGCCTCCTGGGTTCAAGCGATTTGCCTGCCTCAGCTTCCTGAGTAGCTGGGATTACAGGCGTGCGCCACCACGCCCGGCTAATTTTGTATTTTTAGTAGAGACAGGGTTTCTCTGTGTTGGTCAGGCTGGTCTCAAACTCCTGAACTCAGGTGATCTGTCCGCCTCGGCCTCCCAAAGTGCTAGGATTACAGGCGTGAGCCACCATGCCCAGCCTTCAAAGTGATTTACTGAATGAGTAACTGAATCACCAGCTCCTTGCCTTTTGCTTATGTTGGCATTTTGGGAGAGGGGTTACCTGAAACAGGACCCCCTCCCCTGTCTCTTCTCAGCATCCAAGACTTATTTACCTAAGCCCATTCCTTCCTCTGAGCTGCATGCATCCCAACTAGAGTCTTCCTTCCATATCGCAGAACCAAGCACAGTCCTGGGGCTTTGCAGTGCTTAGCTGGGCTGAGCTGTGACTGAGTTGCACAGTGGGTGCTCCCTAAGTCTGTAAGTGACTAAAACGACCTCGATCTTCCCTGTGACTTCCAGGTGAGGGAGGAAAGGCAAGAGTCATGTGCTCAGGCCCCGGTGGATCCACTGCCAGGTTTCTGCACAGACTCAGTGATCTGCAGGTGCCCAGATCATTGCTATGGAGGGTTTCGCTCATGGACCTGGGTCCCCAACACTCTGCCAGCTGACCATGCCCCTAGTCCGAGCTGAGCATCCCCAGCAAAAGCTCAGGAGTCCAAGCACACACAGCCTTCAACAGCTCAGAAATAACTTTCCGAATGGGTTTTAGAAAATAACACGAGAATGTCTTAAGGAACAGAGGAACCTCCTTTTTTTTTTTTTTTTTTTTTGAGATGGAGTCTCACTTTGTCGCCCAAGCTGGAGCGCAATGGTGCAATCTCTGCTCACTGCAACCTCCCCCTCCCGGGTTCAAGCCATTCTCCTCCTCAGTCTCCCGAGTAGCTAGGACTACAGGAGTGTGCCACCTCGCCCGGCTAATTTCTGTATTTTTAGTGGAGATGTGGTTTCACCATGTTGGCCAGGATGGTCTCAAACTGCTGACCTTGTGATCTGCCTGCCTCGGCCTCTCAAAGTGCTGGGATTACAGGCATGAGTCACCGCGTCCGGCCAGGAACCTCTTAACTTCTTTTGTGATTTTGTGGGGAACAATCTGGGCAACAGTATTGAACTAAGAAAGGTTTTCAACCCTGGGCAGGTCACCACACTTCTTGGTACTCAGCCCCCACCCAGTGATGCTGTTTGAGGCTGTGCACCTGCTGGGGACCGTGTGTGGTGGGAGGGGCTCCAGAGAGTGCTAGAGTTAATGCTTTTCTGTTTAGAAGACTATATGCTTCTCATGGCCTCTTGGAGTTCAGCAGGGCCTTAGAAAGCATCTCCCAACCACAGAGACGCGCTGCCTGGCTTTCCTGATGATGATGATTTGGCCTGATCTTGGACACCTGCGGTAATAGAGAGCTCACTACCCCTCACGAGGTTCCTTGCGCCAGCGCGGGGAAGCCTCCCTCCATCTGCAGGTGGGCCTCCCCTGTGCTGGTCAGCTCCCTGGTGTGTGTTACACAGGACACAGAGAAGATCATCCTGCGGGGCCTCCCTGGAGGAAAGGAGGCTGCCTGTGTGGGTAGGTGAGTGGAGGCCTGCAGGCAGCAGAAAGACCACATCGAAAGCCCATGGGCACAGCCGATGAACAGACCCCCACGAGCAAGAACACCACAAGACGCAGGTGGAGGGACGGGGCCCATGGGGTCTGGATCTGATGCTAGGTGAACAAGGAGGCGCTGCAGGGTTTTAAGCAGGAGAGCCACAAAGGTTGAACTCTGGGGTGCAGCTGGGGTGGGGATGACATCAGTGATGGCAGCAAAGGAACGGATCCGAGACCTTTGTTGCAGAAGGAGCCGTCAGCCTCGCCTATGCCCAGAGATGGGATGCGGAGCGGAGGGTAAGCCCGGGACTCTGGCGGGAGCCACTGAGGGGATGAAGGTGTCACTGCTCCGGTGGGGAATGGAGGGGGGAGATGTGAGACATTTACTGGGAAAAATCGAAAGAGTACCACTTAGGTTATGCAAAATGCTCCATCCCAATGTGAAGACAAGATCCGACTCCGAGCAGCTCGCCTTCCCTCCTCGGCCTGGGGAGCGCTTCTGGAGCCCGGAGAAGAGGCCCCTCCAGGAGGCGGCGGCCGAAGGCCAGGGAGAGTGCGGGGCGGCCGAGGGCCCCAAGCGAGGCGGGACTGGCCCCGAGAGGCGCAGCCCTGCCCACCCGCCCGCGCCCGCGCTCGCGCCCGCTCACCTCCAGCGCCTGGCCCAGCTCCAGGTCGAAGGTGACCACGCACACACACTCCAGCCAGGCGGAGAAGCGCGCCCAGGGCGCCGCCGGGGTCCGCGCCGCGCGACCTGAAGACGTGGGTCCAGCCGCGCCCAGGCAGCCGCGAGCCCGGCGAGGCCCTGTGCCCAACAGCGCGTCCATGGCGGCGGCCGCGGGTTGCCGGGGAAACGCGGGCGGGGGCGGCGCGCGTCCGGGCCGCTCCTCAGAACAGTCGAGCGGCCGCCGCGGCCCAGTGCGGCTCCCGCGCGGCCGCGCGCCCCCTAGCGCCCGAGAAGCGCCAGCGGCCGGGCGCCGCCCAGGGCACCAGCGAGCCGGACGCGCGCGGGCCAGAGCGGCCGGAGCCCACTGGGGGACTTCCGGGGAAGCGGCCGAACTGGGGCCTTCCAGGGTCCACGCCGTCTGAGGCCCGAGAGAGTCGGTTCGGCCCCGGTGTTCGCGGATCCCGGCTCGCGGGAGCCTCGGGGCCAGGCCAGGGAGGCAGAGCAAGCTGCAGCCAGCCGGCGCCGGGCTCGTCGGGCTTCGCAGGTCCGGCCAGCCTACCTCGCCCCACCGCGCAGGGGCCAGCGGCGTCGCGGGCGTTTTCGTGGCGGAATGGCGTCCTCACTGAGCGCCCAGCCACCACCGCGGACTCGCGCTCGCTTCCTCTGGGGCCCGCGCGGCCTGGGGTCGTGTCTGACCGCGGGTGTCCACGCAACACCTCTGCAGTTTCACTTTCCGGGGGAATCGCGGGGACCTGGAGCGAACTCTTCCCTCCCTCGCGAGGGCCCCGGGCCCCGCTGTGGTCCACAGAGCACCTTGAGGCCCGGCGTGGAAGGGCGAGTTTGGGGCTGTCGGTAACTTAATGAGGCACGCCTTTGAGTCGTGGGCCTCATGACGTTTCCGTGGAAGGCGGGCCGCATATACTGTGGTGGTCCCTTCAGATTACCACGTGTTGGCCAGACGCGGTGGCTCACGCCTGTAATCTCACCGCTTTGGGAGGCCGAGGTGGGGTGGCGGATCACGAATCCAGGAAATCGAGACCAACCTGGTGAAACCCTGTCTCTACTGAAAATACAAAAATTAGCCGGGCGTGGTGGCTGGCGAGCGCCGTAACCCCAGCTATTGGGGAGGCTGAGGCAGGAGAATCGTTTGAACCCCGGAGGCGAAGCTTGCAGTGAGCTGAGATGTCGCCATTGCACTCCAGCCTGGGCGACAGAGTGAGACTCCATCTCAAAAATAAAAAAATAAAAGATTACCACGTGTTGTTCGGATCATCTGGCCTAGGTGTGGGGTAGGCTGTCCCATCTAGGTTTGTCACATAACAAAATCGCCTAATGACACATTTCTCAGGACATAGCTTCACCGTTGAGTAGCACATGGCCGTATTGTTTTTTGTTTGTTTGTTTCTGTTGTTTTTTTTGAGACAGAATGTTGCTCTTGTTGCCCAGGCAGGAGTGCAATGGCATGGTCTTGGCTCACTGCAACCTCTGCCTACTGGGTTCGAGCGATTCTCCTGCCTCAGCCTCCCGAGTAGCTGGAATTACAGGCGTGCACCACCACGCCAGGCTAATTTCTGTATTTTTGGTAGAAACGGTTTCACCATTTTGGCCAGGCTGGTCTCGAACTCCTGAGCTCAGGTGATCTGCCCGCCTCGGCCTCCCAAAGTGTTGAGATTACAGGCGTGAGCCACTATGCCAGGCCCGACTGTATAGCTTTTATTTTTATTTTTAGAGGAAAGGTCTCACTCTCTCCCAGGATGGAGTGCAGTGGCCCATTGCAGCTCACTGCAGCCTCGATCTCCTGGCTCAAGCTATCCTGCCACTCAGTCTCCTAGGTAGCTGAGGCTACAGGCACACGCCGCCATACCCCATTATTTTTTTATTTTTATTTTTTGTTCGTTTTTGTGGAGATGGGGTCTCGTGCTGCCTGGGCTCATTTTCATTTCTCTTGGGCGTGCATAGAAACCAAATTGCTGAGGCATAACCTGGGTATATGTTTAGCTTTCCCCAAAGCAGCCATACATTTAAAAACATTCCTACCAGGCCAGGCGAGGTGGCTCATGCCTGTAATCCCAGCACTTTGGGAGGCTGAGGCTAGTGGATCACCTGAGGTCAGGAGTTTGAGACCAACCTGGCCGACATGGTGAAAACCTGTCTCTACTAAAAAATACAAAAATTAGCCAGGCATGGTGGCGGTCACCTGTGATCCTAGCTACTCAGGAGGCTAAGGCATGAGATCGCTTGAACCTGGGAGGTGGAGGTTGCAGTGAGCCGAGATCAAGCCACTGCACTCCAGCCTGTGTGACAGAGCGAGACTTTGTCTCAAAAAAAGATAAAAAAAGAAAATGGAAACATTCCTACCAACAGTTTATGTTTCCTTTGCTCCACATCCTTCCCAACATTTGGTGTTGCCAAGCGTCTTCATTGTAGCCAGCCAATGAGTGGGTAGTGGTATCTTGTGATTTTTAAAATTTTGTTTATTTTATAGAGAAGAGATCTCATCCTATCACCCAGGCTGAAGTTCAGTGATGTCATCATAGCTCACTGCAGCCTGGAACTCCTGGGCTCAAGGGATCCTCCTTCATTGGCCTCCCAAGTAGCTGTAACTACAGGCATGTGCCACCGTGCCTGGGTATTCTTGTGGTTTTGATTTGCATTTCCCTGATTACTAATGGTCTTGAGCATTTTTTTCCCCTGTGGTTATTGCATGCCATCATTGTAAGATGTACTCTGATTTTGAGGTAGGAGGCAGAACTTTATTCCAGACCAGATTAAAGACTGGCTGAAGGCCGGGCGCGGTGGCTCACGCCTGTAATCCTAACACTTTGGGAGGCCGAAAAGGCGAGCAGATCAGCAGATCGAGACCATCCTGGCTAACACGGTGAAACCTCATCTCTACTAAAAGTACAGAAAATTAGCCGGGTGTGGTGGCTGGTGCCTGTAGTCTCAGCTACTCGGGAGGCTGAGGCAGGAGAATCACTTGAACCCAGGAGGCGGAGGTTGCAATGAGCTGAGATCGCACCACTGCACTCCAGCCTGGGCGACAGAGGGAGACTCTGTCTCAAAAAAAAAAAAAAAAAAAAAAAGCTGGCTGAAACTGGGAAGAGGCAAAAGCACCGCTCCATGAGACATGCCCACCAGTGCCATCTCTGTTTACCATTGCCATGGCAACACCCACAAGTTACTGCCGCTTCCCATGATAACCACCCCAAAGTTAACGACCTTTTTCTAAAACTTTCTGAATAACTTGCACCTTAATTTGTACATAATTAAAAGTAGTTGGCCGGGTATGGTGGCTCACGCCTGTAATCCCAGCACTTTGGGAGGTCGAGGCGGGCAGATCATGAGATAAGGAGATCGAGACCATCCTGGCTAACACAGTGAAACACCGTCTCTACTAAAAATACAGAAATTAGCCAGGCGTGGTAGCGGGCACTTGTAATCCCAGCTACTCGGGAGGCTGAGGTACGAGAATCGCTTGAACCCAGGAGGCAGAGGTTGCAGTGAGCTGAGGTTGCGCCATTGCACTCCAGCCTGGGCGACATACTGAGGCTCTGTCTCAAAAAAAAGAAAAGAAACGAAAAAAAAACAGAGAGAGAGCCGGGCGCGGTGGCTCATGCCTGTAGTCCCAGCACTTTGGGAGGCCAAGGCGGGCGGATCATGAGGTCAGGAGAGATTGAGACCATCCTGGCTAACACAGTGAAACCCTGTCTCTACTAAAAATACCAAAAAAAAAAAAAAAAAGCCGGGCGTGGTGGCAGGCACCCTTATCCCAGCTACTCTGGAGGCTGAGACAGGAGAATGGCGTGAGCCCAGGAGGCGGAGCTTGCAGTGAGCCGAGATCGCGCCACTGCACTCCAGCCTTGGGCAACAGAGCAAGACTCCGTCTCAAAAAAAAAAAAAAAAAAAAAAGAAAAGAAAAAAGAAAAAAAGAAAGAGAGGAGGCTTAGAGTCAGAGAAGTCAATGTGGTGCTGGGATCTGAGAAAAAGAACCTGGAAGATGGTCAGTTGCTGGCTTTGAAGATGGAGGAAGACACTAAACCAAGGGATGCAGGACAAGCTGGAAAAGGCAAGGACATAGATTTTCCCTGGAGCTTCCCAGAGGAAGCCAACATCTGGATTTTCGTCCCATAAGACTCATCTCAGATTTGTGAGCTCCAGGACTGTAAGGTAATAAATGCGTGTGGTTGTAAGCCATGACGTGTGTGGGGACCTGTGTCAGCAGCAACCGGAAACTACTGCATGGACGATCTAGTTTATTCTGCCTGGTTTCTTGTGCCTCACGTTATGTTTTTGAGGTCATGCATGTTGTTGCATGTACCAGTAGTTCATTCCTTTCGTGAATAGTATTTTATATGATGTTTTCGTGTCCATTTACCATTTGAAGGACATTTGGATTATTTCCAGTGTTTGCTTATTATGACTCATGCTGCTGTGACATTTGTGTACAAGTCTCGGTGTGGACACACGTTTCCATTTTTTTGGCATAGATATGTAGGAGTGAAAGTATTGGGCTGTATGGTAAGTTTATATTCAAATGTTGGAGAAATTATCAAACTTTTCCGAACAGTTTTACATTTCCACTAGGAATGTATAAAGGTTCCAGTTCTCCACATCCTCCCCAACGCTTAGTATTATTGTTCCAGCCGTTCGAGGGGGTCTGCAGTGGTACTTTCTTGTGGGCGAGTTTGGCATTTCCCTGATGATTAATGGTGTTGAGCATCTTATGTGCTCCTAAGTCATTTGTGTTAGCTTCTTTAAAAAAATGTTTATGCAGCTTTTTTGCCTATTTTTTTTAACTTCTTTTTTTGAGACAGAGTCTCGCTTATGTCACCTAGACTGGATGGAATGCAATTATGTGATCTCAGCTCACTGCAACCTCTGCCTCCCGAGTTCAAGCAATTCTCCTGCCTCAGCCTCCCGAGTAGCTGGGATTACAGATGCATGCTACCATTCCTGGATAATTTTGTATTTTTAGTAGAGACGGGGTTTCACCATATTGGCCAGGCTGGTCTTGAACTCCTGACCTTGTGATCCACCCGCCTTGGCCTCTCAAAGTGCTGGGATTACAGGCGTGAGCCATTGCATCCGGCCCTATTTTATTTTATTTTATTTATTTTGGAGAGACAGGGTTTTGCCATGTTGCCCAGGCTGGTCTTGAACTCCTGGGCTCAAGCAATCTTCCTACCTCAGCCTCCCAAAGTGCTGGGATTACAGGTGCATGCCACCACACCCAGGTATCTTTTATGTTTCTTAATGGCATCTTTTGAAGATCAAATATTATAATTCTGATGAAATCTAATGTACCATTTTCTTTCATGGATTATGGTTTTGGTGTCATATCTAAGAAATGTCTTAACCTAAGGTCCTAAGTCAAATAATACTTTTTATGTTTCTTCTAGAAGATTTTTTTTTTTTTTGAGATGGAGTCTTGCTCTGTTGCCCAGACTGGAGTGCAGTGGTGCAATCTTGGCTCACTGCAAGCTCCGCCTCCCAGGTTCACCCCCCCATTCTTCTGCCTCAGCCTCCTGAGTAGCTGGGAGTACAGGTGCCCACCACCACACCTGGTTAATTTTTTGTATTTTTAGTAGAAGCGGGGTTTCACTGTGTTAGCCAGGATGGTCTTGATCTCCTGACCTCGTGATCCGCCTGTCTCAGCCTCCCAAAGTGCTGGGATTACAGGCGTGAGCCACTGCGCCTAGCCTCTTCTAGAAGATTTTTAGCTCTTATATTTAGGTCTGTGATTCACTTTGAATTAATTTTTGTGTATGGTATGAGATAAGGAGATAAGGTTTAAATCCTTTTTTTTTTTTTTTTGAGATGGAGTCTCGCTCTGTCACCAGGCTGAAGTGCAATGGCGTGATCTTGGCTCACTGCAGCCTCCACCTCTTGGGTTCAAGCGATTCTCCTGCCTTAGCCTCCCAAGTAGTGGGTACTACAGGCACGCACCACCACGCCCAGCTAATTTTTGTATTTTTAGTAGAGACGGGGTTTCACCATGTTGGCCAGGATGGTCTTGATCTCTTGACGTCGTGATCCACCCGCCTCTGCCTCCCCATGGGCTGGGATTACAGGCCTGAGCCACCACAACCAGTCCTAAATTCTTTTTTTATATAGATAATCAGTTTTTCCAATACCATTTGTTGAAAATATATTGTTTTCCCATAAAATTGACTTAGGAGCGAGGTGTGGTGGTTCAGCTACTTGGGAGGCTGAAGCAGGAGGATCACCTAAGCCCAGGAGGTGGAGACTGTAGTGAGCTGTGATCGCACCAGTGCACTCCAGCCTGGGTAACAGAGTGAGACCTCATCTCTAAATAAATAAATAAATAAACTTAGCACTTCTGTTAAAAAAATCAATCGATGATAATTGTGAGGGTTTTTTTTAATTCTCTATTCTGTTCCCTTGATCTATATGCTTTTCCTTATACTAATTCTGTCCTGTCTTCATTATTCTAGCTTTGTAGTAAGTTTTGAGATCACGTAGTGTAAGTCCTCCAGCTTTGTTCTTTTTCTTTTTTTTTTTTTTTGAGACGGAGTCTCGCTCTGTCGCCCAGGCTAGAGTGCAGTGGCACAATCTTGGCTCACTGCAAGCTCCGCCTCCCGGGTTCACGCCATTCTCCTGCCTCAGCCTCCTGAGTACCTGGGACTACAGGCGCCTGCCACCACGCCCGGCTAATTTTTGTTTTTAGTAGAAACAGGTTTCACCGTGTTAGCCAGGATGGTCTCGATCTCCTGACCTCGTGATCCGCCCACCTCGGCCTCCCAAAGTGCTGGGATTACAGTCATGAGCCACCGCGCCTGGCCCCAGCTTTGCTCTTTTTCAAAATTGTTTTGACTATTTTGTGTAGGGTCCAGCCCTACAGGGCCTGTTGGTTTTTCTTTTTGTGTGTGGAGACGAGAGATCGTAGAAATAAAGACGCAAGACAAAGAGATAGAAGAAAAGACAGCTGGGCCCTGGGGACCACTACCACCAAGACATGGAGACCGGTAGTGGCCCTGAATGCCTGGCAGCACCGTTATTTATTGTTTACAAGGCAAGAGGGCAGGGTAAGGAGTGTGGGTTGTCTCCAATGATAGGTAAGGTCACGCGAGTCACGTGTCCATGGGCCAGGGGGCCCTTCCCTATTTGGTAGCCAAGGTGGAGAGAGAGAGAGGACAGGTAACGTCATTATTTCTTTTATGTATTTCTTGGAGAGATCAAATACTTTAATACTTTCACTAACTTTGCTACTGCTATCTAGAAGGCGGAGCCAGGTGTACAGGGCGGAACATGAAAGTGGACTAGGAGCGTGACCGCTGAAGCACAGCATCACAGAGACGTTTAGGCCTCCGGATGGCTGCGGGCGGGCCTGACTGATGTCAGGCCTTCCACAAGAGGTGGTGGAGCAGAGTCTTCTCTAACTCCTTTTCCTGGTCCGCTGAGTAACAGGTGCCTTCCCAGGCTCTGGCGTTACCGCTAGACCAAGGAGTCCTCTAGAGGCCCTGTCCGGGCGTGACAGAGGCTCACCCTCTTGTCTTCTGGTCACTTCTCACCGTGTCCCTTCAGCTCCTATCTCTGTATGGCCTGGTTTTTCCTAGGTTATACTTGTAGAACAAAGATTATTATAATATTGGATTAAAGAGTAATGCTATAAGCTAATAATTAGTAATATTCATATATAATCATATATATAATCTATTTCTAGTATAGCTTCTCGTCGTATATGTTTCCTTTATTATACTGGAACAGCTTGTTTCTTTGGTCTCTTGCCTTGGCACCTGGGTGGCTTGCCGCCCACAATTTTGATCATTTGCATATCTATACAGATTTCAGTATTAGCTTGTCAATTTCCACCACCAACAAAAACACCTGCTGAAGCCAGGTGCGGTGGCTCACGCCTATAATCCTAGCACTTTGGGAGGCCAAGGTGGGTGGCTCACTTGAGCTCAGGAGTTCAAGACCAGCCTGGCAAACATGGTGAAACTCTGTCTCTACTAAAAATGCAAAAAATTAGCTGGGTGTGGTGTCGCGTGCCTGTAGTCCCAGCTACTTAGGAGACTGAGGCAGGAGAATCGCTTGAACCCAGGAGGCAAGATCGCACCAACTGCACTCCAGCCTGGGCAACAGAGTGAGACTCTGTGTCAAAAAACAAACAAACAAATAAAAAACACCTGCTGAGATTTTGCCAGAGATTACATTGGATCCACAGATCAATTTGGGGGAGAATTGCTATCTTAACAATGTTGAGTTGTTTTTATTTTTGAGACAGGGTCTCGCTCTGTCGCCCAGGCTGGAGTGCAGTGGCGCAATCTCGGCTCACCACAACCTCCGCCTCCCAGGTTCAAGCGATTCTGCTGCATCAGCCTCCTGAGTAGCTGGGACTACAGGTGCCCGCCACAACACCCGGCTAATTTTTTTTTTTTTTTTTTTTTTTTTTAGTAGAGATGGGTTTTCACCGTGTTAGCCAGGGTGGTTTTGATCTCCTCACCTGGTGATCCACCTGCCTTGGCCTCCCAAAGTGCTGGGATTACAGGTGTGAGCCACCGCGCCCAGCCATAATTTTTGTATTTTTAGTAGTGACGGGGTTTCACCATATTGGCCAGACTGGTCTCAAACTGACCTTGTGATCTGCCCGCCTCGGCCTCCCAAAGTGCTGGGATTACAGGTGACAGCCACCGCATCTGGCCCTTGTTTTTTGTTTTGTTTTGTTTTGTTTTGTTTTTGAGACGAAGTCTCACTCTGTCGCCAGGCTGGAGTGCAGTGGTCCAATCTCGGCACACTGCAACTTCCACCTCCTGGGTTCAGGTGATTCTCCTGCCTCAGCCTCCCGAGTAGGTGAGACTACAGGTGCGCACCACCACACCCAACTAATTTTTTTTTTTTTTTGAGATGGAGTCTCGCTCTGTCACCCAGGCTTGAGAGCAGTGGCGCAATCTTGGCTCACTGCAAACTCCACCTCCTGAGTTCACGCCGTTCTCCTGCCTCAGCCTCCCCAGTATCTGGGACTACAGGCACCTGCCACCACGCCCGACTAATTTTTTTGTATTTTTAGTAGAGATGAGGTTTCACCATGTGGGCCGGGCTGGTCTCGAGCTCCTGACCTCGTGATCCGCCTGCCTTGGCCTCCCAAAGTGCTGAGATTACAGGCGTGAGCCACTGCACCCAGCCACAATGTTGAATGTTTTTTTTCTTTTTGAGACAGAGTCTTGCTCTATCGTCCAGGCTGGAGTGCAGTGACACAATCTTGGTTCACTGCAAGCTCTGCCTCCTGGGTTCACGCCATTCTCCCACCTCAGCCTCCTGAGTAGCTGGGATTACAGACGCCTGCCACCATGCCCGGCTAATTTTGTTTTTGTATTTTTAGTAGAGACGCGGTTTCACCATGTTAGCCAGGATGGTCTCGATCTCCTGACCTCATGATCCACCCACCTCGGCTTCCCAAAGTGCTGGGATTACAGGTGTGAGTCACCGCGTCCAGCCTGAATTTTTAAACCAATTTTAACCAAAAATATGACATGTCTGTCAACTTATTTAGGTCTTCTCCAACTTTTATCAGCAGGGTCATTATTTTATTTTATTTTATTTTGAGATGGAGTTTCGCTCTTGTTGCCCAGGCTGGAGTGCGAAGGCGCGATCTCAGCTCACTGCACCCTCCACTCGCGGGTTCAAGTGATTCTCCTGCCTCAGCCTCCCAAGTAGCTGGGACTACAGTCGTGCATCACCATGCCCAGCTAATTTTTGTGTTTTTAGTAGAGAAAAATTTTTTTTTAGAGACTGGGTCTCACCGTATTGTCCTGGCTGGTCTCAAACTCCTGGCCTCAAGTGATCCTCTTGCCTCAGCCTCCCAAATTGCTGGGATTATAGGTGTAAGCCACCACACCTGGCCTGTTCCTTCTTTATTTTAATTAATTAATTTAGAGACAGGGTCTTGCTCTGTCACTCAGGTTGCAGTACAGTGGCGTGGTCACAGTTCACTGCAGCCCCGACCTCCAGGGCTCAGGCAATCTTCCCACCTCAGCCTCCAGAGTAGCTGGGACTACAGGCGTGCACCACCATGCCCAGCTAATTTTAAAAATTTTTGTAGAGACAGGCTCTCGCTGTGTTGCCCAGGCTAGACTGTCCTTTCTTGAACACAAACTTAACTTCATTACTTTATAATTAATCCCCTCTTGTTGATAATATTTTTATATCAAACTTTCCCTGTTGAAATCATTGTGTGGTCTCTGTCCCTTTATTGAACCATAACTAGTGATACAATTTTGAAGGAGGAAAAACCAAGCAGGGAAGGTGGTGATGAAGAGAGTGTGTGTGTGTGTGTGTGTGTGGTGTGTCTGTGTGTACAGTGTGTGTGTGCGATGTGTGGTGTGTGTGGGGTGTGTGCGTGTGTGCTGTGTGGGTATAGTGTGTGTGGGGTATGTGTGTGGTGTATTGGTGTGTGTGTGTGGTGTGTGTGCAGTGTGTGTGGTACATGTGTGGTGTGTGGTATGTGGGGGTGTGTGTGTGCGCCTGCATGTGTGTGTGGTGTGTGTGTCTGCGATGTGTGGTGTGTGGGTGTGTGTGTGCTGTGTGGGGGGTGTGTGTGTGTAGTGTGTGTGTGCGATGTGTGGTGTGTGTGGGGTGTGTGTGTGCGGTACGTGTGTGGTGTGTGTGGTATGTAGTGTGTGTAGTGTTTGTCTGCGATGTGTGGTGTGTGTGCGGTGTGTGGGGTGTGTGCGTGTGTGTATAGTGTGTGCGATGTGTGGTGTGTGTGGGGTCTGTGTGTCTGTGTAGTGTGTGTGCGATGTGTGGTGTGTTGGGGGTGTGTGTGCTGTGTGCGGTATGTGTGCTGTGTGGGTATAGTGTGTGTGTGGTGTGTGTGGTGTGTGTGTGTGTGCCATATGTGGTGTGGTGTGTGTGCGGTGTGGTATATGTGTACTGTGTGGTATGTAGTGTGTGTGGTATGTGGAGTGTGCACGATGTGTATGGTGTGTGTGTGGGTGTGTGTGTGCTGTGTGGGGCATGTGTGCTATCTGGGTACAGTGTGTGTGTGGGGTGTGTGTGGTGTGTTGGTGTGTCTGTGTGTGGTGTATGTGTGGTGTGTGGTGTGTGTGGTCTGTGTGGTGTAGTGTGTGTGGTGTGTGGGGTGTGTGCATGTGTGTGTGATGTGTGTGGTGTGTGTGGGTGTGTGTGCTGTGTAGGGTGTGTATGTTGTGTGGGTATAGTGTGTGTGGGGGGTATGTGTGGTGTGTTTGTGTATGTGTGGTGTGATGTGTGTGGTGTGTGTGGTGTGTGTGATGTGTAGTGTGTGTGGTGTGTGGTATGTGGTGTGTGTGCATGTGCGTGCATGTGTATGTAGTGTGTGTGGTATGTGTGTGCGATGTGTGAGGTGTGTGTGTGCTGTGTGGGTATAGTGTGTGTCGGGGGTGTGTGTGGTGTGTTGGTGTGTGTGTGTGGTGTGTTTGTGTCTATGTGTGGTGCGTGTGAAGTGTGTGGTGTGTTTGTGGTGTGTAGTGTGTGGTGTGTGTGTGGTGTGTGGTGTGTGTGTGGTATATGTAGTGTGTGTGGTATATGGTGTGTGGTGTGTGTATGGTATATAGTGTCTGTGGTATGTGGTGTGTGTGGTATGTGTGTGTAGGGTGTGTGGTGTGTGTAGAGTGTGTGGTGTGTGGTATGTAGTGTGTGTTATGTGTGTGTTATGTAGTGTATGTGGTATGTGGTGTGTGTAGTGTGTGTGTGCGGTGTGTGTGTAGGGTGTGTGGTGTGTGTGGTATGTAGTGTGTGTGTTTGGTGTGGTGTGTGTTTGTGGTGTGTGGTGTGTGTGGTATGTAGTATGTGTGGTATATGGTGTGTGGTGTCTGTGGTATGTAGTGTGTGTGGTATGTGGTGTGTGTGTAGTATGTGGTGTGTGTGGTGTGTGTAGGGTGTGTGGTGTGTGTGTGGTGTGTAGTGTGTGTGTTATGTGGTATGTGTGGTAGGTAGTGTGTGTGGTATGTGGTGTGTGTGGTGTGTATGTACGGTGTCTGGTGTGTGTGTGTGTAGGGTGTGTGGTGTGTGTGTGGTGTGTGGTGTGTGATGTGTGTGGTATGTAGTGTGTGTGTTATGTGGGGTATGTGTGGTGTGTGTGGTAGTGTGTGTGGTATGTGGTGTGTGTGGGTGTGTAGGGTGTGGTGGGTGTGTAGGGTGTGTGGTGTGTGTGTGGTATGTAGTATGTGTGGTATGTGGTGTGTGGTGTGTGTGTGTGGTGTGTGTGTGTGGTATGTAGTGTGTTATGTGGTGTGGTGTATGTGGTATGTGGTGTGTGGTGTGTGTGGTATGTAGTGTGGTATGTAGTGTGTGTTATGTAGTGTGTGTGGTTTGTGGTGTGTGTGTGGTATGTGGTGTGTGTGGTGTGCGTGTGGTATGTAGTGTGTGTTGTATGTGGTGTGTGTGTAGGGTGTGTGGTGTGTTTACGGTGTGTGTTGTGTGTGTTGTGTGATTGTGTGGTGTGTGTAGGGTGTGTGTTGTGTGTGGTATGTGGTGTGTGTTGTGGGTGTAGTGTGTGTGGTGTGTGTGGTATGTAGTGTGTGGTATGTGGTGTGTGTGGCTTGCGTGTGGTATGTAGTGTGTGTGTGGTATGTGGTGTGTGTGTAGGGTGTGTGGTGTGTGTTTACGGTGTGTGTTGTGTGTGGTGTGTGATTGGTGTGTGTGTAGTGTGTGGTGTGTATAGGGTGTGTGTTGTGTGTGTGGTGTGTGTGGTATGTGGTGTGTGGTGTGTGTGTGGTGTGTGTGTGGTGTGTGTGGTATGTAGTGTGTGTGTGGTGTGTGTGGTATGGTGTGTGCGGTGTGTGTGGTATGTAGTGTGTGTTATGTGGTGTGTGTGTAGGGTGTGTGGTGTATGTTTCGAGTGTGTGTTGTGTGTGGTGTGATTGGTGTGTAGTGTGTGGTGTGTGTAGGGTGTGTGTTGTGTGTGTGGTATATAGTATGTGGTGGTGTGTGGTGTGTGTGGTATGTGGTGTGTGTGTGGTGTGTGTGGGGTATGTGTGTGTGGTGTGTGGGGTATGTAGTGTGTGTGGTGTGTGGTGTGTGTGTGGTATGTAGTGTGTGTGTGGTGTGGTGTGTGTGTGGGGTGTGTGGTGTGTGTGGTATGTGGTGTGTGTGTGGGGTGTGTGGTGTGTGTGTTATGTAGTGTGTGTGTGTTGTGTGGTGTGTGTGGTATGTAGTGTGTGTTATGTGGCGTGTGTGTGGTATGTAGTGTGTGTGTAGGGTGTGTGGTGTGTGTTTAGGGTGTGGTGTGTGGTGTGTGATGTGTGTGTGGTGTGTGTGGTATGTAGTATGTGTGGTATGTGGTGTGTGTACAGTGTGTGGTGTGTACAGTGTGTGGTGTGTGTAGGGCGTGTGGTGTGTGTGTAGGGTGTGTATGTGGTGTGTGTGTGGTATGGAGTGTGTGGTATGTGGTGTGTATGGTATGTGGTGTGTGTGGTGTGTGTGGAGGGTGTGTGTGGTGTGTGTGGTATGTGGTATGTGTGTGGTATGTGGTGTGTGTCTCGGGTGTGTGTGGTGTGTGTAGGGTGTGTATGTGGTGTGTGTGTGGTATGGAGTGTGTGGTATGTGGTGTGTATGGTATGTGGTGTGTGTGGTGTGTGTGTAGGGTGTGTGTGGTGTGTGTGGTGTGTGTGGTATGTGGTGTGTGTGTGGTATGTGGTGTGTGTCTCGGGTGTGTGTGGTGTGTGTAGGGTGTGGTGTGTGTGTGGTGTGTGTGGGGGGTATGTGGTGTGTGTGTCGCGTGTGTGTGGTATGTAGTGTGTGTGGTATGTGGTGTGTGGTGTGTGTGTGTGGTGTGTGGTGTGTGCGTATGATTGTGAGTTGAAACAGTGACCAGGGAAACCCCCACAGGGAAGGGCACAGTGCAGTCAAGGTCCCAGAGGCCACTCCTAAGCACAGCAATGACCAAGGAAGGCCCTGCGGGGATGCAGGGACAGCAGCAGCCAACGGCGGGAGGTCATCGGGATGGGAGCCATGAGCAAGGGGAGTAGGAGAGGTGAGCTCAGGTCATGTAGGGCCCTGTGGGCAACAGCAGGGACTTTGTCGTTCAGCCTGTGAGGCAAGAGCTCCTAGGGGTAGGGAAGATGTGATGTGACCTATTTCATTTCATTTCATTAAATGAAATAAATGACTCGCTCTGTCGCCCAGGCTGGAGTGCAGTGACGTGATCTTGGCTCGCTGCAACCTTCACCTCCCGGGTTCAAGTGATTCTCCTGCCTCAGCCTCCCGAGTAGCTGGGACTGCAGGCGCCCGCCACCGCGCCTGGTTAATTTTTTATATGTTTAGTAGAGACCGGGTTTCACCATGTTGGCCAGGCTGGTCTCGATCTCCTGACTTCAAATGATCCACCCGCCTCGGCTTCCCAAAGTGCTGGGATTACAGGTGTGAGCCACCGCGCCTGTCCCTTTATTTTTTTGAGACATGGTCTTGTTCTGTTACCCGGGCTGGAATGAAGTGGCAACATCATAGCTCATTGAAGCCTCAACTACCTGGGCTCAGGCAATCCTCCCGCCTCAGTCGGCCAAGTAGCTGGGACCACAGGCTCATCACCACACCTGGCTAGTTTTTTAATTTTTTGTAGAGACAGGGGCCCCACTTGTTGCCGAGGCTGTTCTCAAACTCCTGGGCTCCAGCGATCCTCCTGCCTAGGCCTCCTGAAGTGCTGGGATTACAGGTGTGAGCCACCGTGCCCAGGCAATCGGATCTGTTTTAACTGGACCCCTCTGGGTGCTTTGCTGATTACAGCAAGCTGACCTACAGCAAGTACTCCAGGATAGAAGCAGGGGGCCCCTGTAGGTCTCAGGAGTCAGGAGAGAGAAACTGGTTTTGAACCAGAATGTTGGTAGTGGAGCTACCACATGTTGCAGTGATGAATCCAGTGTGGGTGAGAGAGGAGGAGAGGGCTGGCCGGGCGCGGCGGCTCAGGCCTGTAATCCCAGCACTCTGGGAGGCCGAGGCGGGCGGATCACGAGGTCAGGAGATCAAGACCATCCTGGCTAACACAGTGAAACCCCGTCTCTACTAAAAATACAAAAATTAGCCGGGCGCGGTGGCGGGCGCCTGTAGTCCCAGCTACTCGGGAGGCTGAGGCAGGAGAATGGCGTGAACCCAGGAGGCGGAGCTTGCAGTGAGCCGAGATCGCGCCACTGCACTCCAGCCTGGGCGACAGAGCGAGACTCCGTCTCAAAAAAAAAAAAGAGGAGGAGAGGGGCTCCTGCTCACCCCAGTTGCACTGGCTGAGCACAGGAGGGGTATCAAGATCAGGCAGAGTTGCACGTGCTCACGGCAGCAGGAGCATCTCCTGCATCTGGTGCCCCTGGCCCCAGTCCCCATTCCGTAGCTCAACTCAGCAGCACCTCCCGCTCCTGCAAAGGAGACCATGGTGAGGGCAGGAGAAGGGCATAGCCTGCTGAACGCAGGGTGTCTCTTCTCTAGGTTGTGAGGCTGAGGCTTTTTCACCCCCACTTCCTGGAAGTTCCCTCAACGGAACCTGCCAGAAATCTGCCCCTTAGGATGCTAGGGGAAAAGCTTTTGCTGGGGAAAGGCTCGCCAGAGGCATCTGCTATAAAACCGGCGAGGAGGGTGCTGCTGACCAGGGCAGGGGACAGGCGTCGGGGAAGCCCGGGGCCGCCAGCCGCAGGGCCAAGCCCTTTTCTCCTGCAACGTCTCTGGCGCCCTCTACCGACAAAGCCTAACAGCGCCAGCTGGCAAAAGAGAAATACCGAATATTTGAGCCGCCCAGATACGCTTTCGCAGAGAGCATCGGTGAATCCTGGGCAATACACTGACAACTGGAAAAAACGTTTAGAGATCCCTTAAGTGCTCCATGTTTTCCCAACATTTACCCACGGCTCGCTCTAACATCTGAAATAATAGTAATCATTTTTGAAATTATTTTGATGGAATTAAACAATTCCAGCACTTGTTAAATAGGCACATACTTAATTTGCAAAACGCCGTGCAAGAACCCGTAGCGCACCTGGAGAAAACTGTCTGGAGGCGGCTCAGGCACTCCGGGTCCAGGCAGGACGCGGGACGGGGAGGGGCCAGGCCTGGCGCCCGGGGCTGAGCCCGCTCCTGCTGCTCGGGGCGTCCACGCCCCGCGGCCTCTGGGAGGGGCCTGTGGCAGGAGGGAGGCCCGGGAGAACAGGCCCTTTCCTGGGCCACGGGGGAAACCCCTGCCCCAGGTGTGTGTCTCTCAAATGCTGCGTCGGGCCACGCGAGGATTGTTTTGTGGCTACAACAAAATTAACTATGCTTGCACAAAACTTTAGCCAATACCTCAAAGGGAAACGTAAAAGGGGAAAGACGCACTCTTACCCCACCCACTCCAAGGCAGCAGTCAGCACACCCAAGCCCTCGTGCTCCCACGCGGGTTTCACCGAGTGCCCCACTCCAGGGGGCCCGGAGAGCCGGCCCAGGTCCCGGCCCCGCCCACCCGCGCGGCCCCGCCCCCGGCCGCGAGCGTGCGCGCCCCAAGCGGAGACCCCGCCCCCGGAGCGCGTGCCCGTGCGCCGCCGCCGCCATTTTGGAGCGATCGGAGTGCCGCCCGCGGCCCCGAGTCGGTCTCGAGCCGCCGGCCGGCCGTGCCGGTGTCCGTAGGCGCTGCGCCCTCGGCCGGGCCCATGTGTGTGCGGCCCGCCCGAGGCCGCCCGGGCTTTGCCTCCACCAGCGCCCTGGCCTCCGCTCGGGCCTCCACACGGGCCTCCGAAGAGCTGCCGCGACGCCCGGCCCGCAGGGCAGGTGAGTGCGGCCGCCCGCCGCTCAGACCCGGCCCCCAGTCTGCCAGTGCCCCCCAAGTCACTTCTCCCCGAGTCAGTCAGTGCCCCCTCCAGATAGTTATCCCCCAGTCAGTCAGTTCCCCCTCCAGTCAGTTCCCCCCAGTCGGTGCCCCCGGAGTCAGTGCCCCCCCCAAGTCAGTCAGTGCCCCCTCCAGTCAGTTCCCCCCCAGTTAGTGCACCCTCTAGTCAGTTCCCCCAGTCAGTGCCCCCTCCAGTCAGTTCCCCCCCAGTCAGTTCCCCCCCAGTCAGTTTCCCCCCAGTCAGTTTCCCCCCAGTCAGTGCCCCCCAGTCAGTGCCCCCTCCAGTCAGTTCCCCCCCAGTCAGTGCCCCCTCCAGTCAGTTTCCCCCCAGTCAGTGCCCCCTCCAGTCAGTTCCCCCCCAGTCAGTGCCTCCTCCAGTCAGTTTCCCCCAGTCAGTGCCTCCTCCAGTCAGTTTCCCCCAGTCAGTGCCCCCTCCAGTCAGTTCCCCCCCCAGTCAGTGCCCCCTCTAGTCAGTTCCCCCCCAGTCAGTGCCCCCTCTAGTCAGTTCCCCCCCAGTCAGTGCCCCCTCTAGTCAGTTTCCCCCCAGTCAGTGCCTCCTCCAGTCAGTTTCCCCCAGTCAGTGCCTCCTCCAGTCAGTTTCCCCCAGTCAGTGCCTCCTCCAGTCAGTTTCCCCCAGTCAGTGCCCCCTCCAGTCAGTTCCCCCCAGTCAGTGCCCCCCCAGTCAGTTTCCCCCCAGTCAGTGCCCCCCAGTCAGTGCCCCCCAGTCAGTGCCCCCTCCAGTCAATTCCCCCCAGTCAGTGCCCCCTCCAGTCAGTTCCCCCCCCAGTCAGTGCCCCCTTCAGTCAGTTCCCCCAGTCAGTGCCCCCTCCAGTCAGTTCCCCCCCAGTCAGTGCCCCCCCAGTCAGTTTCCCCCCAGTCAGTGCCCCCCAGTCAGTGCCCCCTCCAGTCAATTCCCCCCAGTCAGTGCCCCCTCCAGTCAATTCCCCCCAGTCAGTGCCTCCTCCAGTCAGTTTCCCCCAGTCAGTGCCCCCTCCAGTCAGTTCCCCCCAGTCAGTGCCCCCCCAGTCAGTTTCCCCCCAGTCAGTGCCCCCCAGTCAGTGCCCCCTCCAGTCAATTCCCCCTAGTCAGTGCCCCCTCCAGTCAGTTCCCCCCCAGTCAGTGCCTCCTCCAGTCAGTTTCCCCCAGTCAGTGCCTCCTCCAGTCAGTTTCCCCCAGTCAGTGCCCCCTCCAGTCAGTTCCCCCCCCAGTCAGTGCCCCCTCTAGTCAGTTCCCCCCCAGTCAGTGCCCCCTCTAGTCAGTTCCCCCCCAGTCAGTGCCCCCTCTAGTCAGTTCCCCCCCAGTCAGTGCCCCCTCTAGTCAGTTCCCCCCCAGTCAGTGCCCCCTCTAGTCAGTTTCCCCCCAGTCAGTGCCTCCTCCAGTCAGTTTCCCCCAGTCAGTGCCTCCTCCAGTCAGTTTCCCCCAGTCAGTGCCTCCTCCAGTCAGTTTCCCCCAGTCAGTGCCCCCTCCAGTCAGTTCCCCCCAGTCAGTGCCCCCCCAGTCAGTTTCCCCCCAGTCAGTGCCCCCCAGTCAGTGCCCCCTCCAGTCAATTCCCCCCAGTCAGTGCCCCCTCCAGTCAGTTCCCCCCCAAGTCAGTGCCCCCTCCAGTCAGTTCCCCCAGTCAGTGCCCCCTCCAGTCAGTTCCCCCCCAGTCAGTGCCTCCTCCAGTCAGTTTCCCCCAGTCAGTGCCCCCTCCAGTCAGTTCCCCCCCCAGTCAGTGCCCCCTCCAGTCAGTTCCCCCCCCCAGTCAGTACACCCTCTAGTCAGTTCCCCCAGTCAGTGCCCCCTCCAGTCAGTTCCCCCCAGTCAGTTTCCCCCCAGTCAGTTTCCCTCCAGTCAGTGCCCCCCAGTCAGTGCCCCCTCCAGTCAGTGCCCCCTCCAGTCAGTTTCCCCCCAGTCAGTGCCCCCTCCAGTCAGTTCCCCCCAGTCAGTTTTCCCCCAGTCAGTTTCCCTCCAGTCAGTGCCCCCCAGTCAGTGCCCCCTCCAGTCAGTGCCCCCTCCAGTCAGTTTCCCCCCAGTCAGTGCCCCCTCCAGTCAGTTCCCCCCCAGTCAGTTTCCCCCCAGTCAGTTTCCCTCCAGTCAGTGCCCCCTCCAGTCAGTTCCCCCCATCAGTGCCCCCCTAGTCAGTGCCCCCTCCAGTCAGTTCCCCCCCCCCGGTCAGTTCCCCCCCCCAGTCAGTGCCCCCTCCAGTCAGTTTCCCCCCAGTCAGTGCCCCCCAAGTCAGTGCCCCCTCCAGTCAGTTCCCCCCCAGTCAGTGCCCCCCTCCAGTCAGTTCCCCCCAGTCAGTGCATCCTCTAGTCAGTTCCCCCCAGTCAGTGAACCCTCCAGTCAGTGACCCACCCAGTCAGTGCCCCCTCCAGTCAGTTCCCCCCCAGTCAGTGCCCCCCTCCAGTCAGTTCCCCCCAGTCAGTGCATCCTCTAGTCAGTTCCCCCCAGTCAGTGAACCCTCCAGTCAGTGACCCACCCAGTCAGTGCCCCCTCCAGTCAGTTCCCCCAGTCAGTTGCCCCCCAGTCAGTGCCCCCCAAGTCAGTCAGTTCCCCCTCCAGTCAGTTCCCCCAGTCAGTCAGTGCCCCCCAGTCAGTGCCCCCCCCAAGTCAGTCACTGTCCCCTCCAGTCAGTGCCCCTCCAGTAAGTTCTCCCCAGTCAGTGCATCCCCTAGTCAGTTCCCCCCAGTCAGTGCCCCCTTCAGTGTCCCCCAGTCAGTTCCCCTCAGTCAGTGCCCCCCCAGTCAGTTCCCCCCGCAATCAGTTCCCCCGTCAGTGCCCCCTCCAGTCAGTGCCCCCCAAATCAGTGCCCCCAGTCAGTGCCCACTCCAGTCAGTTCCCCTCCAGTAAGTGCCCCCCAAGTCAGTTTCCTCCCAAGTCAGGGCCCCCTCCAGTCAGTTCCCTCCCAGTCAGTCAGTGCCCCCCCAGTCAGTGCCCTCCTTCTGTTCCCCCACCCTACACCAGTCAGTGCTTCCTGCACCAGTCAGTGTCCCCTGCTAGCTAGTCATTGCACCTCACCCATCAGTCCCCACCCCACCCATCAGTGCCCCCCACCGTCAGTCAGTGCCCCTTGCAAGTCATGCTCCTCCTGTCGGTCAGTGCCTCCGCATCTGTCAGTCCGCGCACTGGTCAGTGCCTCCACTGTTGGTCAGTGCTCCCCCACCGTCAGTCCACTCTGCTCCCCATCAGTGTCCCCCAGTCAGAGTCCCGCATCCCTGTCCCCCGTCAGCCAGTGCCCCCCCAGTCAATTATTTTCTTTCTGTCATGTCCCCACTTCCCATCAGTGCCTGCACCCCCACCCGTACCCGTCAGTCACTGACCGCATAATCCCTCCCCTGCCAGTGCCCTTCCTTGTCAGTCCAAGCGCTCTGTGACCCCTTCTGTCAGCAATGTCCCCACCTGTCATTGATCTTCTCTGTCAGTGCCCCCCATCAGTGCCAGTGCCTCTGTCAGTGAGCCCCACTGTCAGTAAGTTTCCCTCATAAGTGTCTCCCTCATCCTGCCTGTTGTGGCCCTTCCGCTCTTTGCTATCGGCCTCTGTGTTAGTGCCTGTCAGATCCTCCCCATCAGTTCTCCCCTGTTGTCAGTTCCTGTCCCCTTTCATGCTACCTCCTTCATCCCTTATCTGTTAGGGACCCATTAGTACCCTGCCCTGCTGTTAGTGACCCCACCTGTCAGTGTCTCCCCACTGCTTCTCTCCTGCCTGTCAGTGGGAGAACTTTCAGTGCCCGCTGTCATCACCCCTCTTGTCCAATCACTGATTCCCCTTTCCATTATTTCCTAACCCTTTCCAACACTACTCGTCTTTTCCTGTCGCGCTCCCCATCACGGCTTGAGATATCACCAGTCATCTAACCTCACCTTACCCCGCACTGCCCTGTTGCTTCCATCCCCATCATCTCTTCCTTCAGCCTGTCACCTTCCCCCATGCACCGTACTGTCCCCCGACCTGCCACTCTGTGTACTCGCAGCTTCCCTACCTGCTTTGTCCACTCTCTTGTTACTGACTCCTCCCAATTTGCTGCTCATTCCCTGACCTGTCAGCACCAGCTCCCCCAAGTCTGTCACTTCCATTTAGTCCCTGCCTTTCACTGCAGCCCCCTCTTTGTCACTGTACCCACTGATTTTGTTCTAGACCCTTCTCCTGTGTCTTGTTCTTTCATCCACCCTTCCCTCATGGCCTCTCTCTGCCCTGCTCTTGGCTTCTCCTTGCCCCTGCAGTTGCCGACACTGTTCACTGTTCACTGAAAGAGGCTCTTCACCTCTTTTTGATGTCCCTTTTTCTGGTTTATCTTCCCTTTGTTTTTATTTTTTACTTTAAAATGTTGTGGGTACACAATAGGTGTATATATCTCTCCCCTTTGACTTTTCTAACTCACTTCAGTTAATCTTTGGAATGTGAGAGGCAGCTAGCTTTGAGACAAATTGGGGGACAGAGTCTCCCATGCTGAGAGGACAGCACATGCAAAGGCCCTGAAGTGGGAAATTTTGGGTGTGATATCCTCCAGGAACCTAGATAAGACTGATGTGCTTATGGTAAGGGAGAGAGAGGCAGGAGCCTGGGCTGGAAAGTTGGTTTTCTCATTAAGCCGTTCCTTGCAGGTGTTAGTAGGGAGTTGGACCTTCAGTCTGAGTTGTAGGAGAAACCTGGCCTGGAGATTGAGTTGGAGAGTGCCATGATCATATGGACATTGGCACGTGGACAGCAGGTGGGGGTGAGATGAAGTGTTGGGAGCTGGGTGTAGTGATTGTAATGGTTTAGAACTTGGTGGTGGGTTTAGGGAGATATTTTGGAGGTAGAGCTGTTGGGACTTGTTGGTAGATGAGAAGAGAGGTGTGAGAGAATGAATGGACTCAGGGTAATTTCTGGGCTGCTTTTATCCTCCCAGCCCCATCAACCCTTCTAGGCTTTCTGATGGAACAAATGGGTGGATAGTAGCACTGTTTATTGAAATAGGGAAGCTGAATTAGGGTGGTGTCAGGGCTGGGGGTGTTACTACAGTTTGGAAGTAGAAAGCAAGGCTTTCTCTTGGCTGAAAGTAGGGGAAGTCTGAGAAGTCCGAGGGTCACTAGGGAGAAGGTATCTTACAGGAGGGTCTGGAACCCAGAGGAGAGGCCAAGCCGCAGGTATACAACTGTCATCATGGGGGCAAGGTATAAAGCCTTGGGGATGGCTATTTATTTAAAAGCACATGGGCTGGGTGCGGTGGTTCACGCCTGTAATCCCAGCACTTTGGGAGGCTGAGGTGGGAGCATCACTTAAGGCCAGGGCAGCCTGGGGACATGACAAAACCCTATCTCTACAAAAACAAAAAGCAGGGCCGGGCGCAGTGGCTCACGCCTGTAATCCCAGCACTTTGGGATGCTGAGGCGGGCGGATCACCTGAGGTCAGGAGTTCGAGACCAGCTTGGCCAACATAGTGAAACTCCATCTCTACTGAAAATACAAAAAAAACTAGCCAGGCATGGTGGTGGGCGCCTGTAATCCCAGCTACTCAGGAGGCTGGGGCAGGAGAATCGCTTGAACCTGGGAGGTGGAGGTTGCAGTGTGCCGAGATTGTGCCATTGCACTCTAGCCTGGGCGACAAGAGTGAGACTTCCTCTCAAAAAAAAAAAAAAAAAAAAAAGTTGGGCATGGTGGTGTGCGCCTATAGTCCCAGCTGCTCGGACACTGAGGTGGCAGGATCACCTGAGCCTGGGGAGGTCAAGGCTGCAGTGAGCTGTGATCACTCCATTGCACTCCAGCCTGGGCGACAGCGTGAGACCCTGTCTCAAAAAAAAAAAAAAAAAAAAACGGGCTGGACGTGGTGACTCGTGCCTATAATCCCAGCACTTTGGGAGGCTGAGGCGGGAGGATCACTTGAGGCCAGGAGTTCTAGACCAGCCTGAGCAACATAGTGAGGCCCCATCTCTGCCAAAAATAAATAAAAGCACACCCACAAAAGCAGAATGTGGCCAGGCATAGTGGCTCATGCCTGTAATCCCAGCAGTTTGGGAGGCTGAGGCAGGTGGATCACCTGAGGTCAGGAATTCGAGACCAGCCTGGCCAACATGGTGAAACCCCGTCTTTACTAAAAATACAAAAAATTAGCCAGGCGTGGTGGCATGCGCCTGTAATCCCAGCTGAGGCAGGAGAATTGCTTGAACCCGGGAAGCGGAGGTTGCAGTGAGCCAAGATCACAACATTGCATTCCATTCTGGGCAACAAGAGTGAAACTCCATCTTAAAAAAAAAAAAAACAGAAAAAAGCAGCTGGGTGTGGTGGCCCACGCCTGTAATCAGTTTGGGAGGCCGAGGCGGGTGGATCACCTGAGGTCAGGAGTTCGAGACCAGCCTGAACAACATGGTGAAACTCCGTCTCTACTAAAAATACAAAAATTAGCCAGGCGTGGTGGTGCATGCTTGTAATCCCAGCTATTCGGGAGCCTGAGGCAGGAGAATGCCTTGAACCCAGGTGGTGGAGGTTGCACTGAGCCAAGATTGTGCCACTGCACTCCAGCCTAGGCAACAGAGCAAGACTCTGTCTCAAAAAGAAAAAAAAAGAAACCATTTTATTTGCTCATTCATTAAAAGCAGCTCCTTATCTGTTTTATCCTGAGATTGCAGCAATTCAGTCACATCTTCAGGCTCTACTTCTAGTTCTGTTACTTATTTTTTGAGACGAAGTTTCCCTCTTGTTGCCCTGGCTGGAGTGCAGTGGTGCAATCTTGGCTCACTGCAACCTCTGCCTC
Organism: Homo sapiens; assembly: GCF_000001405.40. NCBI lineage: Eukaryota > Metazoa > Chordata > Mammalia > Primates > Hominidae > Homo > Homo sapiens. The sequence goes on from NC_000022.11 coordinate 50,350,322, forward strand.
CCGAGTTCAAGCGATTCTCCTGCCTCAGCCTCCTGAGTAGCGGGGATTACAGGCGCCCACCACCATGCCTGGCTAATTTTTGCATTTTCTATAAAGATGGGATTTCACCATGTTGGCCAGGCTGGTCTCGAACTCCTGACTTCAGGTGATCTGCCTGCCTTGGCCTCCCAAAGTTGCTGGGATTACAGGCATGAACCACTGCGACCGGCCTGAAATGTATTTCTGAAATAATAAGAAAATTAGGCTGGGCGCGGTGGCTCACGCCTGTAATCCCAGCACTTTGGGAGGCCGAGACAGGCAGATCACGAGGTCAGGAGATCGAGACCATCCTGGCTAACACGGTGAAACCCCGTCTCTACTAAAAATTCAAAAAATTAGCCGGGTGTGGTGGTGGGCGCCTGTAGTCTCAGCTACTTGGGAGGCTGAGGCAAGAGAATGGCATGAACCCAGGAGGCGCAACTTGCAGTGAGCCGAGATTGCCCCACTGCACTCCAGCCTGGGCGACAGAGCAAGACTCCGTCTCAAAAAAAAAAAAAAAATTACTCCTTGATCCATGGGCTGCAGTATGGAGTATGTTAGCAGGCATGACAACATTAGTCTCCTTGTACATCTTAATCAGAGCTCTTGGGTGACTAGATGCATGGTCAATGAGCAGTAATATTTTGAAAGGAATCTTTTTTTTCTGAGCAGTAGGTCTCAACAGTGTTTTTTTTTTTTTTTTTTTTTTTTTTTTTTTGAGACAGAGTTTCACTCTTGTTGCCCAGGCTGGAGTGCAATGGCGCAATCTTGGCTCACCGCAACCTAAGCCTCCCAGGTTCAAGTGATTCTCCTGCCTCAGCCTCCCTAGTGGCTGGGATTACAGGCATGTGCCATTGCGCCCAGCTAATTTTGTATTTTTAGTAGAGATGGTGTTTCACCATGTTGGCCAGGCTGGTCTCAAACTCCTGACCTCAAGTGATCCGCCCGCCTTGGCCTCCCAAAGTGCTGGGATTACAGGAGTGAGCCACCGCGCTCGGCCTGATTTAGCATAATTCTTAAGGGTCCTAGGATTTTCAGAATGATAAATGAGCATTCAATTTAAAAGTCACCAGCTGCATTAGCGAGTCAGCCTGTGCACTCAAGCTTTGAAGCCAGGCGTTGACTTACCCTGTCTAGCTATGAAAATCCTAGATGGCACCTTCTTCCAATAGAAGACTGTTTCATCTGTATTGAAAAATCTGTTGTTTGCCATAGCCTCCTTCATCAATTGTCCTAGCTGGATCTTCCAGATCTAGCGACAACTTCTATATCAGCATTTGCTGTTTTGTTTTTGTTTTTTGTTTTTTGTTTTGAAATGGAGTCTCCCTCTGTCACCCAGGCTGGAGTGCAGTGGTGCCATCTCAGCTCACCGCAACCTCTGGTTCCCGTGTTCAAGTGATTCTCCTGCCTCAGCCTCTTGAGTAGCTGGGATTACAGGTAGCCGCCGCCATACCCAGCTAATTTTTTTTTTTGAAACGGAGTCTTGCTCTGTCACCCAGTCTGGAGTGCAGTGGCGCGATCTCGGCTCACTGCAAGCTCTGCCTCCCAGGTTCATGCCATTCTCCTGCCTCAGCCTCCCCAGCAGCTGGGACTACAGGTGCACACCACCATGCCCAGCTAATTTTTTTGTATTTTTTAGTAGAGACGGGGTTTCATCGTGTTAGCCAGGATGGTCTCCATCTCCTGACCTCATGATCCGCCTGCCTCGGCCTCCCAAAGTGCTGGGATTACAGGCGTGAGCCACCGCACCCGGCCACACCCAGCTAATTTTTGTATTTTTTAGTAGAGACGGGGTTTCACCATGTTGGCCAGGCTGGTCTTGAACTCCTGACCTCAAGTGATCCTTCCGCCTCGGCCTCCCAAAGTGCTGGGATTACAGGCAAGAGCCATCGCGCCCGGCCGGCATTTGCTGTTTCACCTTGCACTTTAGTATGTTATGGAGGTGGCTTCTTAAACCTCATGAAACAACCTCCGCTAGCTTCCAGTTTTTCTTCTGCAGCTTCGTCATCTCTGTCATCCTTTGTAGAACTGAAAAGAGTGAGGGCCTTACTGTAGACTATTTAAGTCTGGTTTCGTCTTCTCTCCAAACCATTAAAACTTTCTGCAGGCATTGGGTGCGGTGTCTGACCCCTGTAATCCCAGCACTTTGTGAGGCTGAGGCAGGTGGATCACGAGGTCAGGAGGAGACCATCCTGGCCAACATGGTGAAACCCCATCTCTACTAAAAATACAAAAATTTGCTGGGTATGGTGGTGCGTGCCTGTAGTCCCAGCTACTCGGGAGGCTGAAGCACAAGAATTGCTTGAACCAAGGAGGTGGAAGTTGCAGTGAGCCAAGATCACGCCACTGCACTCCAGCCTGGTGACAGAGCGAGACTCTGTCTCAAAACAAAAACAAAAACAAAAAAAAAAAACACACAAAACAACAACAACGTAACTTTCTGCAGGCTAGGCACGGTTGCGCACACCTCTAATCCCAGCACTTTGGGAGGCTGAGTGGGGAGGATCGCTTGAGCTCGGGAGTTTGAGACCAACCTGAGTAATACAGTGAAACCTCATCGCTACAAAATAAAAGTTTAGCTGAATGTGGTGGTGCATGCCTATAGTCCCAGCTACTGGGGAGGCTGAGGTAGGAGGATGGCTTGAATCTGGGACGTCAGAGCTGCAGTGAGCTGTGATGGTGCCACTACATTCCAGCCTGGGCAACAGAGTAAGACCTGCCTCCAAACAGAAAGCAGCCTTCTCCGTGTCAGCAATAAAGCTGCTTTGCTTTATTATTATTTATGTCTTCACTGGAGTAGCAGTTTTAATTTCCCTCAAGAACCTTTCTTTGGCATTCACAACTTGGCAAACTGGTGCAGGAGGGCTAGCTTTTGGCCTGTCGGCTTTTGACATGCCTTCTTCACTAAGCTTAAGCATTTCTAGCTTTTGATCGAAATGAGAGACATGTGACTCTTCCTTTCCTACAGGATTAATTGACCTAACGTTATTACGTTATTACTGTTGTGTCTCAGGGAGTAGGGAGCCCTGAGGAGAGGGGGAGAGACTCAGGGAAATGGCCGGTCAGAACTTACGCAGCGTTTATTAAGTTTGCTATCCTATATGGGCACGGTTTGTAGTTTCCCAAAACAATTAAAATAGTAACATCAAACATCACCGATAACAGGTCACCATAACAGATAAAATAATAATGAAAGAGTTTGAAATATTGTGAGAATTACCAGAATGCAACACAGAGACACGAAGTAAGCACATGCTGTTGGAAAAATGGCACCCCTCGACGTGCTTGACGCAAGGTTGCTACCAGCCTTTAATTTGTAGAAAGCACATTACCTGCGAAGCACAATGAAGGGAAGCACGTTAGACAAAGTACGCCTGTGTTGTTTTCCATTTCACAGATGAGGAAATGGAAATAAACAGCAAGTAGATGATAGAGGCAAGATTTGTACCCCAGGTAGTGTGACTCAAAAGCCTCTCCCTTTTTTTTTTTTTTTGTTAAGGGAAAGGCTAACTTTTAAAAATATTTTTAAAAAATTTTAATAGATTCCCTAGAAGAATAGAGGAAGAACAAAGAAAATTAAAAGAATACATTTTGGAATTGTAACGATAACTGATTATGTATCAGGCATTTGTGTGTTCTTGTTTATGTTCCAATACAATTTTATTTAGAAAAGCTGACTGGGAGGCCGGGCGCGGTGGCTCATGCCTGTAATCTCAGCACTTTTGGAGGCCGAGGTGGGCGGATCACCTGGGGTCCGGAGTTTGAGACCACCGTGGCCAACATGGTGAAACCCTGTCTCTACTAAAAATACAAAAATTAGCCGGGCATGGTGGCACGTGGCTGTAATTCCAGCTACTCAGGAGGCTGAGGCAGGAGAATCACTTGAACCCAGAAGGTGGAGATTGTAGTGAGCCAAGATCATGCCACTGCACTCCAGCCTGGGCGACGGAGCGAGACTTTGTCTCAAAATAAATAAATAATAAATAAAATAAAATGCCTGGGACTAGAGATGTTTTGGATTTCAAATTTTCTCAGAGTTACCAGTTGAGCTTCCCCAATAAGGAATCTGAAATGCTCCAGTGAGCATGTCCTTTGAGCATCATGTAGATGCTCAACAAGTTTTGGATTGGAGTGCTTTTTTTATTTTTATTTTTTGGCTAGTCAAGTGAAGCACTGGGAGTGGAAAAGGAACACAAACATTTGTAGGTGGGCACGGCGCCTCACACCTGTAATCCCAGCACTTTGGGAGGCTGAGGTGGGTGGATCACCTGAGGTCCGGAGTTTGAGACCAGGCTGGCCAACATGGTTAAACCCTGTCTGTACTAAAAATACAAAAATTAGCCGGGCATGGTGGCAAGCGCCTGTAATCGCAGCTACTCAGGAGGCTGAGGCAGGGGTTGCAGTGAACCGAGATCATGCTACTGCACTCCAGCCTGGATGACAGTGAGACTCTCTCTCGTACACGTACATACAAATCTGTAACTGGTTGTGATCAATTAGTTGTAAAAGCTGCTGCACCTGGATCAGCCTTTTTTTTTTTTTTTTTTGAGACAGTCTCATTCTGTGTCACCTAGGTTGAGTGCAGTGGCACAGTCACAGCTCACCACAGCCTTGACCTGCCAGGCTCCTGAGTAGCTGAGACTACAGGTGCCTGCCACCATGCCTGGCTAATTTTTTATTTTTTGTGGAGACAGGGCCTTGCTCTATTGCCCAGGCTGATCCTGAACTCCTGGACTTAAGCGATCCTCCCACCTCAGCCTCCCAAAGTACTGGGACTACAGGCGTGAGCCACTTTGCCTGGCCCAGGATTTCAATTTCACGATTTTTGGTTTAGGGATACTCCTCCTATATTGGAAATCCTGTTATATCCACATACAGCAAGCAGCCTTCTTTTTTTTTTTTTTTTTTTCTTTTTTGAGACAGAGTCTCGCTCTGTAGCCTAGGCTGGAGTGCAGCGGCGTGATCTCGGCTCACTGCAAGCTCCGCCTCCCAGGTTCATGCCATTCTCCTGCCTCAGCCTCTCCGAGTAGCTGGGACTGCAGGTACCTGCCACCACGCCCGGCTAATTTTTTGTATTTTTAGTAGAGAAGGGGTTTCACTGTGGTCTCGATCTCCTAACCTCGTGATCGGCCGCCCGCCTTGGCCTTCCAAAGTGCTGGGATTACAAGCGTGAGCCACTGCGCCCGGCCTTTTTTTTTTGAGATAGAGTCTCGCTCTGTCGCCCAGGCTGGAGTGCAGTGGTGCGATCTTGGCTCACTGCAAGCTCCGCCTCCTGGATTCACGCCATTCTCCTGCCTCAGCCTCCTGAGTACCTGGGACTACAGGTGCCCGCCACCACACCCAGCTAATTTTTTTCTATTTTTAGTAGAGACGGGGTTTCACTGTGTTAGCCAGGATGGTCTCGATCTCCTTACCTCATGATCCGCCCGCCTCGGCCTCCCAAATTGCTGGGATTACAGGGGTGAGCCACTGCGCCTGGCACAGCCTTATTCTTTAAAATGGAAAAAAAAAAACCAAAAAAAAAGCTTTTAAAAATTTTTCTCTTTTAAAAAGTGTACACATAACACATAATTGTATATATTTATGGGGTACATAGTGATGTTTTAATACCTATAGTGTATTTCCCTCTTTTTTTTTTTTTGAGACGGAGTCTCGCTCTGTCACTCAGGCTGGAGTGCAGTGGCGCGATCTCGGCTCACTGCAAGCTCCGCCTCCCAGGTTCATGCCATTCTCCTGCCTCAGCCTCCAGAGTAGCTGGGACCACAGGCGCCCGCCACCACGCCCGGCTAATTTTTTCTATTTTTTTAGTAGAGACGGGGTTTCACCGTGTTAGCCAGGATGGTCTCGATCTCCTGACCTCGTGATCTGCCTGCCTCGGCCTCCCAAAATGCTGGGATTACAGGTGCGAGCCACCACGCCCGGCCTTCCCTCTTCTTTTTAACACAGAATGTACAGTCTATTTTTCCTTTTTTTTTTTTTTTTTGAGAGGGTGTCACTCTGTCATCTCGGCTGGAATGCAGTGGAATGATCGTTGTCACAGAAGTCTCAACCTTCCCAGGCTGAGGTAGTCATCACACCTCAGCCTCCCAAGTAGCTGGGACTGCAGGTACACACCACCATGTCCAGCTAATTTTTTTTTGTATTTTTAGTAGAGACAAGATTTTGCCACGTTGGCCAGGCTGGTGAAAATTCTTACATTAATACAAGTCTTTTCTGTGGACATATGTTATTTCTTTTGAGTAAACAGGAGTAGAAGTGCTGGGTTATAACATAGATGTATGTTTCACTTTTTTAAGAAACTGCCAGTTTTCGGCCGGTTGTGGTGGCTCACGCCTGTAATATGCCAGCACTTTAAAGGAGGCCGAGGCGGGTGGATCACAAGGTCGGGAGTTCGAGACCAGCCTGACCAACATGGTGAAACCCCGTCTCTACAAAAAATAAAAAAATTAGCCGGCCATGGTGGCCGGCGCCATAATCCCAGCTACTTGGGAGGCTGAGGCAGGAGAATTGCTTGAACCCGGGAGGCAGAGGTTGCAGTGAGGCAAGATCGTGCCACTGCCCTCCAGCTTGGGCGACAGAGGGAGACTCTGTCTCAAAAAAAAAACAAAAAAGCAAAAACAAAACTTCCAGTTTTCCAAACTGGAAACATTTTACACTCCTACTAGTAATGGGTGAGAATTCCTTTCTCCTTGCCTATGACAGCACTTAGCCTTTTTACTTTTAGCCATTCAGGCGGTAGTGGTATCTTACTGTGGTTTTAATTTGAGTTTGTCTGATGAATTATGATGGTGAGCAACTTTTCAGGTGCCTTACGGGCCATTCGTGTATTTTTTTGTGAAATATTAATATCTATTCATGCTTTTACCCACTGTTTATTGGATTGTTCTTTTATTCACTTTTAGGAGTTTACAAAAATAAATTCTGGTTACAAGTCCTTTGTGGTGTGTGCATGCGTATATGCATATACATACATAGTGAGGGGAGGAAGAGGAAGGGGGTGAATTTTTTTTGTTATACTAGTTGCTTATTTTCTCTTTCTCTTTCATCTCTTTCCCTCCCTCTCTCCATCCCTCTTCTTTCTTTTCTTTTCTTTTTCTTTTTTCTCTCTCTTTCCCTACCTCCCTTCCTTCCTTTCCCCTTTTCCTCCCTGTCTCTCTCTCTCTCTTTCTTTTTTGATGAGGTCTCACTCTGTCACCCAGGCTGGAGTACAGTAAATGTGATCATAGCTCACTGCAGCTTCAAACTCCTAGGATCAAGCAGTCTTCCCACCTCAGCCTCCCTGGCTAATTTTTTTTTTTCTTTTTTTGAGATGGAGTCTTGCACTGTCACCCAGGTTGGAGTGCAGTGGCATGATCTCCACTGCAACCTCCACCTCCTGGGTTCAAGTGATTCTCCTGCCTCGGCCTCCCGAGTAGCTGGGGTTACAGACACCTGCCTCCAAGCCCAGCTAATTTTTTTGTATTTTTAGTAGAGACAGGGTTTCACTATGTTGGCCAGGGTGGTCTTTAACTCCTGACCTCGTGATTCGTCCTCCTTGGCCTTCCAAAGTGCCGGGATTACAGGTGTGAGCCACCGCACCTGGCACCTGGCCCCTGGCTAATTTTTTAAATTTTTTAAATTTTAATTTCTTGAGACACGGTCTCGCTTTGTTGCCTAGGCTGGAGTGCAGTGGCGTGATCGTGGCTCACTGCGGCTTTGACCTTCGGAAGCAATCCTCCCACCTCAGCCTCCCAAGTAGCTAGGACCATAGGCACAAGCCACCACACCTGGATAATTTAAAAAAAAAAAAATTCTTGGTAGAGATGGGGGTCTCTCTGCGTAGCCCAGGGTGTTCTTTAACTCCTGACCTCAAGTGATCCTCCACCTTTAGCCTCCTGAGTCGCTCAGATTACAGGTGTGAACCAGTGTACCCAGCTCCTGTTTGTTTATTTTGTTTTGTTGTTTCTTATTTGTTAATGGTATCTTTTGATGAACAGAACATTTTAATTTGGATATAGTAAAAATTTACCAATTTTTTCTGTTATGATTATTTTGTGTCTTAAGAAAATTTTGCCTGCACCAGGTTGTGTAGATGCTGCCCTGTGTTTTTTGTAGAAGCTTTACAGTGGTAGCTTTTGTATTTAGGTCTGTCATCCATCTTTTTCTTTTTAACAGCTTTATTGAGATAAAATTAATATGATAAACTATACATGCTTAAAGTATAAAATTTGATAAGTTTTGACATATGTATACATTTGTGAAATTGTCACTATAGTCAGGATAGTAAACATATTCATTGTCCCCAGAATTTCCTCATGCGCCATTGGGATTCTTTCCTTCCACTCTATCCTTTCCCTCCTTCTCTAAGCAACTGCTGATCTCTTTTCTGTATGATCCATCTTGCTTTAATTTTTGTGTGTGATGTGAGGTGGGGTCAGGATGCATTTTTCTCCATATGGATATGCAATTATTCTGCCATCATTTGTTGAAAGGACTCTCTTCTCCATTCAATTCCATTGGAACCTTTGTTATAAATTAATTAAACATGTCTGCAGGCTTATTTCTGTTTTTTCTGTTCCATTGGTTTATTTTCTATCCTGTGTTAACACCGCGATGTCTTGATTATTGTAACTTAATGGTATATCCTGAAACCAAGTAGTGTAAAAGAACCGCCCCCCCCCCCCCCCCAACTCTTTTTTTGAGACGGAGTCTCACCCTATTGCCAGGCTGGAGTTCAGTGGCGCGATCTCCACTCACTGCAACCTCCACCTCCTGGGTTTGAGTGATTTTCCTGCCTCAGCCTCCCGAGTAGCTGGGATTATGGGCACCAGCCACCACGCCCAGCTAATGTTTGTATTGTTAGTAGAGACACGGTTTCATCCTGTTGGCCAGGCTGGTCTTTTTTTTTTTTTTTTTTTGAAACTGAGTCTTGCTCTGTCGCCCAGGCTGGAGTGCAGTGGCGTGATCTCCGCTCACTGCAAGCTCTGCCTCCCGGCTTCATGCCATTCTCCTGCCTCAGCCTCCCGAGCAGCTGGGACTACAGGCGCCCACCACCGCACCCGGCTAATTTTTTGTATTTTTAGTAGAGATGGGGTTTGCCGTGTTAGCCAGGATGGTCTCGATCTCCTGACCTTGTGATCTGCCCGCCTCGGCCTCCCAAAGTGCTGGGATTACAGGCATGAGCCACCATGCCCGGCCTGTGGAGTGTTTTTTTTTATGATGAAAAAGGTTTATATTTTGTCAGATGCTTTTTCTGTGTATGTTGAGATGATCACTTGTGTTTTGTCCTTTATCCACATGTGATATGTTAAATTAATTGATTTTCGGGTGTTAAAGCAAGCTTGCATTCTTGGGATTAAATCCCCTGTGGTATGGTGTAGAATCCTTTTTATATGTGGTTGGATTTGGTTTGGTAGTGTTTTGTTGAGGCTTTTTACATCTACCTTCTTAAGAAATATTTGTGTGTGACTTTCTTTTCTTTTGATGTCTTTGGTTTTGGTATCAAGGTAATACTGGGACCCATAGAATGAGTTGGGAAATTCTTCATTTCTTTTACAGATCAGATTTCTATCCGGGATTATTTTCCTTCAGGATTTCTTGTAATGTGGGTATGATAAGGACAAATTCCCTCAGCTTTTGTTTGTCTTAAAATGTCTTTATTTATATTTTTGTTTTCAAAGGATATTTTTGCTTGATACAGAATTCTAGGTTAACAGCTTTTTTTTTCCCTTTCAGCACTTTTTTTTTTTTTTGAGATGGACTCTTGCTCTGTCATGGAGGCTGGAATGCAATGGCACAATGTCGGCTCACTGCAACCTCCATCTCCTGGGTTCAAGCGATTCTCCTGCCTCAGCCTCCCAAGTAGCTGGGACTACAGGTGCGTGCCACCACGCCTGGCTGATTTTTGTATTTTTAGTAGAGATGGGGCTTCACCGTGTTGGCCAGGATGGTCTTGATCTCTTGACCTCATGATCTGCCTGCCTTGGCCTCCCAAAGTGCTGGGATTATAGGCGTGAGCCACCATGCTCAGCCTTTTTTTTTTTTTTTTTTAAGAGAGACAGGGTCTCCTCTGCTGCCCACTTGGAAGTGCAAGTGGTATGAACACATGATCATGACTCACTGCAGTCTTGAACTCTCAGGCATAAGAGACCCTCCTGCCTCAGTTTCCTGAGTTGCTAGGACTGCAAGTACATGCCACCACACCTGGCTAATTTAAAAAAAGGTTTTTAGAGATGGGGTCTCTCTGTGTTGCTCAGGCTGGTCTTGAACTCCTGGCTTCAAGCAATCCTCCTGCCTGGACCTCCCAAAGCATGGGGATTATAGGTGTGAGGCACCATTCCTGGCCCAGGAGATCTGTATTTTTATCCCTGTTTACCGAGGAGCCACAGAGAAGCTGGCAGTTAGCTACACTGTCAGAGCTCACAGATAGGACACCTATTGGGTGTGAGCCAGGGAGCTGACCTGTGCTTCTGCCCACTGTTGCTGCTCACACCAGTCTCTCTCAGGTTTGGCACTGTGTAGAGTCTGTCAGTATCTGTTTTCTCTGCTAGACGTCAGGTTCCTTGGGGCATGACTAGGTTTGTCCCATTATTAGCTACATTTGTTGCTGAATGAACTGACTGATGCCCAGTGTCCTCTCTCTGGGCTACTGTGGACAGTCAGACCTTTAGGAGCTCTTCAAGAATTTGACTGTCACTCATCATCCTGTTGACTGCTCCACTTTGAAGACTTGACTTCTCTCTCCTCATGATCCCACCATCTCTAAGCCTGTGGAACTCTGCTCTGACCCTTTCTCAGCTCTTTGCTGTGATGCCCTTCCTGGACTAGTTCGGTCCTGGGTAGTGCCTTCCTGTCATCACCCTCAATCTTGGTCATTCCTTTTGGATTTCCTTTGATAACTCCTTTTTTTCTTCATTGACTCAGTCAGAATCTGGTTATCATATGGAGACTGAGAACATGGGCTTTGCTCTCAGCCAAACCTGGGTTCAAGTTCTAGAACGGATACTTACTAGCCCATGACGTTGCGCTAGTCATGTAATTACTGAGACCTCTGCTTTTTACTTGTGAACTGGGGGTTGGTAGGAAACTACCTGCTGCATTAGGCTTTGAGCTTTGAGTGTACGGATGAAGCCAGCTACTGCCACTCTCCTGTGGCTGCTGGAACCCTAAAGGCAGTTTGTTGGCTCTTACTTCTTCTGTGCGTCTTGTTTGGACTTGAGCTTTGTTCACTGCCCCAGTTTCCTCCCTGCTGCTTTTTGGTGCTGTTTTCTGCTTGTTTGACAATGCTTTTTATCTAGCTTGCCTTCAGCTATTTTTCCTTCAACAGTCTCAGCCCAGAGTATGCCCTGCTTGTCTTCCTTTGACCCAGGACCCAGAGTATGCCCTGCTCGTCTGCCTTTGACTCTTTGTTCTGGTACTTGTTTTCCCAGGATTATATTATTGACAACAAATATAGCATAGGTGCGCTGTCTGTCTTGTGGTGCGCGTAGGTGCGGACTAGGGCCTTGCTGTGGTGGGCCTTTGGTTTCCTGCAGTTGATTGTTTTTCTCTCTAGGCCCCTTGGAGGCATCTGGTATTAGTCACTGTCCTAGGGCAGTGGTGGCAGTCATGACTGTTCTCTGTCTTGGAGTCAACACTTTTACCTGCAGTGCACATGCAGCAGGCACTTGCCCAAGGTTCCAGAGCTGCTCAGTGATGGAAACTGGACTTTATGCCTGGACCTTTGTGGTCAGGGACTGCCCTGATGTGGCCAGGCCTCCCTGGCTCAAGAGGTTCTCTGGCTGCCTGGAGGGTCTGCATTGGGCTCCAGGAAGGGGAGGAGTCGGGGCTAGGGCCCTTAGCACTGGTGATGAGGAAGGTGCATCCTCATAATGCTGGCCATCTCTGTCCTTAACTGGGAGAGCTGCCATGGTTGCTAGTGTTGAGCAGATGGAGGTTTTCAGTTTTCACTTGAGCCTTCATCCTATGTAACAGCCAGGAGGATACTCTTCTGAGCCTGGCGTGGGCCTGACAGCCATCTCTCGGGGCTGTGTGTTAAAGTCACCTTTCTGAGACTTTGGTGGGAGACCAGCTGGGCCTCCGCTGCTGGGAGGAGAATTGCTACCTTGGGAGCTTGAAGACCTTGGAATGTGCAGCGACGTCAGCTCTTCTCAGCCCGTCGCTGAGTCCTTACTGTGTTCCCGTTGCAGAGCACGTGCTCTGCATGGAGGCCTCATGCCATCCTTAGTTGGTGGAAGGGCTCAAAGACAGGCAGGGTGCTAGGGACTGAATTGTGTCGTGTCCACCCCAGATTCCTATGTTGAAATCCTAAGTTCCATTTAGTGGTATTTGGAGGGAGGCCTTTAGGAGATAATTAGGTTCCGTGAGGTCACCAGGTGGGGCTCTCAAGATGGGACTGACACCCTCATACAAAGATACACCAGAGAGCTTGCTCTCACCCTCCCTGCTGTGAGGACACAGTGAGAAGGCAATGGTCTAAGGGCAGGGAAGACAGGCTTTCTCAGCAACCTAATTGGCCAGCACCTTGACCTTGGACTTCTAGGCCCCAGAACTGTGAGGAATAATTGTCTGCTGTTGAAGGTGTTGTATTCTGGCCGCCTAAGCATACGAAGACACCGGGTCAGTGGAGGGCAAGAAGGTGGCTGGCTCTCTGGCAGAGCAGTCATTGAAGACTGGCTCCTTAGCCACTGGTGGCCTGAGGATGTATTTAGCTTGTCCTGCATTTTATTGGCCCACATAGTGTTCAAAAGTTAATTATAAACATGAAGATGTGGGGATTTAAAAAAAATGTGGATTTTTGTCACTTCTTGTAGAAGCAGACATGTGCTGGTGCCCTGTGTCCTTGCACGGCTGTGATTGCTGGGGTGGGCCTGTCTCTGCTCCCTTCCATGCCCTCTTGTGCTGCAGCCTTCACTCTGCTGCTGTCTTTTCCGCCAGCTTCCTTCCTTACACTTAGCATCTTGCCTTGTTCTGCAGGCCTTTAAGTTGCAATCTGTGCTTTAGGATGTGGCAGGAGAATCAGCAGTCGGGTGACTGGGCACTTCTCCATTGCCACAGTTAAGAAAGGCTTTTACTTCAGAATTATAGTGCTCTAGTATGTTCATCTCTGAGTAGAGCAAGCTTCCTTTTTTTCCCTTTCATATTCCTGGTGTCTGGAGTTAGCCTAGGCCTGAGTGCTTCCAATGCTCATGCAAAGCTTTTTCCGGAGGAAGATTCTCCACCTTTTCACTGTGTTTCTTGGCTCTTCTTCTTGAGGGCATATGGTAGAGTCAGGAGCTGGCAACCTGCAGAATGGAGAAGCCAGCTCCGCTGTCCGCAGCTGCTGCTCATGAGCCTTTCAATCTCTCTCCTGCTTCTGCTCTTACGGACGGACCTGGAGTCCTACTAGAGCTGGGCTCATCTGACCATTCAGCGTGCTCCAGGGGGACTTGTTTCAGGATCCAGTCTCTGCTGTTTCCTCATCAATTTGGTTCCATTTACTTATTTTACTAGAAAATTTTAAAGTAAAGGGTGAAGAATAACCAAGACAAGTGTGAAAAAGAATAAGAAGGGAGTTGCTGTAACAGATTTTCAAACTTTTTTTTTTTTTTTTTGAGACGGAGTTTTTGCTCTTGTCGCCCAGGCTGGAGTACAGTGGCGCAATCTCGGCCCACTGCAACCTTTGCCTCCCGGGTTCAGGCGATTCTCCTGCCTAAGCCTCCCGAGTAGCTGGGATTACAGGCATGCACCACCACGTCTGGCTAGTTTTTTTGTATTTTTAGTAGAGACGGGGTTGCACCATGTTAACCAGGCTGGTCTCAAACTCCTGACCTCAGGTGATCTGCCCACCTCGGCCTCCCAAAGTGCTGGGATTACAGGCTTGAGTCACCGTGCCTGGCCCAGGTTTTCAGACTTATTGTGAGGCCAGTGGAATGGATAGCCTGGAAAAGGACCCTGTATAAATGGGAACTTGGTATATGAGAGAAGTGTCATACTTGAAATATGTATTTAAAGCAATGTACCATTTTTAGGTATATAAGTCATAAAATAATGAAATTACGGATACTGCAAGTTAGTGATTGTCTCTCAAGAAGGGGATTGCTTGAGTTCCTGGGTTCCTCAGTGTCGTAGAAACATTTGTTTAAGAAGGAGGCACATACAAACAAATGTTAGTGTTTGTTAAGTCTCATCACATGGATATTATGTCCTTCTCTAGACTTCAATATATTTAAAAAATTTCATAATTAAAAATAAAAATATTTAAAACTGAGTTATAATTCTCTGAAAGATATAAACAGTCTTGTGAGAGCACTGAGGAGGGACTCAGAAAGTTGACAAAGGTAGCTATAGATGGTCTTCAGATAGGAAGATCAGGCAAGAGTTTGTCAAATAGAGAAAGTGGGAAGAAGGCATTCCAGTCAGAGGGTCTGTGTGTGCAAAGGTGTTAGCTGGGGGAGACACTCAGCATATTTAGATAGTTTTGGTACGGTTATGGAATCAGGTGGGGATGAGGAAAGAGTGCCAAAGTTGTATTGTGTGCGGGTCCCACTTAATGTGTCATCGTGTAGAGGCTTACAGCAGAAGTACGGTGTATTCTTTATTCCCTGTTTGTCTTTTTCTACCTTATTTTGGATTAAGAATGTTTTTATGTGTGATGGTATTAGAAGGTGGGCATAAAAAGAAAAAAAATCTTTTATGATTCTCTTTGGGTCTTTGTATATCTTCCATGTCTTTACTTAATCTTTCCTTTAGGTTCTTGAACATATGAGATACTTTTTTTTTTTTTTTTTTTGAGACGGAGTTTTGCTCTTGTTGCCCAGGCTGGATTGTAATGGCGCAATCTCGGCTCACCGCAACCTCCACCTCCCGGGTTCAAGCAATTCTCCTGCCTCAGCGTCCCAAGTAGCTGGGATTACAGGCATGCACCACCACACCTGGCTAATTTTATATTTTTAGTAGAGACGGGGTTTCTTCATGTTGGCCAGGCTGGTCTTGAACTCCCGACCTCAGGCGATGCATCTGCCTCGGCCTCCCAAAGTGCTGGGATTACAGGTATGAGCCGCCGTGCCTGGCATGAGATACACTTATAAGAACTATTTAGGCTGGGCATAGTGGCTCACGCCTGTAATCCCAGCACTTTCGGAGGCCGAGGTGGGTGGATCATGAGGTCAGGAGATCGAGACCATCCTGGCTAACACGGTGAAACCTCGTCTCTACTAAAAAATACAAAAAATTAGCCCGGCGTGGTGGCGGGCGCCTGTAGTCCCAGCTACTCGGGAGGCTGAGGCAGGAGAATGGCATGAACCCGGGAGGCGGAGCTTGCAGTGAGCTGAGATCACACCACTGCATTCCAGCCTGTGCGACAGAGCAAGACTCTGTCTCAAAAAAAAAAAAAAAAGAACCATTTAAATGTCCTTATCAATTCTTTATTTATTATTATTTTTTTAGAGACAGTGTTCTGTTTGCTCTGTCACTCAGGCTGGATTGCAGTGGTGCAATCCTGGCTCACTGCAACCTCAAACTCCAGGCCTCAAGTGATTCTCCCACCTTGCTCCTGAGTAGCTGGGATTATAGACATGAGCCCCTGTACCAGCATTATCTGTTAACTCATCTGTGTCATTTCTGGGTTGGTTTTGTGTTGTTTTTCCCCTCATTATGGTTTATGATTTTTCTTTTCCTGCTCCCTTGCATGCCTAGAACTTTTTGATCAGATGCCCAGACTTTGTGAATTTTATCTTGTTGGATACTGAGCATTTTTGTGTTCCTATAAATATTCTTGACCTTTGTTCTGGGATGAGGTTCAATTACTTGGAAACAGTTTGATTCTGATAGGTCTTGCATTTCAGCTTTGTTAGGTGGAACCCTAGTAATTTTTAGTCTAGGGCTAGTTTTGCTCTGCCACTGAGGCAAACGTCTTCTGAGCATTACGTCCAAAGCCTTGTGAATTACAAGGTTTTCCACTGCAACTGGCAGGAATAGGCTCTGCGTGAGCTTTGAGGATTGTTCCCTCTCATCTTTTTTTTTTTTTTTTTTAAATGGAGTCTCGCTCTGTCACCTAGGCTGGAGTGCAGTGGTGCAATCCCAGCTCACTGCAGCCTCCGGGTTCAAGCAGTTCTCCTTCCTCAGCCTCCCCAGTAGCTGGGATTACAGGTGCCCGCCACCATGCCCAGCTAATTTTTGTATTTTTAGTAGAGATGGAGTTTCACCGTGTTGGCCAGGCTGGTCTCGAACTCCTGACCTCAGGTGATCCACCGGCCTCGGCCTCCCAAAGTGCTGGGATTACAGGTGTGAGCCACCGCACCCGGCCCCTCTCATCTTTTTGAGTGATGCTTTCCCTGGCTTGAATACCTTCCTTACACACATGCACTGATCAGTGCTTGGCTGGAGACTGGAGTGGGAGGTGTCCTGTGTGGATCTTCAGCATTTGCTGTGAGCTCTGCCCTCTGGTGTTCTGCCTGTGAACTCGAGCTACCTTGGACTGCCTGAACTCCTAGTTTTGATTTTTCAAGTCAGAGACTGCCAGCCAGCCTCCACTGCTTCTTCTTCCTTGGGCTGTGGCCTGGCTTTTCCAGCAGAAGCTGGACAACTACAGGGCTCCCTCCTGTCTTTTGTTTCCTTTTTTCAGGGACCCTTCACTGCCTGGCGTCCAGTGTCTAGTGTCTTGAAAACCATTGCTTCCCTATGTTTTCTTTTTTTTTTTTAGTTGTTGCAGATGGGAAGTAAATCTGGTCTGTTCCGTCTTGGCCAGAAACAAAAGCATAAAAAATGGAGGCTTTTTAATGAAAGCTTAAGTTAGTGTAGAAATACTCACGGGCACCTAGAAGAATGCTGACCCACTTTCTGGTTGAGATGTGGGAGCGGAGGATGCCTGGACAGGGGAGCAGAGGATGCCTGGACAGGGGAGCGGGGGACGCCTGGATAGGAGGGCAGAGGTGGCTTTCTCCCGGGTAGGCATCAAAGCACTTGGAGTATGTAGCGAAGATGATGGGAGTAGGGCTTGGAAGAAGTTTCCCTAGAAAAATCAAGGGCTACAGAATGAGATGCTGAGGGAATGATAAGAAAGCGATTGAAGTCTGCCCTCCTGAGACAGAATCTTAGGTGGAGGGCACAGGCAAAAGAAGGCTTATATCCTGCAGTGGGAGAGTGTAGGAGGCTGTGATGTTGCCGGGGGAGCAGTGGGCAGAGGATGAGGGGTGGATGCTTAGGATGTACCTGTTAAGGAGTGGGCCTGGAGCTGCCCGTCTCTCCTATGCTGTCACAGTTGCCATTCAAGGCACATAGTTAAGTAGAAAATGAAAAAGGGAGGGAAGGACCTTTGCTTCCAGTAT
This sequence comes from Homo sapiens, assembly GCF_000001405.40. Classification (NCBI taxonomy): domain Eukaryota; kingdom Metazoa; phylum Chordata; class Mammalia; order Primates; family Hominidae; genus Homo; species Homo sapiens. The sequence continues at coordinate 50,367,625 of NC_000022.11, forward strand.
TATTAGATGCTGTTACCAGACTGTCCCATTACAGTCCAATTAGATGCTGGATAAATTACAATAAATATAATTGCTTTATTTTTTGTTTTGTGTTGTTTTTTGAGACAGTGTAGGGTCCAGCCCTACAGGGCCTGTGGGTTTTTCTCTTTGTGTGCGGAGACGAGAGATCGTAGAAATAAAGACATAAAGCAAAGAGATAGAAGAAAAGACAGTTGGGCCTGGGGGACCACTACTACCAAGACACGGAGACCCGTAGTGGCCCCGAATGCCTGGCTGCGCTGTTATTTATTGGATACAGGCAAGGGGGCAGGGTAAGGAGTGTGAGTGGCCTCCAATGATAGATAAGGTCATGCGAGTCACGTGTCCACTGGACAGGGGGCCGGCCCTTCCCTGTTTGGTAGCCGAGGCGGACAGAGAGAGAAGAGCTTACGTCATTATTTCTTCTATGCATTTCAAAGACGTTAGTACTTTCACTAATTCTGCTACTGCTATCTAGAAGGCGGAGCCAGGTGTACAGGGCGAAACATGAAAATGGACCAGGAGCGTGACCGCTGAAGCACAGCATCACAGAGACGTTTACGCCTCCAGATGGCTGCGGGCGGGCCTGACTGATGTCAGGCCTTCCACAGGAGGTGGTGGAGCAGAGTCTTCTGTCGCTCGCCCAGGAAAGGGAGACAGACTCCCTTTCCCAGTCTGCTAAGTAACGGGTGCCTTCTCAGGCACTGGCGCTACCACTAGACCAAGGAGTCCTTTAGTGGCCCTGTCTGGGCGTGACAGAAGGCTCACACTCTTGTCTTCTGGTCACTTCTCACCATGTCCCTTCAGCTCCTATCTCTGTATGGCCTGGTTTTTCCTAGGTTATAATTGTAGAACAAAGATTATTATAATATTGGAATAAAGAGTAATGCTACAAACTAATGATTAATAATATTCACATATATCTATAATCTATTTCTAGTATAACTATTCTTACTTTATATATTTTATTTATTATACTGGAACAGCTCGTGCCCTCAGTCTCTTGCCTTGGCACCTGGGTAGCTTGCCGCCCACAATACAAGGTCTCACTTTGTCACCCAGGCTGGAGTGCAGTGGTGTGATCATAGCTCACCACAACCATGCACACTTAGGCCGAAGGGATCCTCCCACTTCAATCCTGAGTAGCTGGGACTGCAGGCGTGCACCACCACACCTGGCTAATGCTGGTGCTGTTTAGGGACACACACATTCTTCCTCCAGCTCACACTGAGTAGAATTTGTTAAGAAGATGCATGCTACAAAATCATTGACTCAAGATTAGAATAAACAGGCCCAAGATCAAAAACATTTCTTGGCCGGGTGCAGTGGCTCACGCCTGTAATCCCAGCACTTTGGGAGGCCGAGGTGGGCGGATCAGCTGAGGTTGGGAGTTCACGACCAGCCTGACCAACATGGAGAAACCCTGTCTCTACTAAAAATACAAAATTAGCTGGGTGTGGTGGTGCGTGCCTGCAATCCCAGCTACTTGGGAGGCTGAGGCAGGAGAATCGCTTGAACCTAGGAGGCGGAGGTTGTGGTGAGCCGAGATCACGCCATTGCACTCCAGCCTGGGCAACAAGAGTGAAATTCCATCTAAAAAAAAAAAAAGAAAACACATTTCTTTATTTTGAAAACTGTATAAAGTTTTAGAAAAGTGGGCTGAAAGCCTATTTTGAGTTATTTAGCTTAATTTTAATCATGAAGTGTTAGGTATAAAAAGTATTACCTGTTTTAGAAGGTGGTAACACTGACTTATCCCTGGGCTACTGGCACCACTTTGAGTATCTTTTTTGTTTGATTTTTATTTTTTATTTTTTTAGAGATGGGGTCTCACTCTGTTACCCAAGCTGCAGTACAGTAGTGTGATTGTGGCTCACTGCAGCCTTTTATTTTATTTTATTTTTTGAGACAGAGTCTCACTCTGTTGCCCAGGCTGGAGTGGCTCACTGCAACCTCTGCCTCCAGGGTTCAAGCAATTCTCTTGCCTCAGCCTCCTGAGTATCTGGGATTAGAGGCGTACGCCCGGCTAATTTTTTGTGTTTTTAGTAGAGGCAGGGTTTCACCATGTTGGCCAGGCTGGTCTTGAACTCCTGACCTCAAGTGATCACCCACCTCGGCCTCCCAAAGTGCTGGGATTACAGGTGTGAGCCACCGCGCCTGACCTTTCACTGCAGCCTCGAACTCCTGTGCTCAAGCAGTCCTCCCACTCAGCCTCCCAAGTATCTGGGACCACAGGTGTGTGCCACCACACCCAGCTAAGTAATTTTTTTTTTTTTTTTTTTTTTAAGTAGAGGCAAGGTCTCGCTGTGTTGCTCAGGCTGGTCTTAAACTCCAGCACTTAAGTGATCCTCCTGCCTTGGCTTCCCAAAGTGCTGGGATTACAGATGTGAGCCACCACATCCCACCTTTTTGATTTGTATATAAAATGTAAAAATATGCAAAAGTAGAGAAAACATAATTAACATCTATGTACCCATCACCTAACTTCGACAGTGATCGACACTTTTTTTTTATTTTGAAAGATCTGATTTTATTTTCTGAATCAAAAGTAAGTGTATTCATGTTAAATTTAGAATGTTTTAGCTTTCCATTGATCTTTCAAGATGCTTTCCAAATACTAACAGTGCACAGAACTATGTGCCACGTCTTGTTTGTTTGTTTTTGAGATGGAGTCTTGCACTGTCACCAGGGCTGGAGTGCAATGGCGCGATCTCGGCTCACTGCAACCTCTGCCTCCCAGGTTCAAGCAATTCTCCTGCCTCAGCCTCCCGAGGAGATGGGATTACAGGCGCCTGCCACCACGCCCAGCTAATTTTTTGTGTTTTTAGTAGAGATGGGGTTTCACTATGTTGGCCAGACTGGTCTCGAATGCCTGACCTCGTGATCCACCCGCCTTGGCCTCCCAAAGTGCTGGGATTACAGGCGTGAGCCACCACGCCTGGCCACGCTATGTTTTAAAGAAAAAAGTTTAAAAGTAGGACCTATTTCTTTTTTTCTTTTCATTTTTTTGAGACGGAGTCTCACTCTGTTGCCCAGGCTGGAGTGCAGTGGCGTGATCTCGGCTCACTGCAACCTCTGCCTCCCGGGTTCAAGTGATTCTCCTGCCTCAGCCTCCCGAGTAGCTGGGATTACAGGCGCCTGCCATTGTGCCTCGCTAGTTTTTGTATTTTTAGTAGAGACGGGGTTTCACCATGTTGGCCAGGCTAATCTTGAACTCCTGACCTCATGATCCACCCGCCTCGGCCTCCCAAAGTGTTGGGATTATAGGCGTGAGCCACTGCCCCCAGCCACAAATGTAGGACCTATTTCTAAGAAACCCTTTGTAGAGGTCAGGGTATTGGGAATCCTAATTTAAAAATATTTTTAATCATTATTGGAAATTTAAGTGACAGTGGGTTCAAGAGCTAAACGTCAGACCTTTTTTAAAACAAATTTTATTTTCTGAAGGACTTCATACCTGACAACGCCAATTAAACATAATACTCCACCCATCCTACAAATTATTAAATACATTATTTCACCTGGGACTAGGATAATTATAAAATGGAATTTTAAAGTTGTAATATAGCCAGGCACAGTGGTTTGTGCTTGTAATTCCTGCTACTCAGCAGGCTGTGGCAGGAGGATCACTTGAGGGCTGTAATGTGCTGTGTGAACTGGGTGTCTGCACTAAGTTCGGCATCAGTATGGTGACCTCCCAGAAAAGGAAGACTGCCAGGTTGCCTAAGGAGGTGTGAACCAGCTGAGGTTGGAAATGGAGCACATCAGAAACTCCCATGCTGGTTAGTAGTGGGACTGGAGCTGTGAATAGCTACTGCTCTCCACCCTGGGCAGCATAGTGAGACCCCATCTCTTTAAAAAAGAAAAAAAAAAGAAAACTATCTTAAAATATCATTTTAACTGTCATGTTTGCTAGTTGAATTATGAAATCAAAGACAAATTTTATATTTAAGGGACAGATAATAAATGCTGTTCCATTGCTTTATTTTTAAAATTTTGTAATTGCTTTTTTTTGAGATGGGGTCAGTCTCTGGTCACCCAGGCTGGAGTGCAGTGGCATGATCTCAGCTCACTGCAACCTCTGCCTCCCAGGCTCCAGTGATCCCGCCTCAGCCTCCCGAGTAGCTGGGACTACAGGCATGCGCCACCACACCCGGCTAATTTTTGTATTTTTTGGTAGAAATGAGGTTTTTCCATGTCACCCAAGCTAGTCTTAAACTCTTGGACTCAAGTGATCTGCCGCCTTGGCCTCCCATTCTGTGGGGATTAAAGGTGTGAGCCACCGCACCCTGCCTCCTTTTCCTGTTGTCTGCCATTTTGATAAGTTAACTTTACCGAGGAAGAACTTAAAGCAAGATTTTTCCTCTTATTTTTCAGGTAAAGAGATTATAAATCTTCCACTGAATGAAAAAAATTTTCTTAAAGCTGCATATACTCCAAGAAAAAAACCACAAATGTTTTTCTGTTTTGCCTGAATACATGATTTAAACAAGAGATTTCCACAGAAGGTAAGATAAGTTTCTTTTTCAATTTGATTCTGTTTTATTGTGTAATTTATGTAAAAGTTCTGTACAGGTGGAAGTTCAAAGATGGGTCACAGCGAAAAACGTAGTTTAGAAGATATGCTGGCTGGGCACTGTGGCTCACACCTGTAATCTCAGCACTTTGGGAGGCCGAGGTGGGTGGATCATGAGATCAGGAGTTCGAGACCAGCCTGACCAACATGATGAAACCCGTCTCTACTGAAAATACAAAAATTAGCTGGGCATAGTGGTGTGTACCTGTAATCCCAGCTACTCAGGAGGCTGAGGCAGGAGAATCGCTTGAATCCAGGAGATGGAGGTTGCAGTGAGCCGAGATCGTGTCACTGTACTCCAGTCTGGGCGACAGAGCAAGACTCTGTTTCAAAACAAAACAAAACAAAACAAAAAAACAGATGTGCTCATGGTCTGTTGTCTTTTGGTGGTTTTTGATCCTCCTGTGTCTGGTTTTGAGATGCTCTGCATGTTTTTGAGCAAGTTGCTTGGTCTTTCCAAGCCCAAGTTTAATTCTTCTTTTTTTTTTGAGACGGAGTCTTGCTCTGTTGCCCAGGCTGGAGTGCAGTGGTGTGATCTCGGCTCACTGCAACCTCCACCTCCCGGGATCAAGCGATTCTTCTTCCTCAGCCTCCCAAGTAGCTGGGACTACAGGCACGCACCACCACACCTGGCTAATTTTTGTATTTGTAGTAGAGACGGGGTTTCACCATATTGACCAGGGTGGTCTCGAACTCCTGACCTTGTGATCCGCCCGCCTCGGCCTCCCAAAGTGCTGGGATAGCAGGCGTGAGCCACCGCGCCCTGTCCAAAGTTTAATTCTGACAAAACAGGAACAGTTTTGCACATATTTAATGAGGTATATGTTCCGTCTCACTTGCAGGGAACATGTGAGATACAGCATATACACTGTCACAGTTGCCATTCAAACCACACAGTTACGCAGAAAATGAAAAGGGGAGGGAAGGACCTCTGCTTCCAGCAATATAAGATACTCTTACGAGGCTCTTCCATTGCAGTTCAGTGAGATGCTGGATAAATTAGAATAAATATAATTTCTTTCTTTTTTTTTTTTTTTTTTTGAGACAGAGTCTTGCTCAGTCGCCCAGGCTGGAGTGCAGTGGCGCGATCTCGGCTCACTGCAAGCTCCACCTCCTGGGTTCATGCCATTCTCCTGCCTCAGCCTCCCGAGTAGCTGGGACTACAGGCACCCGCCAGCACGCCCGGCTAATTTTTTTTGTATTTGTAGTAGAGACGGCATTTCACCATGTTAGCCAGGATGGTCTCGATCTCCTGACCTCGTGATCCGCCCGCCTCGGCCTCCCAAAGTGCTGGGATTACAGGCGTGAGCCACCGCGCCCAGCCTAATTTCTTTATTCTTTATTTTTTTTCAAGACAAGGTCTCACTTTGTCACCCAGGCTGGAGTGCAGTGGTGTGATCATAGCTCACCACAACCATGTACACCTAGGCTGAAAGGAACCTCTCACTTAAGTCTCCTCAGTAGCTGGGACTATAGGAATGCACCACTACGGCTAATTTATTTATTTATATATTTTTATGTGTTTTTTTTTGTGAGACAGAGTCTTGCTCTGTTGCCCATGCTGGAGTGCAATGGCATGACCTTGACTCACTGCAACCTCCGCCTCCTGGGTTCAAGCGAATTTCCTGCGTCAGCCTCCCGAATAGCTGGGATTACAGGCACCAGCCACCATGCCTGGCTGATTTTTGTGTTTTTAGTAGTGACGGGGTTTCACCACGTTGGTCAGGCTGGTCTTGAATTCCTGACCTCAAGCAATCCACCCACCTCAGCCTCCCAAATTACTGGGATTATTATAGGCGTGAGCCACCGCACCCAGCCCACCATGGCTAATTTAAAAACAATTTTTTTAGAGATGGGGTCTCACTGTGTTGTCCAGACTGGTCTTGAACTCCTGGGCCGAAGTGATCCTCCTGCCTTGGCCTCCCAAAGTGCCGAGATTATAGGTGTGAGTTACCACGCTTGGCCAAATATAATTTCTGTGAGCACTCTGATGCGTTAAAAATTAAGATGACCCAGCTGGGCGGATGGATGGCTTGAGTCTGAAAGGTGGAGGTTGCAGCGAGACAAGATCGTGCCGCTGCCCTCCAGCCTGGGTGACAGAGCCAGACCCTGTCTCAAAAAAAAGAAACCCACCAAAATTCAACATATGGATTAAACAGATTAAACACAGATGCAGATGGAATTGGTAAAGTGAAACACAGTGAAAGACATTATCCAAAGTGCAGCCCTGAGAGATCAGTGATGGTAGTAAATATGTAGCTGGAATTCTAGAATGAAAAAATCAGGAATATTGAAGAGATGTATTATTCGAAGTATTAATAGCTTTGAACTTTCAGAAACTAATAAAAGACCTAAATCCATAGGTTTAGGAATCACAATATGTCCCAATCAATATTTTTAGAAAAAAACAAACCCAGCCAGGTGCAGTAGTTCACGCCTGTAATCCCAGCACTTTGGGAGGCCAAGGTGGGCGGATCATAAGGTCAGGAGATTGAGACCATCTTTGCTAATACGGTGAAACCCCGTGTCTACTAAAAATACAAAAATTAGCCGGGCGTGGTGGTGCGCGCCTGTATTCCCAGCTACTCAGGAGGCTGAGGCAGGAGAATTGCTTGAACGTGGGAGATGGATGTTGCAGTGAGCCAAGATCACGCTACTGCGCTCCAGCCTGGGCGAGAGCGAGACTCTGTCTCAAAAAAAAAAAAAAAAAAAAGAGAAAAAGAAAAAAACAAACCCACACCCATACACTGAAATCGTATAGCACCAAAGACAAAAAGAAGGTGTTAAGGTAAAGTTAAAAGATAGATTACCTAAAATGGAACATTAGCTAGGTTGACAACAGATGTCTCAGCAGCATGAATGGAAGCCAGTAGAGAGTAGAATAATTCCTCAAAGCGACGAGAGCATGTATGTTTTATTATAGAATCGTGTTATCAAATAAATTTTGCAAGAAAAATGGCAAGGTTTTATGTTTCTGAGAATGTTAGGCTAGGTTAGACTACCTTCTACTCCCCCACCCTCCACCCCAGAAAAACAGCCACAATTGTTAGATGAAAAAACATAAATAAAAGAACTGACAAAAAAGCAGGAAACTTTTGGATCAAAATCTAACTGAAAATAACGCAGAAAGGTAATTTAAACACCATAGAATGGGGTCTGCTTTTGTCCTGAGGGCATTTGCTCATGTGGACAAAGTGGGGCTTTGAGTTTAGAGGATTTGTGAAAAGAACAGTAGTTAAGCTCGATTCCTCTCAAGGTAAATAGCCTAAAGGAGACCCTCCCCACACCGATGGAACTCTGAAGGGCTCTATCCTCAAGGTGTGAGGGCAGACTAGAGGCACATGTGCCTCACACCGTTCCTTGCCCTCATCTGGTTGTCTTTTTACTAAATGTAGCACAAAAAGATGAAAAGGGAAAAAAACCTGTTCCTGAGAATTGTAGCTCTGTATTGGCCTTTGTGAGGATTTTTAGCCCAGTTACATTGCCTGGTAGTTCAGGGAAATCGGGCATGAATTTAATTCAAGGTGTTTCTAGCTTGTCATCTGACAGGAACAAAGATAAAACCTCTCTGGAAGAAGTTACCTTCATCCTAAGATACAAAGAATCCCTGCAGATTTTTTTTTTTTTTTTTTTTTTTTTTGAGATGGAGTCTTGCTTTGTATCCCAGGCTGAAGTGCAGTAGCACAATCTCGGTTCACTGCAACCTCTGCCTCCCAGGTTGAAGCGATTCTCCTACCTCAGCCTTGCAAGTAGCTGGGACTATAGGCGTGTGTCCGGCTAATTTTTGTATTTTTAGTAAGGACGGGGTTTCACTGTGTTGGCCAGGCTGGTCTTGAACTCCTGACCTCAGGTGATCCGCCTGCAGATATTTTTTAAAGACAGTGATTAATAGTACACAGACAAAAATGACTAAGCACACAAGCAAATAAGCCACTCTGAGTTAAAACCAGTACAGTTCAGGTGTGGTGGCTCATGCCTGTAACCCCAGCATATTGGGAGGCTGAGGCAGGAGGATGGCTTGAGTCCATGAGTTTGAGGCTGCTGTGAGCTATGATTGCACCGCTGCACTCCAGCCTGGGTGACAAAGTGAAACCTTGTCTCAAAAAAACCCCCAGAAAATGAAAACAGGAAAACCAGTAGAAACACTTCCTCAAAGACTTCAGGTATTGGAATTGTTAGAAACAGACTATAAAAAAAGTGTACTTTTTGTATGTGTGTGAGAAGGTCTTACTCTGTCGCCTAGGCTGGAGTTGGAGTACAGTGGCGTGATCTTGGCTCACTGCAACTTCCGCCTCCTGGGCTCAAGTGATCCTTCTGTCTCAGCCTTCTGAGTGGCTGGGACTACAGGCACACACCACCACACCTGGCTAATTCTTTGTATTTTTTGTAAAAACAGGTTTTTGCCGTGTTGCCCAGGCTGGTCTTGAATTCCTGGCTTTAAGCAATCTGCCCACCTCGGCCTCCTAAAGTACTGGAATTACAGGCGTGATCTAGCATGCTGGCTGAGTGTGCTTCTTATTTTTAAAGAAATAAATATTTGGCTGGGTGCAGTGGCTCACGCCTGTAATCCCAGCAGTTTGGGAGGCCGAGGCGGGCAGATCACAAGGTCAGGAGATGGAGACCATGGTGAAACCCCGTGTCTACTAAAAATACAAAAAATTAGCCGGGCGCGGTGGCAGGCGCCTGTAGTCCCAGCTACTCGGGAGGCTGAGACAGGAGAATGGCGTGAACCCAGGAGGCGGAGCTTGCAGTGAGCCAAGATCACACCACTGCCCTCCAGCCTGGGCAACAGAGCGAGACTCCGTCTCAAAAAAATAAAAAATAAAAAGAAATAAATATTTAACAACATAAAAATATTTGTAAGAAACAGTAAAAGGTGATATAGAATATTTGAAAAAGGACCATGTAGAACTTCTAGAAATAAAGAATAAAATATTCAGTATCACAAATTCAGGCCAGGTGAGGTGGCTCATGCTTGTAATCCCAGTACTTTGGGAGGTAGAGGTAGGGAGATCACTTGAGCCCAGAAGTTCAAGACCAGCCTGGGCAACATGGTGAAAACCTGTCTCTACAAAGAATTTTTAAAATTAGCCAGGCGTGGTGGTGCACACCTGTAGTCCCAGCTACTTGGGAGGCTGAGGTGGGAAGATCACTCGAGCCCAGGAGGTCAAGCCATCATTGTGCAAGTGCACTGCAGCCTGGGTGACAGAACAAGACCCTCTCTCAATAATAATAATAATAATTCAGTGTGTACAGGTTTAATAACAAAATATATACAGTGAAGTGAAAATCAGTGAACCAGAAAACAGGTCAGAAGGAATTACCCAGAATGAAGCACAGAGAAAATGATGGGAAACATAGGCCAGAACATGGGACATCGAGGGCAAATGTCTAATGGATGTTTACTTAATGTTCTGTAAAGAGAAAAGAGAGAATGAGGCAGATTTATTATTAGAAAAGATAAAGACTAAAATTTCTCAGAATTGGTGAAAGAAGTCTACAGATTTAGGCCAGGCGCGGTGGCTGACGCCTGTAATCCCAGTACTTTGGGAGGCTGAGGCGGGAGGATCACAAGGTCAAGAGTTCCAGACCAGCCTGGCCAGCATGGTGAAACCCTGTCTCTACTAAAAACACAAAAAGTAGCTCAGCGTGGTGGCACGCACCTGTAATCCCAGCTACTCACGAGGCTGAGGTAGGAGAATTGCTTGACCCCAGAAGGCGGAGGTTGCAGTGAGCTGAGCTTGAGCGCTCCAGCCTGGGTGACAGAGCAAGACTCCGTCTCAAAATAAAAGAAGTCTACAGATTTGAGAAGACAAATGAATGGTAAGCAGGATAAATAAAAATAAAATTTATAGCTAGCCAAAGGAGAGTAAAACTACAAAGCACCAAAGAGTGTTCTTAAAATAAACGAAAAACACAGATCAACTTTATCTGAGCAGCAGTAAGAATGATGGCTGACTTCTTAAGTGCCACAATGGAAACCAGAAGCCAGTGGAGTAATATTTTCATTGTGCTGAAAGTAAAACAATTCCTGACTTCTAACTTTATATCAGGAAAAATTATCTTTCAAAAAAATTATCTGCTGTAGGCTGGGTGCGGTGGGTCACCCTGTAATCCCAGCACTTTGGGAGGCTGAGGCAGGTGGATCACCTGAGGTGGGGAGTTCGAGACCAGCCTGACCAGCGTGGAGAAACCCCATCTCTACTAAAAATACAAAATTAGCCAGACGTGGTGGTGCATGCCTGTAATCCCAGCTACTTGGGAGGCTGAGGCAGGAGAACTGCTTGAACCTGGGAGGTGGAGGTTGTGGTGAGCTGAGATGGCGCCATTGCACTCCAGCCTGGGCAACAAGAGCAAAACTCTGAAAAAAAAAAATTATCTACTGTAGTTGAATGTTTATGTCCCTCCAGAATTCATATTGAAACTTAATCCCCAATGCAATAGTTTTAAGAGGTGGGGCTTACCAGCCTGAGCAACATGGTGAAACCCCATCTCTACAAAAAAAAAAAAAATTAGCTGGGCCTGGTGGGGCATGCCTGTAGACCCACCTACTTGGGTGGCTGAGGCAGGAGGATCACTCGAGCCCAGGAGATTGAGACTGCAGTGAGCCATGATTGCACTGCTGCACTCCTGCCTGAGCAACAGAATTAAACCCTGTCCCAATTAAAAAAAAAAAAAAAAAGGTGAGGCCTAGAATATGATGAGGCCGTGAGGGCTCCACTCTCATGAATGGGATTAGTGCCTTGTAGAAGGGCTTGAGGGAGTCTGTTAGTCCCTTTTGCCATGTGAGGACACAGTGGAGGCACCATCTGTGAAAATTAGGTCCTCATCACACACTGAATCTGCTGCTGCCTTGGTTTTGGATTTCCCATCTCCCAGAGCTGTGAGAAATAATTTTCTGTTGTTTATAAATTACCCAGTCTAAGATATTTTGTTATAGCAGCAGAAACAGGCTAAGACACAGTCCTTTACTAAATACAATTCTCAAGAATAGGGGCCAGGCACAGTGATTCATGCCTGTAATCCCAGCACTTTGAGAGGCTAAGAAGGGTGGATTGCTTGAGTCCAGAAGCTTGAGACCAGCCTGGGTGATGTGGTGAAACCCCGTCTCTACAAAAAAATAAAAAAATTAGCCGGGAGCGGTGGTGCATGCCTGTAGTTCCAGCTACTTGGGAGGCTGAGGTGGGAGTATCACTTGAGCCTGGAGGTGGAGGCTGTAGTAAGTTAAGATCACACCACTGCACTCTAGCCTGGGTGACAGAGTGAGACCCCGTATCAAAGTAAAATAAAAGATAGAATGGACTTTAGGCAGAAAACAGTGATCCTAAATGGAAGAACTGAGATTCAAAAAAGAATGCAAAGCAAATATGTGAGCAAATTCAAATTAGCATTGGAGGGGTGCAGTGGCTCCTGCCTGTAATTCCAGCACTTTGGGAGGGTCACTTGAGCCCAGGAGTTTGAGACCAGCCTGGGCCACATAGGGAGACCTTGTCTCTACAAATAATAAAAAAATTAGCTGGGCATGGTGGCACATTCCTGTAGTCCCAGATACTTAGGAGGCTGAGATGGGAGGATCACGTGAGCCTTGGAAGTTGACATTGCCGTGATCACACCACCATACTCCAGCCTGGGTGGCAGACCGAAACCCTGTCCCCTCCAAAAAACCCCACTAATTGTTTAGTAATATAATAATATCTATGGGGTAAAATCAAGGTAGAATTTCATAATACATGAAAATAGTAACAAATAAGTCATGAAGGAGAGTAAATGAAGTTAAAACATTCCAGTCTTTGTAGTAGCTGTGTCTTAGTCCATTTGTGTTGCTATAAAGGAATACCAGAGGGTGGGTAATTTATAAGGAAAAGAGGTTTGACACAGTTCTGGTTCTGGTAAGAGTTTCAGGCTGCTTCCGCTCATGGCAAAAGTTCAAGGGGAGCCAAAGGGAAGCTAGCTTGTAGAGACCCCGTGGTGATAGAGAGGAAGAGAGAGAAAGAGAAGGTGCCAGTCTTTTTCTTTTTTTTTTTTGGTATTTTTAGTAGAGATGGGGTTTTACCGTGTTAGCCAGGACGGTCTCGATCTCCTGACCTCGTGATCCACCCGCCTCAGCCTCCCAAAGTGCTGGGTTACAGGCGTGAGCCACCACGCCTGATGTTTTTTTTTTTGAGATGGAGTCTCTCTGCCACCCAGGCTGGAGTGCAGTGGTGCAGTCTCGGCTCACTGCAACCTCTACCTCCCAGATTCAAGTGATTCTCCTGCTTCAGCCTCCCGAGTAGCTGGGATTACAGGTGCCCGCCACCACACGCAGCTAATTTTTGTATTTTTAGTAGAGACGGGGTTTCACTACGTTGGCCGGGCTGATCTCGAACTCCTGACCTCGTGATCCAACCACTTTTGCCTCCCAAAGTGCTGGGATTACAGGTGTGAGCCACTGTGCCTGGGTGCCAGGCTTTTTCAACAACCAGTTCTCTTGGGAACTAAGAGTGAGAACTGGCCGGGTGCGGTGGCTCACGCCTGTAATCCCAGCACTTTGGGAGGCCGAGGCGGGTGGATCACGAGGTCAGGAGATCGAGACCATCCTGGCTAACACAGTGAAACCCCTTCACTACTAAAAATACAAAAAATTAGCCGGGCGTGGTGGCGGGCACCTATAGTCCCAGCTATTCGGGAGGCTGAGGCAGGAGAATGGCCTGAACCCAGGAGGCGGAGCTTGCAGTGAGCCGAGATTACGCCACTGCACTCCAGCCTGGGCGACAGCGAGACTCCATCTCAAAAAAAAAAAAAAAAAATTAGCTGGGCGAGGCAGGAGAATCACTTGAACCTGGGAGGTGGATGTTGCAGTGAGCCAAGATCACGCCATTGCACTCCAGCCTGGGTGACAGGAATGAAACTTTGTCTCAAAAAAAAAAAAAAAAAGAGAACTCAGTTACTCCCTCAAGAATGGCACCAAACCATTTACGAGGGATCTTCCCCGACAACCAGAACCCCTCCTACCAGGCTCCACCTCAGCATGGGGCACCACACGGGCCCCACCTCAGCATCACACGGGCCTCACCTCAGCACCACACGGGCCCCACCTCAGCACCACACGGGCCCCACCTCAGCATCACACGGGCCTCACCTCAGCATCACACGGGCCCCACCTCAGCACCACACGGGCCCCACCTCAGCATCACACGGGCCCCACCTCAGCACCACACGGGCCCCACCTCAGCATCACACGGGCCCCACCTCAGCACCACACGGGCCCCACTTCAGCACCACACGGGCCCCACCTCAGCATGAGGCATCCCAGTTTAACATCAGGCTTGGTGGGGCCAAAGAAACCATATCCAAATTACAGCAAACTAGGATAGGGATTAACTGTAGATTTTAATAAGTGCAGTTTACAAGTTCTAAGGAATTATTGTAGGAATAGAAACTGGCCAGGCGTGGTGGCTCACGCCTGTAATCCCAGCACTTTGGGAGGCCGAGGCGGGTGGATCACGAGATCAGGAGATTGAGACCACGGTGAAACCCCGTCTCTACTAAAAATACAAAAAATTAGCCGGGCACGGTGGCGGGCTCCCGTAGTCCCAGCTACTCAGGAGGCTGAGACAGGAGAATGGCGTGAACCCGGGAGGCGGAGCTTGCAGTGTGCTGAGATCACACCACTGCACTCCAGCCCGGGTGACAGAGCGAGACTCCGTCTCAAAAAAAAAAAAAAGAAAAAAAAGGAATAGAAACTGTACAATTTCCAAATTAGTGAAGAGAAAGTAGTGGACCTTCCTTTATTCTTGTAAGGAAAAGCTGCAACAATTTTTTTAGCAACCATTAACTAAATGATAATATATATTGAAAACTTAACCTGTGAAAATGGAAAGAAGACAGGGTGCATGCTTTTACCACTTGAGAATAGTGATGGAAGTCTTAGCCCAATAAATCAGAAAAAGGATAAAAAGATAAAAGAATTTAAAAGGAAGAAACAATCTATTATTCGTTGGTGATACTATTATGTATGTAGAAAATCCAAAATGATCCAAAGCTATAATACAGTCAATTCTTTACCCAAACAGCTTTAAAGTCAATAATCTTTTAGCAATTGTCTGGATAAAAAAGTCAAACAGGGCACGGTGGCTCATGCCTGTAATCCCAGCACTTTGGGAGGCTAAGGCGGGCGGATCACAAGGTCAGGAGTTCGAGACCAGCCTGACTAACATGGTGAAACCCCGTCTCTACTAAAAATACAAAAACTAAGCCAGGCATGGTGGCTCACGCCTGTAATCCCAGGCCTGGGCTAGGCAAAAGGGTGAAAATCCGTCTCCAAAAAAAAAAAAAAATTCAAACAAAAATAAATTACAGTGTACCACCAACAAACACACTGAAGTTAAAAAGTAGAATTATAAATAAAAAATACCTGGGAATAAAATAAAAGATGTGTAAAACCTTTATGGAGAGCACTATACAATTTTGAAAGCAATTAAAGACTTGAATAAATGGGCAGAGGTACCCTGGTTTTGGATTGGAAAACTTACTGTTATACCAGTTCTTCTCCAACTGATCGAGAAATTGAGTGCAATCCCAATAAAAAACCCGAGATTGTCAGTGAGGGTGTGGGAAAAGGGTGAAATTTACAAGCAAATTTTTTTTTTTTTTTTTTTGAGATAGGGTCTCACTCTGTCACCCAGGCTGGAGTGCAATGGCACAGTCTCAGCTCACTGCAACCTCTGCCTCCCAGACTCAAGCGATTCTCCTGCCTCAGTCTCCCGAGTAGCTGTGATTACAGGGATATGCCATCACGCCTGGCTAATTTTTGTGTTTTTAGTAGAAATGGGGTTTTACCATATTGGCCAGGGTGGTCTCAAACTCCTGACCTCATGTGATCTGTCTGCCTTGGCCTCCCAAAGTTCTGGGATTACAGGCATAAGCCAGCACACCCGGCCTGATTTAGAAATGATATGAAAATGAAGGGGTCCATGAATACTCAAGGTGTGATTGAAGAATTCCAATTCATTCCATGTGTCAAAGATCTTGTTTTAAGATGTTGGTGTTTTTATATTGGTAGGGTGCCCATCAGCCCTGGTTTGCCCAAGTGTCCTGGTTTTTCCTGTGGTCCTGGTCTCATTAAGAAAGTGTTTTCATTTCGAGTCCTTTTGGAAGTCTTATTCTGCTGTTTGGGTAAAGAATTGACTGTATTTTTTAGTTTTTAATTTTTGTTTTTAGGGTTGCCCGTGTTTTCCCAAATACAGAATTCTAAACCAGAGAATAGCACCTTACATAGTAGAGAGATTGCTTCTCTTTTGGTAGGCGGTGGCCAGGAAGGAACGCCAGGTAGCATTAAGCCTTGGCCCCCAAGTATGTCTTGTTCCCTGTCTCTTTGCTTTCAGTGGGTTCCTTGGGCCTTCTTGTTTATGATGGAGAATACATAGGAATTAGCCTCCTCAGCTTCCTTCTTTCTTGCTGTGCTTAAGACAAGCAGCCATATGGGGCTGTTATCTTTCTGCCACTGGGAAATGAGAGGGTGGGTGCTAAAAAATTAACTTAAAAAGGAAAAGGATGAGGCCAGGCGCAGTGGCTCATGACTGTAATTGCAGCACTTTGGGAGGCTGAGGTGGGCGGATCACCTGAGGTCAGGAGTTCAAGACTAGCCTGGCCAACATGGTGAAATCCTGTTTCTACTAAAATACAAAAATTAGCCAGGCATGATGGTGGATGCCTGTAATCCAAGCTACTTGGGAGGCTGAGACGGGAGAATCGCTTCAACCCGGGAGATGGTGGTTGCGGTGAGCCAAGATCACACCACTGCACTCCAGCCTGGGCGGCTGAGCGAGACTCCATCTCAAAAAAAAAAAAAAAAAAAGAAGGATGAACACCTTTGAGCTCGTGTGTTAGTGACATCACATCCCTTCTTTCATTCATTTAGTAAATTCAAGTATGATTTGTTGGGCACTTATAATATGCCAGGTGCATTACATAACTCCTGTGGCCTTTTGAAGAAAATATTATTTTATATGAAGCTCAGTGTCTTAATCTGTTTTCTGCTGTTTAGAATACCTGAGACTGGGTAATTTATAAAGAAAAGAAATTTTAGTGGCTCACGCCTGTAATCCCACCAGTCTGGGAGGCTGAGGTGGGCAGATCACGAGGTCAGTAGACCGAGACCATCCTGGCTAACACAGTGAAACCCCGTCTCTACTAAAAATACAAAAAATTAGCCGGGCGTCGTGGCGGGTGCCTGTAGTCCCAGCTACTCAGGAGGCTGAGGCAGGAGAATCGCTTGAACTTGGGAGGTGGAGGTTGCAGTGAGCCAAGATCGCGCCACTGCACTCCAGTCTGGGCGACAGAGCGAGACTCCGTCTCAAAAAAAGAAAAGAAAAGAAATTTATTTCATATGGTTATGGAGGCTGAGAAGTTCAAGGTTGAGAGGCATATCTGGTGGGGGCCTTCTTGCTGCTGGGGACACTGTGGTGGCCCAAGGTGGCGTGGGACATCACGTGGCAAGGGAGCTGAGTAGTGTACTAGCTCAGGTCTTTCTTCCTTTTTTTTTTGTTTTGTTTTTTTAAGAGATGGGGTGTCACTCTGTTGCCTAAGCTGGAAGTGCAGGGGCACAATCATGGCTCACTGCAGCTTCAACCTCCTGGGCTCAAGCGATCCTCCCACCTCAGCCTCCTGAGTAGCAGGGACTATAGGCGCACAGCACCATGCTCAGCTAATCTTGTTTTGTTTTGTTTTCCATAGAGACAGGGTCTTGCCATGTCTAGCAGGCTGGTCTCAAACTCCTGGCCTCAAGTGAGCCTCCTGCCTTTAGCCTTCCATAGTTCTGGGATCACAGGCCTGAGCTACTGTACCTAACCTCTTCTTTTTATAAAGCCACCAGTTCCACTCCCATGATAACTCATTAATTCACAAATGGATTAATCCATTCTTGAGGGCAGAGCTCTCATGATCCAATTACCTCTTAAAGGCCCTACCTTTCAATACTGCCACACTGGGATTAAGTTTTGTTTTGTTTTGTTTTGGAGACAGAATCTCACGCCGTCACCCAGGCTGGAGTGCAATGGTGCGATTTAGACTCACTGCAGCCTCTGCCTCCCAGGTTCAAGCGATTCTTGTGCCTCAGCCTCCCGAGTAGCTGGGATTACAGACACGCACTGCCATCACGTCCGGCTAATTTTTGTATTTTTAGTAGAGACAGAGTTTCACCATGTTGGCCAGGCTGGTCTCAAACTCCTGACCTCAGGTGATCCACCTGCCTTGGCTTCCCAAAATGCCGGGATTACAGCATGAGCCACCACCCCCAGCCAGGGATTAAGTTTTTTTTTTTTTTTTTCCTTTTTTGAGACGAAGTCTTGCTCTCATCCCCTAGGCTGGAGTGCAATGGCGCTATCTCGGCTCACTGCAACCTCTCCCTCCCGGGTTCAAGCGATTCTCCTGCCTCAGCCTCCTGAGTAGCTGGGATTATAGGCACCTGCCACTATGCCTGGCTAATATTTTTATTTTTAGTAGAGACAGGGTTTCACCATGTTGGCCAGGCTGGTCTTGAACTCCTGACCTCAGGTGATCCACCTGCCTCGGCCTCCCAAAGTGCTGGGATTACAGGCATGAGCCACCGCGCCCAGCTTTTTTTTTTTTTTTTTTTTTTTTTTTGAGACGGAGTCTTGCTCTGTCTCCCAGGCTGGAGTGCAGTGACTCGATCTAGGCTCACTGCAAGCTCCACCTCCCCAGTTCATGCCATTCTCCTGCCTCAGCCTCCCGAGTAGCTGGGACTACAGGCGCTCGCCACCACGCCAGGCTAATTTTTTGTATTTTTAGTAGAGACGGGGTTTCACTGTGTTAGCCAGGATGGTCTCGATCTCCTGACCTCAGGTGATCCGCCCGCCTCAGCCTCCCAAAGTGCTGGGATTACAGACGTGAACCACTGCGCCCGGACAAGGTTTTTTTTGTTTTGTTTTGTTTTGTTTTTTTTGAGATGGAGTCTTGCTCTGTCTCCCAGGCTGGAGTGCAGTGGTGCAATCTCTGCTCACTGCAACCTCTGCCTGCTGGGTTCAAGCGATTCTCCTGCCTCAGCCTCCAAGTAGCTGGGATTACAGGTGCCCGCCACCATACCCAGCTAATTTTGTATTTTTAGTAGAGATGGGGTTTTGCCATGTTGGCCAGGCTGGTCTCAAACTCCTGACCTCAGGTGATCCACCTGCCTCGACCACCCAAAGTGCTGGGATTACAGGTGTGAGCCACTACGCCCGGCCTTAAGTTTTAACATGAGTTTTGGAGTGGTTATATATTCAAGCCATAGACTCAGGGAAGTAAAGAACCTTGCTCAAATTGTAGTAAGGTACAAACCGAGCTTCTGCAGCAAGGAGGTCCCAAAGAACAGTGGCTTGAGCAAGGTGCAAGCACATTTCTTTCTCCTCTAACAGTCTGGTCTGCCAGGTGGCCTTCCTCAGCTTGTGGCTTCCACTCGTGGATCTAGAAGGGTCTTTATGGTTTTTGGTTTCCCACCAGGCGGTAAAATCAGAACGAAGGAAGCTCACAACAGTAAGAGGTTGAGGTTCCAGTGTTAGTTACTTCTACTCGCAACCCATTTACCCAGAGTTTAGTCACATGATGATAGCTGGCTGTAAGGAGGGTTGGAAAAGTTAGGCTGAAGGAGGGTGGCCATGTACCCAGCTGACCTCTATTCTGTTGAAGAAAGGGAAACTGGAAACTGGGGACAAGTAGAATGTCCCCCACACCTGCCTGCAGTCACACAGGTGGAGGGTGTGGATCCAGGCCCTCTCTTCCTATCTGTCCTGCTCTTCCGCGGTACCTTACTACTGTTTTTGGGAAGAAGCAGCCTTTGCGAACTTTATGTATGTATTAAATTAAAATCATTTATTTATTTTTTGAGACAGGGTCTTGCTCTATCACCGAGGCTGGAGTGAAGGGGTACGATCATAGCTCAGGGCAGCCTCAACCTCCTGGGCTCAAGCGATCCCCCTGCCTCAGGCTCCCGGAGTAGCTGAGATGATAGTCCCACACCACCATGCCCAGCTAGTTTTTAAAACTTTTTTTGTAGAGCTGGGGTCTTGCTGTGTTGCCCAGGCTTGTCTTGAACTCTGGGCTCAAGTGACCCTCAGCCTCAGCCTCGGCCTCCCGAATTGTTGGGATTACAAGCATGAGCCATGTGCCTCTTTTCACTTCTGATTTTGGATTTTTACTTAACTTGTTTGTCCCACTCCACCCCCTTTTTAAAGTTAGACTCTTTTTCCTGGTCTTTTTTCCCCGGTGGACTATGCTCAGGATCGACATAGTCTTGTTTGTTCCTTGGTTGTACAAATAGTCATTGTGCTTCATGTGCTCACGTTGCCATTTTTTTCCGGGCCAAATGGAAATCAAGCATTCAGCCTATCCAGTGGTATGTTGGTAAATGTTTAACAACGGGCTTTCTGGGGAGGAAAAAACCTCCTGGTTTGTAACACTTGCTGATTTCCATGGCGTTAATACTCCCACCACGTTGGAGTTGAGCTGCCAGGGTGATGTCCTGAAGGTGGAAGAGGGAAGAGAGGTATGAGGGCTCAGGTTGGGCCACCGCGGCGCACGCCCTCTGTGGGCACAGTGACTTTATCTCTGTTTCCGTCTCTTTACGCTGAGGGTCTTTGAGAATGAAACGTGCTGGGAACTGTTCTAGAGCCTTTATGTGGAATAACTTAGTAATCCTCCCCACAGGGGATGTCGATGCTGCATTTTACGGGTGAGGAAATCAAGGCATGAGAGATCATGTGAGTGGCCTCAGCTCACACCGCAGAGCTAGGACTTTGATCATAAATCTTTAAAAGAACAAAACAGTGGCTGGGCGCCAGTGGCTCATGCTGTAATCCCAGTGCTCATGCTGTAATCCCAGCACCTTGGGAGGCTGAGGCAGGTGGCTCGCTTGAGCCCAGGTGTTCAAGACCAGCCTGGGCAACATGGCAAGATGTGGTCTCTATAAAAAATTTTTTTAGGATTAAAAAAAAAAAACAGTCAGCTTGGGTAACATGGCAAAACCTTGTCTCTACAAAAAAAGTACAAAAATTAGCTGGGTGTGGTGGCGCATGCCTGTAGTCCCAGCTACTTGGGAGGCTGAGGAGGGAGGATCACTTAAGCCTGGGAGGTTGAGGCTGCAGTGTGCCAAAATCCCACCACTACACTCCAGCCTTGGCAACAGAGCAAGACCCTATCTCAAAAAAAAAAAAAAATAAGCCTAAATCCTGGACAAGGTGGCTCATGTCTGTAATTTTAGCACTTTGGGAGGCTGATGTGGGAGGGTTGCTTAAGCCCAGGAGTTCAAGACTGCAGTGGCTGTGTTCAGGTCTCTGCACTCCAGTCTGGCTCACAGAGCAGGACCCTGTCTCAAAAATACACATAAATTTTTTAAAAAGGGCCAGGCACGGTGGCTCACGCCTATAATCCCAGCATTTTGGGAGGCCGAGGCGGGCAGATCACAAGGTCAGGAGTTCAAGACCAGCCTGGCCAATATGGTGAAACCCAGTCCTTAATAAAAATACAAAAGTTAGCTGGGTATGGTGGCAGGCACCTGTAGTCCCAGCTACTCAGGAGGCTGAGGCAGGAAAATGGCTTGAACCCAGGAGGCGGAAGTTGCGGTGACCTGAGATTGTGCCACTGCACTCCAGCGTGGGGACAGAGTGAGACTCCATCTCAAAAAAAAAAAAGAAAAGAAAAAAAAATGATTTGTGGCCAGACAGGTAATAGGGCATTTCAGATTCTAATTTTCTCTTAGCAACAGTCTCTATCACAGAATGTTGTTTTTTAAAGGGCGCTTTCATGGAACTATATGATCATATGGGCAACATTCTGTTGCAGTCTACCTTCTGTCTGACGGATATGCCATCCTGAAAAAGGAAAGAAGCTGAACTTCAAGTTCCTTTCATTTAGCCTTGGGTAAGAATCTAGAAGATGTTGGTCATACTGTGCTTGACATCCCAGATGGACCACTGAGGATGGGAGTCAGGATGTGAGAGGAGTCCTTAAGCTCTGTTGAGACTTCCGATGTAACCAGAAATTCCTTAAACCAACAAGCCAGGCCATGACCACTTGTTTGTTCTGAAGATGCTGCCAGTGCTGACCTTGAGGTCATGTAGGGAAGGAAATGGAAGGCCTTCCCTGTAGGTGAGGGCCAACCAGGAAGATGCTAGCATCTGTTTGGAGGATAGGGTGTAGTTGTGCAGATAGGAGAAAACTTGGAAAAAAGAAGTATGTAATATTATGTTAGTAAATGTTCTGGAGTCAGTTTATACCAGTTTCTTTGACAGTGAAATTAGCTGTAACTAAACCAGTGCCATTGCAGTGAACTCTTAAAGGATGTCTCTGATGTGATCTTTTTTTGTTTTTTTTTTTTTTTGAGATGGAGTCTCGCGCTGTCGCCCAGGCTGGAGTGTAGTGGCGTGATCTCGGCTCTCGCTCTGTCGCCCAGGCTGGAGTGTAGTGGCGTGATTTCAGCTCACTGCAACCTCCACTTCCTGGGTTCCAGTGATTCTCCTGCCTCAGCCTCCCGACTAGCTGGGATTTCAGATGTGCACCACCATGCCTGGCTAATTTTTGTATTTGTGGTAGAGATGGGGTTGGCCAGGCTGGTCTCGAACTCCTGACCTCAAGTGATCTGCCCGCCTTGGCCCCGCAAAATGCTGGGATTACAGGCATGAGCCACAGTGCCCAGCCTGATGTGATCATTTTTGAGTGTTTCTTAGAATGTGGGGAGAGCTGATAGAAACATAGAAATGTTCTTGTTATGCGGAGATTTTTTTCTTTTTTCTTTTTCTTTTTTTTTCTTTTTTTTTTTGAGATGGAGTCTCTCACTGTCACCTAGGCCAGAGTGCAGTGGTGTGATATCGGCTTACTACAACCTCTGCTTCTCGGGTTCAGGCGATTCTCCTGCCTCAGCCTCCCAAGTAGCTGGGATTACAGGCACCCACCACCACGCCCATCTGATTTTTGTGTTTTTATTAGAGATGGGGTTTCACCATGTTGGTCAGGCTGGTCTCAAACTCCTGACCTCAGGTGATCCACCCGCTTCATCCTCCCAAAGTGCTGAGATTACAGGCGGGAGCCACCGCGCCCAGCCCATATGCCGTTTTTCAAGAGAAACATTTTAAATATAAAGGCACAAGTAGATGAAAGTCAAAGGATGTTAAAGGACATACCAAACATGAATCACAAGAATGGTGAGATTGGTGTACTATGTTAATATCAGACAAAGCCGACTTCAAAACAAGGTATGTTGCCAGAGATCATGAAGGACATTTCAAAATGATCAAAGAATTAATCATCAAGAAGACGTAACAGGCCAGGCGTGGTGGTTCACACCTGTATTCCCAGCATTTTGGGAGGCTGAGGCAGGAGAATCGCTTGAACTCAGGAGGCAGAGGTTGCAGTGAGCCAAAGTTGCACCATTGCACTCCATCCTGGGCAATGAGAGTGAAACTCCGTCTCAAAAAAAAGAGAAGACATAACAATCCTAAATATGTGTCAACATAATAAAAGAAATTCAGGGCCGGGCGCGGTCGTTCACACCTGTAATCCCAGCACTTTGGGAGGCCGAGGCGGACAGATCACGAGGTCAGGAGTTCAAGACCAGCCTGACTAACATGGTAAAACCCCATCTCTACTAAAAATACAAAAATTAGCTGGGCGTGGTGGCACACGCCTGTAATCCCAGCTACTCAGGAGGGTGAGGCAGGAGAATCGCTTGACCCCAGGAGGCGGAGATTGCAGTGAGCCGAGGTCGTGCCACTGCACTCCAGCCTGGGTGAGAGAGCAAAACTCCGTCTCAAAAAAAAAAAAAAGAAAAGAAATTCAGGCCGGATGCAGTGGCTCACATCTGTAATCCCGACATTTTGGGAGGCCAAGGCGCTTGAGGCCTAGAGTTCAAGACCAGCCTGGGCAACATAGTGAGACCCCATCTCTATAAAAAATTTAAACATAGTCCAGGCGCGGTGGCTCACACCTGTAATCCCAGCACTGTGGGGGGCCTAGGTGGGCGGATCACGAGGTCAGGAGTTCGAGACCAGCCTGACCAGTATGGTGAAACCCCATCTCTACTAAAAATACAAAAAATCAGCTGGGCATGGTGGTGCATGCCTGTAATCCCAACTACTCAGGAGACTGAGGCAGGAGAATCACTTGAACCTGGGAGGCGGAGGTTGCAGTGAGCCAAGATCGTGCCACTGCACTCCAGCCTGGGCTACAGAGTGAGACTCCGTCTCAAAAAAAAAAAAAAAAAAAAAAAATGTAAACATTAGCTGGTCATGGTATTTCTTGGTTGTATTCCTAGCTGCTTGGAAGGCTGAGATGGGAGGACTGCTTGAGCCTGCAGTGAGCTATGATTGTGGCACTGCACTCCAGCCTGGACAACATGGCGAAACACCATCTTTAAAAATAAAATCCAGTCTGACAATGTTTGTCTTTAATTGAAATGACTATTTGCATTTAATGCATTTATTGAAATGGTTGAATTTATGTCTGGTATCTTGCTGTTTTTTTTTTTTATTTTGTCTCCTCTGTTTTTGTTGCTTATCTCCTTGTATTTTTATTATTAGTTTTGGTCTTTTGGATTAATCCAGTTGTTTTAAATTATACTACTAGAAAAATTCTTCTAGCAGGATCCTATTTCGTCGATGGTCTTTTGTAATCCACCCAGGCTTCCACCTTCTCTGTGGCTAGAAACAGGACCGTCCAGAAGTCACCTGTAACTGCCCTATCTTGCAAGTTCTGATTTTGGCAAAAAAAAAAAAAAAAAGCCTTGACAAGGTTGGATTCACTTCTTTCCCTGGATTGTGTGTCATCCAAGTACGTGAGACATCTGGTAGTGCATTTCAGAGAGAGGAGTATCTGATATGTGTGTGGAGGCAGCCATCTTTTCCTGAAAGTCCTTTTAGGAATCATTATTTCTGGTCCTCTGAAGTTTGCCGCTACCACTCATAAATATCTATCCACACCCCTTACAAGAAGAATAAGGAAGATCTTAAGACCTAGAAGGAAAACTGATTGCAGACCAGGCTTGGTGGCTCAGTGCCTGTAATCCCAGCACTTTGGGAGGCCAAGGAGGGCAGATTGCTTGAGCTCAGCAGTTCGAGGCCAACCTGGGCAACATAGTGAATCCCTGTCTCTACAGAAAAAAAAAAAAAAAAAACCCACCCCAAAATCAAAACTGAAGGTAGTGTCAGTGTATATATGGAGTCCCTTGTGCTGAAAGTCAAAGCAGCTTCATTTTGGGGCCTCAAGAGCTCCAGCTCTGGGCTCTTCACCTCTAAGCCCATGGGCAGTGCCCGCCCAGTGGTGTGTATAGATCGGAGGCTGCAGGGCCTCACCCTTAGCTGCAGCTGTCGCGTGCTGGGGAGCCTGTGCAGGAGGGTACAAGTAGGAAAGTGCCATCTGCATGGGAAGAAAAATGCAGCATCCTTGTAGTGCGGATGGGGTCCAGGAGACCCAGGAGCTGCCCAGAGGACCTGGTGGCATGCTGTAGAAAGCAGCCAGGTAGGTATCTGGGGCCAGGAGAGGTTTTGGAGCTGAGATGAGATGTGTAGACATCAAGTGAGTTTGAATTAGCCAAAGCCAGAGGCTGTGGGAGTGTGGCTGGACGATGGAGGCTCCCGTGTCAGGGGTCCTAGGGCATCACCGGCTTTACAGTCAGACAAACCTGGGCATTTACATCTGTGGTCAGCCTTTTGTTTTTCTAAGTAAAAAATTAGATAAGATAAATTCCATCTACTATTACTATAATTTTTAAAATGTTTCATGTAACATTGAAAAGATTTGTAATCTCACAGTAAAGTTTTAACTTTGTGAAAGATGTAGGCTTTATGTTTTCACTTTCTATCAGAATAGTGAAAACTTTGTTGCTAACCAGCCCTGGCCTGCAGAATGACATGTGAGACACTAGGAAGGACTGTCCAGACAAAGACAGCAAGAGCTGGGATGTTTGGGAAGCAGAGGAGGGGCTGGATCAGTGGTGATTCCTCAGGTGCCTATGGCAAGACCTAGTGCCCAGTTGGTGTATGTGTGAGGAGGTGCCTGCTTCAGAGAGAACCCTGGGTGTGATTCAGCAAGATGGGGACGATGAGTGGATGGGCCGGGTGGCTGGGGGAGGCAGAGGAGTGAGCGCAGGGTCAGGCAGCATCAGCTGTCTTGATTTTGACTTGCTGAGTTTGCTCACAAATGTGAGACTTTCAGAGGGGAGATGTCCAGTGTTCACTCAGGACAGAAGACATCCCTGACACATGGGAGAGACACCTGGGCGCATTCGCCTAACAGAACTACAGAGCAAGCAAGAGCATTGAGGGGCATGTCGAGCACGCTGGTGGGTGGGGGACAGTGTGGGGAAGGAGGGCAAAGGAGGGGGTTAGCCCAGAGGAGAACCTGGGGAGGCAGGTCCTGGAGCTGGGGGTGCAGCCTCAGAGCTGTTGAGCAGCTGGGAAGTCTGCTAACTTTGTGAGCCCAACCTGGAGAGGTCTGATGGGAATGGTTACTGGGGAGGGCCCCCACCATCCTGAGCTCTGGGAATCTTGTGTGTTCATGCTGCAGATGGACTTCCAGGACTTGGGTCTAGTGTTGCTGAGGGTGGATCTGCAGAGGTGAGAGAAATGACCCCTTTGGACTTGGGTCTAGTGTTGCTGAAGGTGGATTTGCAAGGGTGAGAGACGTGACCCCTTTGCCCTCGTTTGCAGCTCTGCGGCCGTCACGATGTTCTGGAAGTTTGACTTGAACACCACGTCCCATGTTGACAAGCTGCTGGACAAGGAGCATGTGACGCTGCAGGAGTTAATGGATGAAGATGACATCTTGCAGGAGTGTAAGGCTCAGAACCAGAAGCTGCTGGACTTCCTGTGCAGGCAGCAGTGCATGGAGGAGCTGGTGAGCCTCATCACACAGGATCCGCCCCTGGACATGGAGGAGAAGGTCCGCTTCAAGTATGTACCAAAGCTGTGACGGGCCAGTACGCCAGGCAGTGCTGCAGGCAGGCCGCAGGCAGTGTCTGAGGATGGCCATAGTTGGGGATTTCTGATGAAGAAGCGAGCCGTAAAAATCCACCCCATGTGAGAAGTGAGGAGGGCACTCCCATGGGGTCTGAGGTTGAAGAGTTTGGAGATTGGGTGCAGTGGCTCACGCCTGTAATCCCAGCACTTTGGGAGGCTGAGGAGGTTGGATTAATTGAGCCCAGAAATTTGAGACCAGCCTGGGCAACATAGTGCGACCCTGTCTCTATTAAATTTTTTTTTTTAAATTAGCCAGATGTGGTGTTGTAGACCTCTGGTTCCAGCTACTCGGGAGGCCGAGGTAGGAGGATCACTTGAACTTGGGAGGTTGAGGCTGCAGTGAGCCATGATTGTGCCACTGCACTCCAGCCTGGGTGACAAGAGTGAAACCCTGTCTTTAAAAAAAAAAAAAAAAAAAAAAAAGGCCGGGCACAGTGGCTCATGTCTGTAATCCCAGCACTTTGGGAGGCCGAAGCAGGCAGATCGCTAGGTCAGGAGATTGAGACCATCCTGGCTAATACGGTGAAACCCCGTCTCTACTAAAAATACAAAAAATTAGCCGGGCATGGTGGCGGGCGCCCGTAGTCCCAGAGGCTACTGTACTCAGGAGGCTGAGGCAGGAGGTTGGTGTGAACCCGGGAGGTGGAGCTTGCAGTGAGCTGAGATCACACCACTGCACTGCATCCTGGGTGACAGAGTGTGACTCTGTCTCAAAAAAAAAAAAAAAAAAAAGAGTTTTGACTGTCTTGTGCCGGCATTTTTTCATTCTAAGTAAAGTTAATTTTAGGTTGGTACACGTCAGAGTGTTTTGAGTGGCAATATGTTGGGAAAAAAAGACTGATCCCATGCTAGAGATGCAGGTGTTATTGCAGCATAAGGCTGTACTGTCAGCAGGGTTGGCTCCAGGCCACAAAATGGCTAGGCAGGAGAGATATGCAGTATCTGACCTACAGTCCTGGGACATGCTTCATTTTAGGGTCTTCAGCTCGAAGGAAATAGATCATTGTCATTCGTGGTACCGTCCGTTCTCAGAGTTTTTCCTGAAACGCCCATTCAGCCCTGGCCAGGATGCTAGGAGATGACACAGAGGGAGGGGGCAGTGTGGCGAGATGGCTGGAGCCTCAGGGCCTTGAGTCAGGACAGAAGGGTGAGCAAGGATGGGGCTGGGGCGAGAGGGAGAACAGGGCGGAGCTGGCCTCCAGCTCCTCATGGTGCAGATCTGCGAGGCACACATGACCCGCAGTGTCCCCAGGTGACGCCTCATTAGGAAGTGGGAGATACATACAGGTTAGCAAACCTCGGCCTGCAGGTCATGTCCTTTTCCGTGTGTCCTGTGAGTGAAGAATGGTTTTACATTATTTTTTATTTTAGTTTTTTGAGACAAGGTCTCACTCCATCGCCCAGGCTGGGGTGCAGTGGCATGATCTCGGCTCACTAGAGTCTCTGCCTCCTGGTCCCAAGTGATCCTCCCGCCTTAGCCTCCCTAGTAGCTGGCACTACAGGTGCGTGCCACCATGCCCGGCTAATTTATTTTTGTATTTTTTTTGTAGAGACGGGGTTTCACCACGTTGCACAGGCTGGTTTCAGACTCCTGGGCTCAAGCAATCCACCCACCTCGGCCTCCCAAAGTGCTGGGATTATAGGTGTGAGCCACTGTGCCTGGCTCGTTTTACCTTTACCTGTTTAAATGGTTGGGGAAAAAAAAATCGAAGCTCGGGCATCGTGGCTCATACCTGTAATCCCAGCACTTTGGGAGGCCAAGGCGGGCGGATCACCTCAGGTCAGGAGTTCGAAACCAGCCTGGCCAACATGGTGAAACCCCGTCTCTAATAAAAATACAAAAATTAGCAGGGCGTAGTGGCGCACGCCTGTAATCTCAGCTACTCCGGGAGGCTGAAGCAGGAGAATGGCTTGAACCCAGGAGGTGGAGGTTGCAGTGAGCTGAGATTGCGCCATTGCACTCCAGCCTGGGCAACAGAGCAAGACTCTGGCTCAAAAAAAAAAAAAAAAAAAAGCCGGGTGTGGTGGCTCACACCTGTAATCCCAACACTTTGGGAGGCCAAGGCGGGCAGATCACGAGGTCAGGAGTTCGAGACCAGCCTGACCAACATGGTGAAACCCCGTCTCTACTAAAAATACAAAAATTTGCTGGGTGTGGTGGCATGTGCCTATAATCCCAGCTACTCAGAAGGCTGAGGCAGGAGAATTGCTTGAACCTGGGAGGTAGAGGTTTCAGTGAGCCAAGATCGCTCCACTGCACTCCAGCCTGGGCGACAGAGTGAGACTCCGTCTCAAAAAAAAAAAAAAAAAATCAAAGGAAGAATATTTTGTCACACACATGAAAACGATATGAAACACGTTTCAGTATCCACCAATAAAGTCTTGTTAGACACAGCCACACTCATCCACGTCTCATAGCGTTGAGCAGCTCCAGCAGGGGCCACGGCAAATAATTCCTCCCTGGCCATTTATAGAAACTCTTTGCTGGCCTTTGTCTTAGAAGGAAGATAAAGCAGGATAGTGAGCCAGGGTGTCCCTGTGGCAGGGGGTGGTCAGTACTTCATTTAGGGTGGTCAGGCGTCCTCTTAGGTAAGGGGAGCAGTGCTGGGTTGGGGAGGAGAGTTCTAGCCTGAGCAGGGCCTTGCTGTAAGGAACTGAGGGTTAGGGTGGGGCAGCTGCAGCCAGAAGCTGCTGTGGCTTCTGGTCACACCTGCTGTGTCAGCATCACTGTTGACAGTCCCCATCCCTCCCACTTTCAAATGTGGCCCAGTCTGGTGACAAATTAGAGTTGAGAGACAGGTATGGGGCAAGGAGAGTGGGGAGGGGTCTTCTGGATCAGGACAGGAATCCCAGAGTAGCATCAGTGAGCCGGGAGAGTCTCATAGAGTTTGGGAGAAATCAGTAGTAGATAAGTACAGAACCAAGCAAACAGAGCAAGAGGACTATGAACCTGGGGGGAGACTTCCGTAAGTAAGCAAAGATGCCCTGAGTAAACAACCCAGGTCAGGATATCCATTTAAATTACCCTGTGACTTCGGAGGGAGAGCAAGAGGACTAGGGGAAGACTTCCCTAAGTAAGCAGAGATGCCCTGAGTAAACAATCCAGGTCAGGATATCCATCTAAATTACCCTGTGACTCGGAGGGAGGGAAAGGGAGAGGGAAGTCGGGTGGTGGGAAAGCTTTGCCTTCCATTGTAGGAAGTTAATTCATAATGTCTAAAATTGGTGAACAAAGAAGAAATGTATGTGTGTATTATTTAGAAACATGGAGGTTAACGTTGGAGAAAACTGCTGAAAGAGTCCAGTGATTGCCTCTGAGGAGCATGACTTGGGATGCTGGGGGGCAGGGGGCCTGTCCTCACCAGCCCTGTCATCTCTGAGTTTTTCTCTGAGGAGTGTGACTTGGGATGGGGGCAGGGGGGCCTGTCCTCACCAGCCTTGTCATCTCTGAGCTTTTCTCTGAGGAGTGTGACTTGGGATGGGGGCAGGGGGGCCTGTCCTCACCAGCCTTGTCATCTCTGAGCTTTTCTCTGAGGAGAGTGTGACTTGGGATGGGGGCGGGGGGGCCTGTCCTCACCAGCCTTGTCATCTCTGAGCTTTTCTCTGAGGAGTGTGACTTGGGATGGGGGCAGGGGGCCTGTCCTCACCAGCCTTGTCATCTCTGAGCTTTTCTCTGAGGAGTGTGACTTGGGATGGGGGCGGGGGGGCCTGTCCTCACCAGCCTTGTCATCTCTGAGCTTTTCTCTGAGGAGTGTGACTTGGGATGGGGGCAGGGGGGCCTGTCCTCACCAGCCCTGTCATCTGAGGTTTTAAAGCACGTGCACATATCACTTGTATAAAAAACATGAAAGTCAGGTGTGGTGGCTCACGCTGGTAATCCCAGCACTTTGGGAGGCTGAGGTGGGAGGATCACTTACGCCCAGGAGTTGAAGACCAGCCTGGGCAATATAGCGAGACTCCATCTCTTTTTTTTTTTTTTTTTTGGTCTGAGATGGAGTCTCACTCTGTCGCCCAGGCTGGAGTACGGTGGTGCGATCTCGGTTCACTACAACCTCCGCGTCCCAGGTTCAAGTGATTCTCCTGCCTCAGGCTCCCGAGTTGCTGGGATTACAGACATGCATCACCACACCCAGCTAATTTTTTGTATTTTTAGTAGAGACAGGGTTTCACCATGTTGGCCAGGCTGGTCTCGAATTCCCGACCTCAGGTGATCCATCTGCCTCAGCCTCCCAAAGTGCTGGGATTACAGGCATGAGCCACTGCACCCGGCCCCCATCTCTATTTCTTTATTTAAAAAAAAAAACATATTAAGACTTTTTTTTTTTTTTTTTTGGAAACACAGTCCTTTCTGTCAACCAGGCTGGAGTGCAGTGGCGCGATCTTGGCTCACTGCAACCTCCGCCTCCTGGGTTCAAGCAGTTCTCCTACCTCGGTCTCCTTAGTAGCTGGGACTACAGGCGCACACCAGCATGCCTGGCTAATTTTTTGTATTTTTAGAAGAGACGGGGTTACCATGTTGGCCAGGCTGGTCTTGAACTCTTGAGCTCAGGCAATCTGCCTGCCTCGGCCTCCCAAAGTGCTAGGATAGTGCTAAGATTACAGAAGACACTTTTTTTGAGGCTAGTCAAAGTGCAGCAGTGTTTACACCTAATTGGTCACAAGCAGTTAAGATTTCTTTCTTCCTTCTTCAGTCTGTCTGCGTCACATGACTAGCCTTGTAAATAAAGTGAAACAAAAAACACTTTTTTTGAGAAATAGAATAGGGGCCGGGCGTGGTGGCTCACGCCTGTAATCCTAGCACTTTGGGAGGCTGAGGCGGGCGGATCATGAGGTCAGAAGATGGAGACCATCCTGACTAACACGGTGAAACCCCGTCTGTACTAAAAATACAAAGAATTAGCCAGGCGTGGTGGCCGGTGCCTGTAGTCCCAGCTACTTGGGAAGCTGAGAGAGTAAGTGCACTCCAGCCTGCATGACACAGCAAGACTGTCATCTCTTTAAAAAATAAAAAAAGATGGAGAAGATATAAATATATATGTAGACCAGGAGTTGGCAGACTGTATCTATGAAAAGTCAGAGAGTAAATACTTTAGGCTTTGCAGGTTGTAAGGTCTCTGTTGCAACGGCTCAACTCTGAAGTTGTAGCATGAAAGCAGCTACAGAAAATAGTAAACAAATGGATGGGGCTACATTCCAAGAAGGCTTCATTTATACAGAGCAGCACCTGTGCTTCGCGACTCTGCTATCCTTGCCTAGTGGCACTGCCAGGTTAAACACCGCCTCCCGCAACCTGTTAGCCTTGGAGGTCAGGGTTCTCCTGCAGACCTGGCAGAACACCTCCATGACCACAGGCTCAATTATGGGAGGACTCTTCTTGAAAGTGGAGAATTTGCCTGAGCTGTCTGTGCTCAAGAGAAGCTGCACTTGGTTTGGGTGGATTGGGATCAGGTAGCAGCCACTGACCCTGCTTAATTAAAGCCAGGGGCTGCTCCAGGGAGGTGAGGCCCACACGCTGCCTCTTCCTAAGGCCTCACATGCAGCTAGCCCTGCTTCTGCGGAGCAGCCCTTGGCTGAAAAGCCACTGTGACTGTAAGATGGCTGGTCACCTTCTGGAGTCAGAGCACTGCCTGCCCAGGCCACAGCAGAGGGCGCCACCCCAGGGCTGGAGGCAGCAGCAGTCACATGGTCAGCCCTAGAGCCTGGGGATGCTCCTGGTCTTTTCGTGAGCTCTTGTCTAGTTTGCTTGCCAAGATCTGGATTATTTGAGAAATAAGACAGAAGAGTCAGTAAGAGACACCAAGCTGTCGCTTTCATTACTCATAAAGCAGTGTCATTTATAACTCTGAGCTGTGGGCTTCCTCATTCCTGATTGCAGAATTAGAACTGCTCACCCAGTGGGAAGCAGCAGTGGGTCACAGCGGGCCCCCAGGAAGCACCCCCTGCCGCAGAGAGACTTGCTGCACTCAGGGCAGAACTGAAAGAAAGACAGCGTCTCCACCAAGGGAAACACTGGGAGGAAGGGAACTTTGCCATAACAGTTCCTGGGCCACTGACCATCCACTCCACATCCATTGTCCATCTCCTGTCATGGCTTCTTCCTCTTCTTCGGTTGACTTCCTGTGGTAAATTACACTCTGTTAAAACAGCTTCCTGAGATGGAGTTCGTGGGTGGTGATGTTTAGGGCATCGGGCCTGCGTGTTTGAGACCCTCTGATTAGAAGTTCAGACTGGGCATTACCCCCTGGGCTTTGGGAGCCTCCGTGTTGTCCTCTAGTCTCACAAGTCTGATGTAGCAAGCTCCTGGCTCACGTGTGTCACCTGTTTTCTCTCCTCTCTGAGGGCATTTAGGTTCTTTTCTAAGCCCTATTGTTTCTCAATTTCCCAGTAATGTGGAATTATTCCATGGGTCAGGACAGGGGATCCCCAAAGAGCATCATTGAGCCAAGAGAGTTTCATAGTCAGAGCTTGGGCGAATTTAGTAATAGGTAAGTACAAAATCAAGCAAACAGAAAAATATTGACTCTAAGGGAAAAGTTGTATAAGTAAGCAAAGATATCCCGAGTAGACAAATGAGGTCAACAGTGGATATCCATTTCTTTCATTTGTTGTTCTGGGCTCCCTGAACCCTTTTAGTCTGTACATTTGTGACATTAGCTGAGGGAAATTTCTCATATTGTTTCTTTGATATTTTCCCTCTTTTCTCTTTCTGGGACTTCTAATGAGGTGTTAGATTACTCAAATTAATGCTTTCCTTATTTTTGCTTTTAATGTTTTGTACTTTGCCTTTTTGGCCTACATCTGAGAGACTTCTTCATCTTTTAAGTTCTCATCCTTTTATTGACTTTTCAAAGTTCTACCATTATTTTTTGTTTGTTTTTTAGATGTGAGGTCTTGCTATGTTGCCCAGTCTGGACTCAAACTCCTGGGCTCAAGTGATCCTCCCATCTCAGCCTCCCAAGCAGTTGGAACCACAGGTGCCACCATGCTTAACATCTGTCATATTTTAAAATTTTATTTTTTTTTTGAGATGGAGTCTGGCTCTGTCGCCCAGGCTGGAGTGAAGTGGCACGATCTCGGCTCACTGCAACCTTCACCTCCGGGTTCACGCCATTCTCCTGCCTCAGCCTCCCGTGTAGCTGGAACTACAGACGCCCACCACCACGCCCGGCTAATTTTTTATATTTTTTAGTAGAGACGGGATTTCACCGTGTTAGCCAGGATGGTCTCGATCTCCTGACCTCGTGATCCGCCCGCCTCGGCCTCCCAAAGTGCTGGATTACAGGCGTGAGCCACCGCGCCAGGCCAATTTTTTTTTTTTTTTTCTGAGACAGAGTCTGTCTCGCTCTGTCGCCCAGGCTGGAGTACAGTGATGCGATCTTGGCTCACTGCAAGCTCTGCCTCCTGGGTTCACACCATTCTCCCGCCTCAGCCTCCCTTTTTCTTTTTTCTTTTTTTTTTTGAGACGGAGTCTCACTCTGTCGCCCAGGCTGGAATGCAGTGGCACAATCTCGGCTCACTGTAAGCTTCGCCTCCTGGGTTCACGCCATTCTCCTGCCTCAGCCTCTTGAGTACAGGCGCCTGCCACCACGCCCGGCTAATTTTTTTGTATTTTTTAGTAGAGACAGGGTTTCACCGTGTTAGCCAGGATGGTCTTGATCTCCTGACCTAGTGATCCGCCCGCCTTGTTCTCCCAGAGTGCTGGGGTTACAGGCGTGAGCCACCACGCCTGGCCCATATTTTTAATTTCTAAGAGCAGTTTCTTATTCTCATATATTTTAATAAAAGCTTCAAGTTCTCATTCATGGATACACAGTCTTAATGTGTCATCTCTGAGAACATTGTAGTTTAAAAGAGTTTCCTTCTGTTCTCTACACTTGCTCTCCTCCGTGTGCCTTGTTTTCTGCTTGGTCAGCACCACGCTTCTTTCATAAGTGGGGCCCTAGATCCTGCACAGAGTTTGGGATCTGCATGGGGCTTACTCACCACAGCTTAGAGGCCACTAGTTGACTTTTCTCTTTGTCCCATTATTTTTCCCAGAAAAGAATCCTTCTAGCTCTCCCCTGTGGGGAATGGACCTGTCAGTATCAGGAGCTGAGTTGGGAAGAGGGCTGGGGGCACCCCAGTTTCTTTTTTTTTTTTTTTTTTACCAAGTTCCCTATTTCTGGATGGTGTCTGGTCACCCTGTGGCTGTGCCTGGTGTCCCTGGCCCCAGGAGCCATAAGGAAGGGACATGTCCCACTGCCCTGGCCTGTAAGTTCTCAGCCCACCCTGCCCTTACTGGCCGCCAAATCAGTGTCCAGGCCTCTCTGGAGTTCTGTGGCCTGAATTCTCATCTCTAGTTGATGCCCCTTCTGTGGGCTCCTGAAACTCAGCCTTCCCTGTGCCAAGTCAGTCTTCACGTGGCCGGCTGCTTCAGTCCTCCAGGCTGGTTCGTCGTTTCTGCCTCTCCATTCTTGTCTTTTTAATTCTTTGTGTTATTTGAGATGGAGTTTGAGAGGGAATATGAACAAGCCTGTGTGCTCCATCTGCTGTGTTTGACTGGAATTTCTATACCTTGTATACATTTTTAAAACTACTAGAGCAGCACCTGTCATTTGAAGAATAACTGTAAAATGTTGATAAAGGAAAAAAGAAAATCTTAGTCCCTCCATCTAGAGAATCAGTGTCTTCTAGCTTGGTTTGTGCCATGTGTGCACACGTTTGTCCGTGTGTAGACAAGATGAGTTTGGAGCTGGGTGTGGTGGCTCACGCCTGTAATCCCAGCACTTTGGGAGGCCAAGGCAGGCAGATCACTTGAAGTCAGGAGTTCGAGACCAGCCTGGCCATCATGGTAAAACCCCGTCTCTACCAAAAATACAAAAGTTAGCCGAGCATGGTGGTGCATGCCTGTAATCCCAGCTACACAGGAGGCTGAGACAGGACGTGAACCCGGGAGGCGGAGGTTGCAGTGAGCTGAGATAGCACCACTGCACTCCAGCCTGGGCAACAGAGCAAGACTCTGTCTCAAGAAAAAAAAAAATCAGTTTGTTCCCTGTGGTATTGAGACACTTCTTCAAGGAATGATTTGGATGTTTCTCTGCTTCCTTACGTTTGATCTTCCTCCTCACCCCATGGGATGTGACTTCCTCCCCCTGCCCAGCTCACCGGTCTTAGTGTTAGAGATCTGGTAGACCTGGGGCCTCACTGTGGCCTTTGAGGCTGCCAACCTGGCCCTCCTCTCCTGCTCTCTGGTCCTCCTGCCCTGAGGGACCATGTGTTGTCCACTTGCTGGCCAGCCCCTCTGACATCCCACAGGGTGGGTACTGCCTGCCCCAATTAACAGACAAGGACACTAAAGGCCAGAAAGTTCGGCTAGTGAGGTCGGCTAGTGAGGGGATGAGCTTGGGCCTGCCCCAGCCCCCTGCGCCAGCTCTCAGGCCCCCTCTCTGCCCACACATCCAGCTTGCAGTGCCCCTGTGCCCTGACCCTACTCCATCGGGCCCCAGCCAGGTCCTCTCTCCCAAACCCAAGCCTGCTGGGCCACTCTTTGACCCTCTACACTCCACCTGCCCTTCACAGGCGCTGTTCCTCAGAGCTCTAAAAGTGGCACTTTCTTGTCTGGGCTGATGAGGCACACCCACCCCCCAGCCAGCCGAGATCATTGCGTTTCTTCCCCTTCCACACTTGGTCGGCTGCCAGGCCTGGCCAGCTGTTTCCTATAGAGTCTCTCAAACCCTGGCCCCTCCAGCCGGTCGCGTGGACCACCTTGGCTTAGGTCCAGTGCTAGGGCTGCCTCTCTACCTGGCGGTGGCCACATGTTGGCAAGAGAAGGAAGGTCATAGCAGCTGACCTTGAGCACACATTTGCTGTGTGACAGGCATGGGCAGGCACTGTCACCTGCACATTCTATTTTTTTTTTTTTTTTTTTCTGGAAACAAGAGTCTCGCTCTGTCACCCAGACTGGAGTGCAGTGGCTTGATCTCATCTCACTGCAACCTCTGCCTCCCAGGTTCAAGTGATTCTCCTGCCTCAGCCTCCCCAGTAGCTGGCATTACAGGCGCCCACCACCACACCTGGCTAATTTTTGTATTTTTAGTAGAGATGGGGTTTCACCATGTTGGCCAGAATGGTGTCAATCTCCTGACCTCAGGTGATCCACCTGCCTCGGCCTCTCAAAGTGCTGGGATTACAGGTGTGAGCCACTGCACCCGGCATATATTCTTTTTTTAAGTCAGAGTCTTACTCTGCCACCCAGGCTGGAGTGCAGTGGTGTGATCTTGGCTCACGGCAACCTCTGCCTCCCGGGCTCAAGCCATCCTGCGCCTCCCGGGCTCAAGCCATCCTGCCACCTCAGCCTCCCATGTAGCTGAGACCACAGGCATGTGCCACCTCGCCTGGCTAATTTTTCTTTCTTTCTTGTTTTTTTTTTTTTTTTTTGGAGAGACGGAGTTTCACCATGTTGCCCAGGCTAGTCTCCCACTCCTGAGCTCAAGAGTGATCCACCTGCCCACCCTCCCAAAGTGCTGGGGTTATAGGTGTAAGCCACCGTGCCCGTCCTTACCTGCACGTTCAGATGAGAAAACCCAGACACAGAGAGGACAGGTCACTTGCTGGTGTCAGGACAGGCCTGTTCTGAGACAGCCATTCCTACAGGACGCTCCCACTGGGTGGGCCCTGGGCTCCTCCCCAGCATTCCCAGAGGCAGGGTCATGCACCAGGCCTTGCTATGGGGGCTGCTGTTGAGGGCTGCGTCCTGGGCTGTGGGGTGTACCTCTCCTGGGGCGATGGCTGTCACCCACCTCTGTCTACCAGTTACAAAAGAGGGAGCAAAGTACCTTATTCACAGGTGTTGGTATTTCTTAGTCATAACGTTCTTGCGTAGTGCCTCATCCCTCACATGGTTCCTGAGCGGCTGATGGGTGTTTCTCCCGTCTAGGGATGGAGTGGTCTGTGTTTGTTGATGGAAGGGGCATGGCTTAGAAGGAAAGGAGAGGCTCAGTGGAGGGGAAGATGGAAATGGCCACAGATGTGGCCTCGCGGAAACAGTGTGGTTAGACTGGAGGTGAGAGGCCTGGAGGGAGGCAAGAGGCCTGGCAGGCGAGTGCGAAGGCCTGGAGGGAGGTGAGAGGCCTGGAGAGAGGTGAGAGGCCTGGCAGGCGAGTGTGAAGGCCTGGAGAGAGGTGAGAGGCCTGGAGAGAGGCGAGAGGCCTGGCAGACGAGTGTGAAGGCCTGGAGAGAGGTGAGAGGCCTGGCAGGCAAGTGTGAAGGCCTGGAGAGAGGTGAGAGGCCTGGAGAGAGGCGAGAGGCCTGGCAGACGAGTGTGAAGGCCTGGAGAGAGGTGAGAGGCCTGGAGAGAGGTAAGAGGCCTGGAGAGAGGTGAGAGGCCTGGCAGGCGAGTGTGAAGGCCTGGAGAGAGGTGAGAGGCCTGGAGAGAAGTGAGAGGCCTGGCAGGCGAGTGTGAAGGCCTGGAGAGAGGTGAGAGGCCTGGAGAGAAGTGAGAGGCCTGGCAGGCGAGTGTGAAGGCCTGGAGAGAGGTGAGAGGCCTGGAGAGAGGTAAGAGGCCTGGCAGGTGAGTGTGAAGGCCTGGAGAGAGGTGAGAGGCCTGGAGAGAGGTGAGAGGCCTGGAGAGAGGCGAGAGGCCTGGCAGGTGAGTGTGAAGGCCTGGAGGGAGGTGAGAGGCCTGGAGAGAGGTGAGAGGCCTGGAGAGAGGTGAGAGGCCTGGCAGGCGAGTGTGAAGGCCTGGAGAGAGGTGAGAGGCCTGGAGAGAGGTGAGAGGCCTGGAGAGAGGCGAGAGGCCTGGAGAGAAGTGAGAGACCTGCAGAGAGGTGAGAGGCCTGGAGAGAGGTGAGAGACCTGGCAGGCGAGTGTGAAGGCCTGGAGAGAGGTGAGAGGCCTGGCAGGCGAGTGTGAAGGCCTGGAGGGAGGTGAGAGACCTGGCAGGCGAGTGTGAAGGCCTGGAGAGAGGCGAGAGGCCTGGAGAGAGGCGAGAGGCCTGGAGAGAGGTGAGAGGCCTGGAGAGAGGTGAGAGACCTGGAGAGAGGCGAGAGGCCTGGAGAGAGGTGAGAGACCTGGCAGGCGAGTGTGAAGGCCTAGAGGGAGGTGAGAGGCCTGGAGAGAGGTGAGAGGCCTGGAGAGAGGTGAGAGGCCTGGCAGGCGAGTGTGAAGGCCTAGAGGGAGGTGAGAGACCTGGCAGGCGAGTGTGAAGGCCTGGAGAGAGGAAAAGCCGGAAGACTGAGAAAGGTTATTTAAAGAATGGGAGTAGGGTCAGAAAATGTCAGATATCAGCGTATAGGGCATGAGGAGCATAGAAGGTATGTTAAAAAACTGAACTTCTAGTAGTCAGAAATACCAGCTGGTCACAGGTAGTCACGTTTTTGTT
The DNA here is from genome assembly GCF_000001405.40 of Homo sapiens. NCBI lineage: Eukaryota > Metazoa > Chordata > Mammalia > Primates > Hominidae > Homo > Homo sapiens. The sequence continues at coordinate 50,406,560 of NC_000022.11, forward strand.
CTGTTCTGAGGTCTGTAGTGTTTGTTTGATCACGTGGGTCTGCTTCCTAAGAAGCAGACTATGTAAGCAGCTTCCTAAGAGTTGGAGAAGTCTAATTTCACCTCCAGTGCTTGGACTGTGCCCTTTTAGATATCCAAACACAGCCTGTGAGCTTCTGACTTGTGATGTGCCGCAGATCAGCGACCGCCTCGGTGGGGACGAGAGCCTGCTGAGCCTCCTGTACGACTTCTTGGACCATGAGCCGCCTCTCAATCCTCTGCTCGCCAGTTTTTTCAGCAAGACCATTGGCAATCTCATTGCAAGAAAAACCGAACAGGTAAATCACGTGCAAAGCCTCCGTGACTTGGGGCACCGTCATGGTGGATGCTGACGTGTCCTGCTGTGAGCCTGGCGGTGCGACTCATCCTCCGGCCGCGGGAACAGCATCTGTGACTCTTCTGCGCAACACGTGGAGCAGTGTGTGGGTTTTGCCAGTCTGGGAGCTGGAATTTGAAAGAGTGTTTCTGGCTGGGTGCGGTGGCTCAAGCCTGTAATCCCAGCACTTTGGGAGGCCGAGCTGGGCAGATCACTTGAGGTCAGGAGTTCAAGACCAGCCTGGCCAACATGACAAAACCCTGTCTCTACTAAAAGTACAAAAATTAGCTGAGCGTGGTGGTGCGCACCTGTCATCCCAGCTACTTGGGAGGCTGAGGCAGGAGAATCGCTTGAACCTGGGAGGCAGAGGTTGCAGTGAGCTGAGATCGTACCACTGCACTCCAGCCTGGGCAACAGAGTGAGACTGTCTCAAAAAAAAGAAGGAGTGTTTCTTATAGCTGGCTCTGGAATAAGCAGCACTTCCCACCATCCCTGGGAGCTGCACAGTGCCCCAAAGTAGGCCATCTTGTGCTGTCACTGACCAGGTGGAGGTGTGAGGTCCTGGGGCATCATGGCAGGACCTTGGACATCCACTTTCTCAGGTCTGCAGCTTCATCTGTCTGGGTGGCGTGTCTGTCTGTCCAGAGCATTTATTCTTTCAAAACAAAGGTCACTTCTAGCATTAGACTTCTGCAAAAGCAGTTAGTGAATTCATCTCAGCCAGCTGTAACGGGGTCTTCCTGGAGTCCATCCTTGCTCCTGCCTTACATGTGACCTGACCTGGGCTTCTGCCCCTCCAGGCTGTGGACACACAGGTAGAGAGGCGTGGTGGTCCCTGTGCCTGCACCCTGCAGTCCGCCTTGGCCAGTCTTCTTTCCTGTGTCATGCCCCACCCGCCCATCCCTGATGGGAGTATTTTAAAACAAATCCCAGACACCAGATTATTTCTCATGTAAATATTTCAGTATGTATGTACATTTATTTATTTTTGAGACAGGGTCTCACTACGCCCAGGCTAGAGTCCACTGGCTCCAACACAGCCCACTGCAGTCTCAACCTCCTCAAGCTCAGGTGATCCTCCCACCTCGGCCTCCTGAGTAGCTGGGACTACAGGCACATAACACCACACCTGGCTAGTTTTTAAAATATTTTTTGTAGAGATGGGGTTTCCCCATGTTACCCAGGCTGGTTTCGAACTCTTGGGCTCAAGTGATCTGCCTGCCCAGGCCTCCCAAAGTCCTGGGACTACAGGTGTGAGCCACGATGCCCAGCTATGTATCTCTAAAATAAAGACTTTTTTCTTTTAAATATAATCAGAATTTCATGATCACACTCCAAAAATATTAACCGTAATTGTTTCATACCATCAAACATTCAGTCAGGGCACAAACCAGTATCTTACATCTGCTTTGAGCTCTGAGAAAGCGCAGCTCCACGAAGGCCGCGGTTCCCCTTGACGACATTCAGCATGCATGTGAGTGTTCAGTGGAATGCCGTCTTCCCTTGCGCTGTAAATCTGAGAGTTGCAAGGGCCGCCAGGGGACTGCCTCACCTCAGCTCCTTCTGAAGCTGAGTGTGAGTGAAGGTCGCCAGCAGCAGTGGGTCGTGCTGGGTGTGAGGCTGCTGGCAGAATGGGAGTGGGAGTGGAGGCAGCGGGGAGCTGTGGTGTGGGCCGGGGGATTGTCGTGGCTGTGAGGTGGTAGTAGATGTTGTAAAAACCTTTACTACCTGGCCCTTGCAGCCCAGTGACTAGATGCATGTATCTCATAATTTGCCATAACCTGATCTTATTCCCCTGCCACTTTCGGATATTTTCTTTATAATTTTACTGCTTCATATAATATTTTTCTTCCATTCTCTCACCCAGTACTTAAGGCATTAAAGTAATATGAACTGAACTGTTAAACATTTCTTCTGTTGGCTGGGTGCGGTGGCTCACGCCTGTAATCCCAGCACTTTGGGAGGCCGAGGCGAGTGGATCACCTGAGGTCAGGAGTTCGAGACCAGCCTGACCAACGTGGAGAAACCCCGTCTCTACTAAAAATACAAAATTAGCCGGGCGTGGTAGCACATGCCTGTAATCCCAGCTACTCAGGAGGCTGAGGCAGGAGAATCACTTGAACCCAGGAGGCAGAGGTTGCAGTGAGCTGAGATTGCGCCATTGCACTCCAGCCTGGGCAACAAGAGCGAAACTTTCCATCACCCAGCAGCTGGCTTGTTCTCACGGCCAGCTGTGAGGCAGGGATGCCTTGAGCCTTCCTCCTGTGTTTCCTGAAACTGTGGGAGTAGCCTAAAGGTGGGGCTTCAGTGAAATGACCGTCCGCATTTTCCCCGCCCTTCATTATGAATTCTTTCAAACGTCTACAAATGAGAGAAAATATTTCATGAACCCCCATGTCTCTGTCACTCAGATTCCACATCATCTGTTCATGGCTAATCACATTTCTTCTATATCTCTTTATTTGTTTTTCTTCAAGATTATTTTTATGATTCTTTGCCTTTTGATCATGATGATGATGATGATGATTTTTTTGAGGCAGAGTCTTGCTCTGTCGCCAGGCTGAAGTGCAGTGGCGCAATCTCAGCTCACCACAACCTCCGCCTCCCGGGTTCCAGCGATTCTTCTGCTTCAGCCTCCCCAGTAGCCGGGTCTGCAGGCGTGCACCCCCACGCCCAACTAATTTTTGTATTTTTAGTAGAGACAGGGTTTCACCATGTTGGCCAGGATGGTCTCAATCTCTTGACCTCGTGATCCGCCCACCTTGGCCTCCCAAAGTGTTGGGATTACAGGCGTAAGCCACCGCGCCCGGCCGACGATGATGATGATTTTTGAGATGGAGTTTTGCTTTGTTGCCAAGGCTGGAGTGCAGTGGCGTGACCTTGGCTCATTGCAACCTCTGCCTCCAGGGTTCAAGCAATTCTCCTGCCTCAGTCTCCCAAGTAGCTGGGATTACAGGCGCCTGCCACCACACTGGGGTAATTTTTATATTTTTTAGTGGAGACAGAGTTTCACCATGTTGGCCAGGCTTGTCCCAAACTCCTGACCTCAGGTGATCTGCCTGCTTCAGCTTCCCAAAGTGCTGGGATTACAGGTGTGAGCCACTGCACACGGCCTATTTTGTTTTTTGTTTTTATTTTTTTTCTTTTCTATTTTTTAATTTTTGCTTTCTCTTTTTTATTGTTTTAGAATAAGCAAATTTTAGAATGAGTTTGTCACTTTCTACATTCTCCCTCTCCATACCCTGCCCCCCAAAAATAAACCTACTGAAATTTTGATGAGGTTTGCATTGGCTGTAGTTGGGTCTGACAAACTGTGGTCCACAGGCCAAAAGCAGCCATCACTGATTGTGTGAGTGAGGTCTTAGTGTAGCACAGCCACTTCCATTCCTGTGCACGCTGCCCGGGGCTCCTTTCACACCACAGCAGCACAGCTGGTAGCTCAGGCTACTTTGATTTCTCAGAAATACACTGCAGTTCTCTGTATGGCAGTCTTAAGCATCTTTCACTAGATTTATTCTTAGGTATTTGATATCTTTGTATTATTTTGAGTGGTGTCTTTTTTTTTTTTTTTTTTTTTTTTTGAGACGGAGTCTTGCTCTGTCGTCCAGGCTGGAGTGCAGTGGCGCAATCTTGGCTCACTGCAACCTCCACCTCCTGGGTTCAAGCGATTCTCATGGATTCTCGTGCCTCAGCCTCCCGTCTGGGGGATAGAGTGAGATTCTGTCTCCAAAAAAAAGAAAAAAGAACCTCTTATTTTTTTCAAGCCCATAATGATCAATGTATCATATTCACATACATCAGTATTCTAGTTGTGATATTATACTGGTGTTTTAGAAAATGTCACAATTGGAGGAAACATGTCAAAGCATACAAGGATTTTGTTTTTGTTTTCGTTTGAGACAAAGTCTCCCTTTTGTCTCCCAGGCTGGAGTGCAGGGGCACAATCTCGGCTCACTGCAACCTCCGCCCCCTGGTTCAAGTGATTCTCCTGCCTCAGCCTCCCGCGTAGCCAGGATTACAGGTGCCTGCCCCCATGACCCGCTAATTTTTGTATTTTTAGTAGAGATGGGGTTTCACCATGTTGGCAAGGCAGTCTTGAACTCCTGACCTCAGGTGATCCACCGGCCTTGGCCTCCCAAAATGCTGGGATTACAGGTGTGAGCCCCCACACCCGGCCTTTAAATGGTATCTTTTTAATTGAAATTTTGACTGAGATTACTGTATTTACATGAGGTTGTATGAAATAATATGAAGAAAATCCTTGGCCAGGAGCAGTGGCTCACTCCACCCAACACTTTGGGAGGCCGAGGTGAGTGGATCACTTGAGCCCATGAGTTTGAGAGCAGCCTGGCCAACATGCCGAAACCCCGTCTCTACTAAAAATATAAAAATTAGCTGGGTGTGGTGGCACACGCCTGTAATCCCAGCTCCTTGGTGGGGCTGAGACAGGAGAATCACTTGAACCTGAAGGCGGAGGTTGCAGTGAGCCAAGATTGGGCCACTGCACTCCAGCCTAGGTAACAGAGCGAGACTCTGTCTCCAAAAAAAAAGAAAAAAGGCCAGGCGTGCTGGCTCACACCTGTAATCCCAGCATTTTGGGAGGCCAAGGCAAGCGGATTATCTGAGGTCAGGAGTTTGAGACCAGCCTGGCCCAACATGGTGAAACCCTGTCTCTACTAAAAATACAAAAATTAGCTGGGCGTGGTGGCCGGCACCTGTAATCACAGCTACTCAGGAGGCTGAGGCAGGAGAATCACTTGAACCCGAGGGTGGAGGTTGCAGTGAGCCGAGATTGTGACTCTGCACTCCAGCCTGGGCGACAAAGGGGAGACTGTCTCAAACAAAAACAAGGCCTGGCGCAGTGGCTCACGCCTGTAATCCCAGCACTTTGGGAGGCCGAGGCGGGCGGATCACAAGGTCAGGAGATCGAGACCGTCCTGGCTAACACGGTGAAACTCTGTCTCTACTAAAAATACAAAAAATTGGCTGGACGTAGTGATGGGTGCCTGTAGTCCCAGCTACTCGGGAGCCTGAGGCAGGAGAATGGCATGAACCCAGGAGGCGGAGCTTGCAGTGAGCCGAGATTGCGCCACTGCACTCCAGCCTGGGCCAGAGTGAGACTGCATCTCAAAAAAACAAACAAAATCCTTGTATGCTTTGACATGTTTCCTCCAATGGTGACATTTTCTAAAACACTAGTAGAATATCACAACTAGAATATTGATGTGAATGTGTGAATATGATCCATCGATCATTATGGGCTCAAAAAAAATAGAGGTTATTTTTTCTTTTTTTGGAGATAGACTCTCACTCTATCCCCCAGGCTGGAGTGCAGTGGTGTGATCTCGGCTCACTGCAACCTCTGCCTCCTGGGTTCAAGCAATTCTCATGCCTCAACATTCCGAGTAGCTGGGATTACAGCCACCCACCACCACGTCTTGCTAATTTTTATATTTTTAGTAGAGACCATGTTGGCCAGGCTGGCCTTGAACTCCTGAGATCAAGTGATCCGCCTGCCTTGACCTCCCTCAAGTGCCAGGATTACAGGCATGAGCCACCATGCCCAGCCTGGGGTTATTTTTTCTTAAATGTTTGGAAGAATTTATTAGGCCATTAAACCTTCTCTGTATAGAGAGCCTATTAATTATAGATTTTGTGGAGTTTTAGTATGTTCTGGAACTATTCTGATTTTGTTTCTTGTCAGTTTAAATAAGTCCTTTTTTTTTTTTTTTTTTTTTTTTTTTTTGAGACGGAGTCTTGCTCTGTCACCCAGGCTGGAGTGCAGTGGCGTGATCTCGGCTCACTGCAAGCTCTGCCTCCTGGGTTCATGCTATTCTCCTGCCTCAGCCTCCCGAGTAGCTGGGATTACACGTGCCCACCACCATGCCCGGCTAATTTTTTTTGTATTTTTAGTAGAGACGGGGTTTCACCATGTTAGCCAGGATGGTCTTGATCTCCTGACCTCAGGTGATCCACCTGCCTCGTCCTCCCAAAGTGTTGGGATTACAGGTGTGAGCCACTGCGCCTGGCCTAGATAAGTCCTTTTTTTTTTGTTTTTTTTTTTGAGACAGAGTTTTGCTCTTGTTGCCCAGGCTGGAGTGCAATGGTGCGATCTTGGCTTACCGCAATCTCCGCCTCCCAGGTTCAAGCAATTCTGCCTCAGCCTCCCGAGTAGCTGGGATTACAGGCATGCACCACCACGCTTGGCTAATTTTGTATTTTTAGTAGAGACGGGGTTTCCTCCATGTTGAGGCTGGTCTCGACCTCAGTCTGGTCTGACCTCAGGTGATCCACCCACCTCGGCCTCCCAAAGTGCTGGGATTACAGGCGTGAGCCACCGCACCTGGCCAGATAAGTATTTTTTTTCAAGGAAATTTCTTTTCTAAATTTACAAAAACTGGCATAAAATTGTTTCTATTAATTTCTCATAATATAGCAGGTGTGGTGGCTCCTGCTTATTATTACAGCATTTTGGGAGGCTGAGGTGGGAGAATCACTTGAGCTCAGAAGGTGGAGGCTGCAGTGAGTTATGATCGCACCACTGCACTCCAGCCTGGGGGACAGAGTAAGACCTTGTCTCAAAAACATAAAAACAAAACTACAAACCTCTCATAATAGTTTTTATTTCTGTAGGATCTTTGGCGATGCCCCTTGTTTCATTCTTAATATTGTTATTTGTACCTTCTGTTTTGTCCTTCGTCTTTCTAGAAGTTTAATCATCCTTTTCAAAGAGCCATCCTCCTCTCCTCCTCCCCTACCCCCTCCTCTTCCTTCTTCCCCTTCTCTTTTCCCACCACTCCTTTTCCTACTGTCCCTCCTCATTGCAGCACTGGGGAGTGAGGCTGAGGCCCTGCAGCCAGGTGGGCCTTCTCTGTGTTCCCATTGTTTCCAGTGGAGGGCTGGGTCTACCCCAGCCCCCAGCCCAGTAGCCTGGACATAGCAGACACTTATTTCTGTAGGCTGAGTTGAGCTGAATTTGCAGCGAGCCCAGCCTTCACTTCTCCACTGTTACCTTGGATCCGCCGTCTGAGCAGCCCACTGCGTCTGTGATGGGTGCTGTGCCCCCCCATGGCCTCACGCTTAGCTGTCTACACCTTGTTGGCACTGGTCATCAGCCAGCTGCAGGATGCCTCTTTTTCTTTTCTAAAACCTCAGTCTTCTTTCCCCTTCAACCGCTCATGGGTTTTGGTCAGCAGCTGGCGTCTTGTGCACTCTGTGCTCCCTGGATGTGTGTTCTAGGCCTGGGGCTGCCAGTGATGGCCATCAGCTCAGCTCAGCTCTGTCTATACCATTCGTTTCTGTTGGAAAAACCCGAACCAGTAGGTATTGGATGGCAGCTGCTCACGGCAGCCTGTGCTGCCCCACCTGGGACAGCTGTGTCCTGTCGGTGCAGAGCCACAGGGGTCCCTGTGCAGTGGCCCCCCCCCCCCCCCCCCCGCCCAGACCCTCACATACACCACTGCCTGGTAGGACTCTGCCTGTCCCTTGAGGGGGCTTTCTTACAATCTTGTCTGGGTCTTTCCGTTATTTCTGCTTAATATAATTACTAGTTCAACTTTCCCATGAGAGTTTTTGGAGGAGGTGTCTCAGGGTTGTCAGGGTCGGCCCCGCCTGCCTCTCAGGTGTGTGTGATTTCAGGTGATTACGTTTTTGAAGAAGAAGGACAAGTTCATCAGCCTGGTGTTGAAGCACATCGGCACCTCAGCGCTTATGGACCTGCTGCTGCGCCTGGTCAGCTGTGTGGAGCCAGCCGGGCTCCGGCAGGACGTCCTGCACGTGAGTGCGGGAGTCCCCCCCCGTTCCCGAGGGCAGGGGTGCTGCAGGAAGCCAGCTGGTTAAGTGCAGGAGCTCAGAGCACCAGGGCGCCCGGCCCCCATCTCTCCACCTAGCGTGCATTTCTCCGTGGGGCTGTTAGGGGTTCTTGTCAAGGATTGTGGCCTGTACCTTTTCCACTGTCCCGACTTAACTCGCTCAGAAGCACAGAGCAGAGAGGTCCCTTCTCCCCGCAGTCTCCAGCCTCCGGCTCTGTGAAGAGGCCGAAATGGACTTTCCTCGCCTGCCTCCTTTTCCCCTGCCAGCGCCCACCCCTGTGGCTTAGAGCAGGAGGTCAGTGAGGTGCTAGCCCTGCGTCCAGGCCTGTGCCTGCCAGGAGAGCCCCGGTGGACAGCAGTTCCCTGCAGAGCCCCGTTGTTTACCCTGGAGTGTGGATGCGTCTGTTCTGATGGTGTTTAGTCAGTGAGAACAGGTGCTACAGTTCCCGAAAAGAGGAGGATGCCCCCCAGATAAGCCCAGGAAATCCGTGCTGACAAACTTCTGCTCACTGTTCGGCCAGCTTTGTTTGTGGTGAAGTTTAAAATAGAGTAGAGTAAACCCTGAGGCGCTCTGCCTGTTTCCCAGCTCCTGGAATCAGGACTCATCCGATGACCACTCTCACTCTTAGGTTAGTAATGCTTCCTCAGGGAGGAGCTTCTCACCAGGAATGACTGACCGCCACCAACCTTTACACAGTGGACACAGGATCAGTACTAGCTGTGGTCATAGCCGTTAGTGGGAAGCCTGCAGAACTGTACGTCAGGCAGCCTTTTAGCTGCTTTACTTGATTCACTTCACGAAGTAGCCACGGGGGGACAGCTCATCCCATTTTTGGATAAGGAATTTAGGCACAGGGCGCAGCAGTGCGGTGCGGTAGCCAGGTACGGCCCAGGCCTGCCAGACCCCGACACTCACACTGGGCCCCCGTTGCCCTTGAGCTTTACCCCACAGTGTTCGTGTAGCCTCTCCAGGGTGGAGTTACTCTTCCTCAACATGGGAAGGCCCCAGTGCTGCAGGGAACAGCTGAGGCTTCTCTGGCTTCAGCATCCAGCGGGGCTCCTGAGCTATAGCTTGTGTGGCTCATTTGCACCCTGGTCCTTAAGAGAGAAGTCCTGAAGACAGAGCTTACATACGCACCATTAGGACAGAGGGATGGTGGTCATCCTTTATCATCTTTTGAGCCACTCCCAGAACCTCCCAGAACTCAGTCATTGTGTGTTATGTGTGTTCTTTCTGGGTCTGGGGTGTGTCAGGCAAAGAGTCTATATTCTAGAAAACGGGTGCAGTGCTGCACCAAAGGGGAAAGGTTCCTGTTGTTTACTTAGACTTGAGCAGCGACACTGAAAGGCCTCTTTTTCTCTTTCAGTGGCTGAATGAAGAGAAGGTCATCCAGAGGCTTGTGGAGTTGATCCACCCGAGCCAGGATGAAGATGTGAGTGTGCTGCTTACCGAGCTTCGTGCATCAGTCCAGGCCTGTGCTGCCAGGTCACCCACTGCTGCGGGCCAGGGGGCGAGGGAGGGCAAGTCATCCCTTTCCTAAGATGAGGATCGGTTAGGTACTTTTCTTTCTTTAATCAAGCACTGACTTCTAGGCTGGATTTTTTTTTTCTTTTTTTTTTTGAGATGGCGTTTCGCTCTTGTTGCCTGGGCTGGAGTGCAGTGGTGCAATCTCGGCTCACCACAACCTCCGCCTCTTGGGTTCAAGCAATTCTCCTGCTCACCCAGTCGGGTGAGCCACCACACCCAGCCTCTAGGCTGTTTTCTTCTTGTTGTTGTTGTTGTTTAAATAGAGATGAGGTCTCACTACATTGCTCAGGCTGGTCTCAAAAACCTGGCCTCAAGTGATCCTCCTACCTCAGCCTCCTAAAGTGCTGTGGTTACAGGAGTGAGCCACCATGCCTGGCCTACACTTTTTTTTCTTAACTGAAAAATAATCTATGTGTATTATAAAAATAGGACAGGCGCGGTGGCTCATGCCTGTAATCCCAGCACTTGGGGAGGCTGAGGCGGGCCGATCACTTGAGGTCAGGAGTTTTGAGACCAGCCTGGCCAACGTGGCGAAACCCTGTCTCTACTAAAAATTAGCGAAGTGTGGTGTCAGGTGCCTGTAATCCCAGCCACTCAGGAAGCTGAGGCACAAGAATCACTTGAACCCAGGAAGGGGAGCTTGCAGTGAGCCGAGATCACACCACTGTGCTCCAGCCTGGGCGACAGTGAGATTCTGTCTCAACAAACAAGCAAACCAAAGAACAATTCTAATAGAATTGTATCAGTCGTCTGTGACCGAATAGCAAATTACCCTGAAATGTAGTTGCTTATGGCAAGTATTTTTACCTGTAGCAGTATCAGTTTCTGTGGATCAGGCGTCTGAATGTGGCTTAGTGGCTCTTCTGTTGAGTCTCACAAAATACAGTCATCTCAGAGCTCCACTGGGGTAGAGGCCAGCTCCATGGTCACAGATGGCTTGGCAGCATCCAGTTCCTCAGGGCTGTGGGCCGAGGCCGCCCTCAGCATTGCACCACATGGGCGTCTCCACAGGGCAGCACACAACGTGGAGCTGAGCTTTCCCCTCACTCTTAATGTATTTGGCTCTTTAGACCTGGGTGGCTGGGTCCAGCCCACACTAAAAGAGATGGGGGCTATAAAGGCATGAACTCCAGGACGGGATTGCTAGGGGCCCCCTAGGAGCCACCCACCCTGGAAGCACCTAAGGTGACAATGGGGCTCCCTGTGGTGATCCCTGTTGAGAGTTTGGGGTATATCCCAGTAGGCCTTTTCCTAGCATTACACATACCGATCTATACATACAACCACGTGTCCTTGGCAGATTGGAAAACAGTGGTGCTGACTCGTGTCTGAGGCCTTCACCGCTGCCTGGCCAACCACCCTACTTTGTTCTCCATCAGCCCACAGGGCTGATCAGACAGACAGGAGAGGCCACGTTGGCGTCTGTAGGAAACAAGGAGGCCGCCCTGCCTGATGTTGGCGTCTGTAGGAAGCAAGGAGGCCGCCCTGCCTGAGAACTGGAGCCCACCCATGCATGTGGGTGTTGTGGGCTGATGGCCTGGCCTGGGTCCCAAAGGCAGACCTGAGAGCTAATCTGGCTGCTTTCTTTTCTCCCTAAAATACTCCTGTGAGTGTTTGCTTTCCCTCAGTCTTCCCACAGCATGTGAACCAATGCTGCAGGGAGTCAGGGGTTGTTTCTCTCTTAATCACATTTGTCTTACCTACAGAACAGCCCTACATTGTCAGCAGGGGCACGTTCCCATCACGGATTGCGTGTTAATGTTTCCCTAGAAAAGATGAGTCCTCTGTTTTCTTGGTAGCAACTTCCCTATTTTCATTAGCTTACAGGACTCATTCTGAATAATAGCAGCTACTTATTACCACATTTAAAATATAGTATCAGTAACATGGCCACATATTCAGCATATTTCAAAACGTGGATCACAGGTATAGCCCAGTATCTGCATTGCATATCTGACCATTATTAGCCCTGTTTTGAATTCCTGAAGATAGTTCAATGCAGCTTTAAAAAAAAGAAAACTCTAACCAGATCTACATTTTGACGACAGAAAAGGCAGACACAGGCTTCTTTGAAATGAAGCTGTTGTCTGGAATCTTTCTTTGTAGGAAACTGGTTTAGAGAAAGTCCCACATCTTTTTCTTTTTTTTTTTGAGATGGAGTCTCGCTCTGTCACCCAGGCTGGAGTGCAGTGGTGCGATCTTGGCTCACTGCAAGCTCCTTCTCCCAGGTTCAAGCCATTCTCCTGCCCTCAGCCAACCGAGTAGCTGGGACTACAGGCACCCGCCACCACGCCCGGCTAATTTTTTGTATTTTTAGTAGAGATGGGGTTTCACCGTGTTAGCCAGGATGGTCTTGATCTCCTGACCTGATGATCTGCCTGCCTTGGCCTCCCAAAGTGCTAGGATTACAGGCCTGAGCCATTGTGCCTGGCCAAAAGTCCCACATCTTAAAAAAAAAGAAAAAGTATTTGAACATCACAGTGGTATTGAACAACAACGAAAGTCTAGCATCTGCCAGAGAAGCAGCAGGACTTGTGCCCTGTGTGCCCAGCAGGGCTGGTCCTGCTGTTTCTTCTCCACACTGAGGGACTCTGTGTTTCCCTTGTCTTTTCAGAGGCAGTCAAATGCTTCTCAGACTCTCTGTGACATAGTTAGGCTGGGCAGAGACCAGGGCAGTCAGCTGCAAGAGGCTCTGGAGCCAGACCCGCTCCTCACAGCGCTGGAGTCGTGAGTGCTGGTGGGCCGTGGTGCTGGTGGGCCTCCCTTTCTGGGTCATGGGGACGTCTGTGAGCCTTGCTCTGAGCACCAGGATATGTTGCCACCTCCTCTGATTCACATTCGAATGAACCCCAGGTTCAGAGCCCATGTTAACTTGGGGCCTGTTTCCAGAGGGAGGGGTCTCCAGAGGAGTCACCTGGTGGGTCTAGAGAGTGGGCCAGCAGCAGCAGGAGTGTCCTGAGAACCCTGGCGCCTTGCCTTGAGCCTGAGCAGGTTGAGGGTTTTGCTGGGGTCCTCCACGGGGAGGAAGGAGCATCCTTGCATCCTTTGTGTGTGTGTCTGCTCTGCCAGGCAGTGACCTCTGTGTGTGTCCAGCAGGCAGGACTGTGTGGAGCAGCTTCTGAAGAACATGTTTGATGGAGACCGGACGGAGAGCTGCCTCGTCAGTGGGACTCAGGTGTTACTCACCTTGCTGGAAACCAGGCGGGTTGGGTGAGTCTCACGAGGAGAAATCGTGTAGAGCTGAACTTGACGCCTCAGTGATATGGCAGCCCACACGAGCAGTCTGGATTATGTCATTTGTGGTTTTAATTTTTGATTATGCAAGTAACAACATGGATAGATTCCCCTTGTTGAAGGCTTGACTTTATGGCTGTGGCCAAGTCCCCTTAGACCCTCATCATCACTGGTGCTCCCTCTCCAGCCTGAAGCTGCTCGTCACGACCAGTTGGCGATGCATTTGTCGATGTGCGTGGAACAGGTGTGGTTGGCAGGTTTTCCCCAAGGACTGTTCCGACAAGTCCCCACAGCTCCCGTGTGTGTTTGTGTGTGTGTCGCAGGGTTTCCACTCTGATGCATGGTTACATATACATGTGTTTATCTCCCATGCAGACTGGCCCTCACAGGGCAGGGGTGTGACACTCACCGCTGTCTCCCGTGCCCTGTGCACCCACGGGTCGGCACCGCCTGCTGAGCGTCGTGCTGAGCACTTTTTTCCCAGGCGACTCTCCTCCATTGCCCTTTCTCATTCATCAGGTGTCATTTCTGCACCCACTGTGCACTAACACGGGCCCGAGGAGACAGAGAACTGAGACACAGCCCCTCCCCTTTAATTGCTCCCAGTCTGGCACAGGAGGCCCGTCTGTGGACAGCGAGGGTGATGCAGAGTGGCGAGTGCAGTAGACATGCACCCAGTGCCTCGGGGCTCACAAGAAGGGACCCACATGGGGCTGGTGGGTGGAGCCTCGCAGTCAGGGACATTTTCCCTGAGAGGCCGCATCTGGTCAGACACAGCTCCTTGGATGAGGCAGTGAGGGGGTCCCAGTGTGGACACAAGCATGGGGCAGTATGTGGCAGAGGAGAGTGGAGCTTGCTTGGAGGTGCTCCTTTGCTGTGACCCCACATCGCTGTCCTGAGGTGCAGCTGTCGGAGGCTGCTGAGTCACGACAGTGAATGGGCAGAGACAGAGGAGTCAGCAGCAGAAGAGTGAGTTCGGGTGAAAGTTGAGTTTGTTTGAGGATATAGGTGCTGGAGACCCTTCTCTGACCCCCAGTAGAAATTTCAGGAAGTGTTTGAAACTGTTTCTCTGGATCATAGTGTGGCCTAGTCCTTCCCTCAAGTCATAGAAGGCTGGGCACTGCCAGAGCCGTTCAAGCAGTTGAAACTCCAAAGAGGATGCCCATGAGGCGCAAATGGAAAGACAGCCGAGTGGAGTCTGTGAGGGAGGCATTGGCACAAGGGGGTGTGGTTGGCCCGCCAGGTGCCCAGGAGATCCTATAGGGTGTGTCCCAAAAGGGCCACATCAGTGTCCTCTGGGCACTTCCCCTCCTGGCCTCACCCTGGCCCTTGAACCCCATCTCTGGATTCAGGTTCCCCACATGCCGGCAGGAACCTGATGTCTCAGGACGTTTCCGTCGTCTCCGTTCCATCACAGGCTGGGACGATGTCTAACTCTCCCAAGGTGGCCGTAGCTCCCTTATTTCCACGTTCTGGGGAGAACATAATTCAGCCCCCAACACTGATAGCCTGTGCTTTTTTAAAGTGAAAGAAAAAGGAACAATGAGAAAATGATAAGAAATTGACTTAACCTTGATAGTGAGGTTGTTAGGACTCTCTTTCTCTCTCTCTCTCTCTCTCTGTCTGTCTCTGGTAGTACCTAATACATATTTGTTAGTTTATTAACCAGAAGTAGTGTTATAATGTTACCGTTTTCTCTAGTTAGGCAACTGGAATATTGATATTTTAATCTTCATAAACCCAGGAAAGCTGAGCCACTTCTGAGGCCCAAGCTTAACCCTGTATGTGATAGAGGGGACTGTGTAAAAATCAGGAAAACAGAGATAAGCCAGCTGTTTCTCTTAGATTATTGTGATTATTATTATTATTATTTTCAGACAGTGTCTTGCTCTGTCACCCACGTGGGAGTACAGCAGCACGATCATATCTCAGCGTGGCCTCAGAGTCCTGAGCTCAAGCGATCCTCCCACCTGTCCCCCCCAAAGTGCTGGGATTATAGGTGTGAGCCACTGCACCTGGCTCTCTGATTTTTAAAATTATTTTGCATATTACTTTAAAAAATATATGATTACGTATTACTTTTACAACTGGAAAGAGTGTTTAAATAAATATCTCAGAAGACTTGCTTGAAAACACCACAGGGGGTAGGCGCAGTGGCTCACGCTTGTAATCCCAGCACTTTGGGAGGCCAAGGCGGGTGGATCACCTGAGGTCAGGTGATCGAGACCAGCCTGGCCAACATGGCAAAATCCTGTCTCTACTAAAAATACAAAAAGGAGGCTGAGGCAGGAGAATCGCTTGAACCCAGGAGGTGGAGGTTGCAGTGAGCTAAGATCGCACCATCGCACTCCAGCCTGGGTGACAGAGCGAGACTCTGGCTCAAAAAAAATAAAAATAAATAAAAATAAAAGTCGACACAGGAACAGTGAAAGAGACAGGGATAGCAGTGAAGGTTTTAAAAGTGGGACAGAGCAGGACCTCTAACTGGTGCTAGGGCCAGTGAGTCCTGTGTTGTGTCACTTGCCCTGCCTCCATATTCTCGGATGTCGCAAGCAAGCATCTGCCTGAAGGTCTTTAGTACCTTTCTCTTCTGCCTGTACCAGTCACCAGATCACGTGTGGAGACGCTGGGTAGCTGCACTGCTCTAGGGTTTCTTTTTGGGAAAGTTAAAAGGGCTCTTTCTGGAAGAAGCGGGTGCACTGAGTTGCTGGTGAGGTTGGACAGGGTCCTGGTGTCCCCGGTCTCCATCTGCTTTCCTCATCCACAGGACAGAGGGCTTGGTGGACTCCTTTTCTCAGGGACTGGAAAGGTCATACGCTGTCAGCAGCAGCGTACTACACGGCATCGAGCCTCGGCTGAAGGACTTCCACCAGCTCCTGCTCAACCCGCCCAAGGTAAATGGCCGTGGCGACTGCTGAGTGCCTTTGGAGGCGTCGCAGGAGAGGTTGATTTGCAGGGAGGAGAAGCCACAGCTTGTCCCATAGGTAGCAGAGTGTGGAGTGAATGTGTTCTAAGACGGCCATTCCCACACCCCCACTTGAGAAGCACCGGGCAGGTGCCAAAACACATTTTCAGGACTGCCCCTCCCAGATCTGCAAATGCTCATCTCTGCCTCTGCAAATGACCCCGAGGTCACCATAAGCCTGGCCTCCAAGTTGGGGGCACCTAGCTAAGGGGTGCTCGGCTCCTGAGAGGGGACCAGGGGGTGGCAGGGGAGGCCCTTTGCCCTGCTCAGCAGCATGTTGAGGGGGGTGAGGCACACAAAGGCTCCTCCTGGTTCAGACTGCCAGCCAGGCAACTCCCCATCCCGTCTCACCCTCCCCAGACACAACCCGACCCCTGCTGCATAGCACCCTCCTGACCTATAGCTCAGTTCCTCTCACTCGCCACCTTGGTAAGATCCACCTGTCCCACTAGCGAGCTCTGTGGGGGCCAAGATTCTGTTTTGTCAGCTGGAGGTTTCAGTGAAGAGAAGGTAGGTGCAGTAGGCTGAGTGTGGGGGATCAGAAAAGACCGCGGTCCATCGGAGGAGGCATTCCCGTCAGTGTCCCCAAAGTGTGTTCATGGGACACTTGTTAGCTTGGTGTTCTGAGATTGTGGCCGCAGAGGGACCCCCACTGGGCATCCTCAGTGAGGCATCGTGCCAAGGGCTCTGGCCTTAGACCGGTACTGCTGGCCCCATCTTGGACATCTCACCCGCTGAGGTGCACGGCTCTCTGGCCCTGCAGGCTCAGACTGGAGTGCCCGTGAGCATCCTGGGAGCACTCTCTGAAGCCCTGAGGGGAGCAGCAGGCTCTTCACCCCATTGATGCCTTCATTTCTTCTGGCAGACGGCCCTCCCTGAGGAACCCCCACCACATACCTCGCTACCCCAGGCTGGGTCCCAGCCTAGAGTGATGGGCATGAGCCCAGAGACTCCAGCAGTGGCCTCACTGCTCACAGGGCCTAACTGGGTGGTGCCTTCTGTGTTTGCAGAAGAAAGCGATCCTGACCACCATTGGTGTGCTGGAGGAGCCCCTGGGGAATGCCCGTCTGCATGGCGCCCGCCTCATGGCAGCACTGCTGCACACAAACACACCCAGCATCAACCAGGAGCTCTGCCGGCTCAACACGATGGACTTACTGCTGGTAAGTGGGCCCCTCAGCCAGCCCTGCATGTCTGTGAGTGTGCCGGGCATGGCCTGTGGACTTGTCAGGAGCAGCAGAGCAGGGCCCCAGCATTTGGACAAAGCTCTGCCACGGGGAGGTTCCAGTCCCAAGTCCCAAGGCTGGACTACAGGTCTCTGGCGGGGCACAGAGCAGCAGTGGGGTGTGTCTCAGCTGCAGGCTCATGGGAAGTGACGAGTCTACCGTAGAATTGCCCTGAAAGCAGAAGGCGGATTTCTAACCCGGTTTGATGGAATAGAGTGACACGTCTACCTCCTTTCTCATGTTCTGACTGAACAACATAGAACTTACACGGTGGTTATTAGGTATAAAATGGCTAAAAGAGAAGCTCCTGTCGTCCACAGTAGAAGGCCAACCTGGCAGTTTTTGTCAAAGCCAGCGGGCAGTGCCTCTCCATCCCGCAGACGGCTTGCATGATGCTCCAGGTGGCTGAGGAGAGGAAGGGGCAGGCGGTGCTGGCAAGTAGTGCCAGTGAGCAGCCCTGGCTGTGGGTGGCGGGCTCCTCTGCGGAGAGCATGAGGCTGCTCCCCTGAGAACGAAGGGCACTGCCCTAGTGGGTCCTGTTGGCAGACGCAGCCCCCGTCTTCTGCCTGGCTCTGGGGCTCTGCTGGAATCTCCCTGCAATCTTAGTCCCAGAACTGGGCTCGAAGTGCTGTCTGGCTCAGTTCTGTCAGCGTGTGGAAGGTCTGTCCGCGTGTGGAAGGTCCGTCCGCGTGTGGAAGGTCCGTCCGCGTGTGGAAGGTCCGTCAGTGTGTGGAAGGTCCGTCCGCGTGTGGAAGGTCCGTCCGCGTGTGGAACGTCTGTCAGCGTGTGGAAGGTCCGTCCGCGTGTGGAACGTCTGTCAGCGTGTGGAAGGTCTGTCCGCGTGTGGAACGTCTGTCAGCGTGTATGAGTTCTGGGCACTGCTTTGGCTGTGAGATCCCAGTCTGCATCAGGGAAGCAATTACAAAAGAGACCTACTTTCCTTTTCCCTCTTCTTCTTTTTTTTTTTTTTTTTTTTTTTGAGATGGAGTCTCTCTCTGTCGCCAGGCTGGAGTGCAGTGGCGGGACCTTGGCTCACTGCAATCTCCGACTCCCTGGTTCAAGCGATTTTCCTGCCTCAGCCTCCCGAGTAGCTGAGATTACAGGCATGCGCCACCATGCCCAGCTAATTTTTTTTTGTATTTTTAGTAGAGACGGGGTTTCACCGTGTTGGCCAGGATGGTCTCAAACTCCTGACCTCGTGATCCACCCGCCTTGGCCTCCCAAAGTGCTGGGATTACAGGCTTGAGCCACTGCACCCAGCCCCTTTTCCTTCTTCAAAAGAATTCTGTCTTCCACTTTCTTCCTCTCTTTTATATTTACTGTGGTAAAATATCATAACATAAACTTGGCTGTTTTAACTATTTTAAGGTGTGTCACTCAGTGCATTCACAATCTTGTATAGCCATTACCATTATTCACATCTAGAAGTTTTTCATTTTCCCAAACAGAAACTCTCTCCGTTAAACACTAACTCCCCATTCATTCTCCCTCTCCACAGTCTCTGGCAACCACCATTGTCTTTGTCTCTGAATTTGACTATTCTAGGTACAGTTTATGAGTGGAATCATAAAGTATTATCTTTTTGTGACTGACTTATTTCACTTAGCACTATGTGCCCAAGGTTCATTCAGTATTGTACTGTATGTCCAAATTTCCTTCCTTTTTAAGGCTGAAAAATTACTGTGTGGGTGGGCCACATTCTGTCCATTCATCCATCCATCAGTGGAGACTTGGGTTGCTTCCAGCCTTGGCTATTGTGAATAACACTGCTGTATATGTGGGTGTACAAATACCTGTTTGAGTCCTTACTTTCAGTTCTTCTGAAAGTAAGAAGAAGTTCTTCTGGATAAATACCTATGAGGCCAGGTCATGTGACAATTCCATGATTAAGTTTTGAGGCCAGACCTTTCCACAGTGGCTGCACCATTTTATCTTCCTGTCAACAAAGTCTCCCCTTTCTCCTCATCCTCCCCCTCATCCCGCCGACACTTGTCTTCCTTCTTCTGATGCTCGTCATCTGATGTGCGTGTGGAACGGTGTCTCCGTGTGGCTGATGCTCGTCATCTGATGTGCGTGTGGAACAGTGTCTCCGTGTGACAAGTGATGTCGAGCATCTTCTCGTGCTTTTTGGCCATGTGAATAGCTTCGTTGGAGAAATGTCTATTCAAGTCCTTTGACCATTTTTGAATTGAGTTTTTTTTTTGTTTTTTTTTTTTAGTTTTAGAAGTTCTATATATATTCTGGATATTAATCCTTTATCAGATATATGCAAATATTTTCTTTGGGTTATCTTTTTACATAAAAAATTTTTTTTAGATGTAGGGTCTTGCAGTACAGTGATCATAGCTTCCTGTAACCTTGAACTCCTGGGCTCAAGTGATCCTCCCACCTCAGCCTCCTGAGTAGCTAAGACTGCAGGCATGCGCCACCACATCCAGCTAATTTTTATATTTTTTGTAGAGATGGGGTCTCGCTATGTTGATCAGGCTGGCCTTGAACTCCTGACTTCAAGTGATGCTCCGGCCGTGGCCTCCCAAAGTGCTGGAATTATAGGCGTGAGCCACCAGCCACCCAGCCTTTACTCCTTGATAATGACCTTTGACACACAAGTTTTAAATTTTGATGAAATCCAATTATCTTTTTTTCTCTGTTGCCTGTGCTTTCGGTGTCATATCCAAAAAAGTCATTGCCAAATCAGTATCATGAAGCTTTTCCTCTATGCTTCCTTCAAAAAGTTGTATGTTTTCTCTCTTATGTTTAGGTCTTTAATCCATTTTGAATTAATTTTTGTATCTGGTGTAAAGTAAGGGTCCAGCTTCATTCTTTTGCATGGGGTTATCCAGTTTTCCCAGCACTTGTTGAAAAGACTGTCCTAGGCCGGGCACGGTGGTTCACGCCTGTAAACCCAGTATTTTGGGAGGCCAAGGCAGGCAGATCACCTGAGGTCAGGAGTTTGTGACCAGCCTGGCCAATGTGGCGAAACCCCATGTCTACAAAAAATACAAAAATTAGCCAGGCATGGTGGCAGCGCCTGTAATCCCAGCTACTTGGGAGGCTGAGGCAGGAGAATCACTTGAACCTGGGAGGCGGAGGTTGCAGTGAGCCAAGATCACACCACTGCACTCCAGCCTGGGTGACAGAGCGAGATTCTGTTTCAAAAAAAAAAAAAAAAAACACCGTCCTTTCCCCCATGAATGGTCTCGGCCTAATTGTTAAAAACCAGCTGGCCGGCCGGGCGCAGTGGCTCATGCCTGTAATCCCAGCACTTTGGGAGGCTGAGGTGGGTGGATCATGAGGTCAGGAGATTGAGACCATCCTGGCCAACATAGTGAAACCCCGTCTCTGCTAAAAATATGAAAAAATTAGCTGGGTGTGGTGGCATGTGCCTGTAGTCCCAGCTACTTGGGAGGCTGAGGCAGGAGAATGGTGTGAACCCGGGAGGTGGAGCTTGCAGTGAGCCGAGATTGTGCCACTGCACTCCAGCCTGGGCAACAGAGCGAGATTCCATCTCAAAAAAAAAAAAAAAACAGCTGGTGATGTGTGCAAAGGTTTCTTTCTGGACTCTCTGTTCTGTTTCGTTGGTTTATATGTCTGTCCTTATGCCAGTGTCGCACTGTTTTGGTGACTGTAGCTTTGTAGTAAGTGATAAGTGTGAGTTTTCCAACTTTGTTCTTTTTCCAGATTGTTTTGGCTATTCAAAGTCATCCCGTGAGATTCTGTATGAATTTGGGGATGGGTTTTTCAATGTTTGCAAAATTGCTGTTCAGATTTTGGTAGGGATTGCATTGAATTTATAGATCACTTTGGGTAATACTGTCTTCTTAACAATATTAAGTCTTCAATCCATGAACACAGATGTGTTCCTATGTATTTATTTATTTATTTCTATTTTTGAGACAGAACCTCACCCTGTTGCCCAGGCTGGAGTGCAGTGGCGCAATCTCGGCTCACCGCAACCTTTGCCTCCCGGGTTCAAACAAGTCTCCTGCCTCAACCTCATGAGTACCTGGGATTACAGGTGCCCGCCACCACAAAATAATTTTTGTTTTGTTTTGTTTTTTTTGAGACCGAGTCTCGCTGTCGCCCAGGCTGGAGTGCAGTGGCGCGATCTCGGCTCACTGCAGGCTCCGCCCCCCAGGTTCACGCCATTCTCCTTCCTCAGCCTCCCAAGTAGCTGGGACTACAGGTGCCTGCTACCTCGCGTGGCTAATTTTTTGTATTTTTAGTAGAGACAGGGTTTCACCATATTAGCCAGGACGGTCTCGATCTCCTGACCTCGTGATCCGCCCACCTTGGCCTCCCAAAGTGCTGGGATTATAGGCGTGAGCCACCACGCCCAGCCAATTTTTATATTTTTAGTAGAAATGGGGTTTCACCATGTTGGCCAGGTTGGTCTCAAACTCCTGACCTCAAGTGATCTGCCCACATTGGCCTCCCAAAGTGCTGGGATTATAGGCATGAGCCACCGTGCCTGGCCCCATTTACTTTAAATAGGTCTTTAAATTCTTGTAGCAGTGTTTTGTAGTTTTCAGTGTACAAATCTTTTATCTCCTTGACTTAATTCTTCTGGATGCTGTCATATATAAAATTGTTTTCTTACTTTCCTTTTTGGATTATTCAGTGCTAGTGTATGGAAATGCAGCTGCTTTTTTGTGTGTCAATTTTGTATTCTAGAACTTTGCTGAATTCATTTATTAGCTCTAGCAATTTATCTGGAATATTTAGAATTTTCTATGTGTAAGATCATATCAGGTCAGGTGTGGTGGCTCATGTTTGTAATCCCAGCACTTTGGGAGGCCTACACAGGAGGATTGCTTGAACCCAAGAGTTTAAGACCAGCCTGGGCAACATAGTGAGACCTGGTCTCTACAAAATAAATAAGAATAAAAATTAGGCAGGTGTGGTGGCACAGATCTGTAGTCCCAGCTATTCAGGAGACTGAAGAGGGAGGATCACTTGAGTCTGGGAGGTCAGGGCTGCAGAGCCGAGATCACGCCACTGTGTGTACTTCAGCCAGGGCAACAGAGCAAGATCCTTGCTCAAAAAAAAAATACATATTCTAAAAAAAAAAATCATGTCATTTGGGAACAAAGATAATTTTACTTTTGCCTTTACCATTTGGATGCCTTTTATTTCTTTTTCTTGCCTAATTGCTCTGGCTGGGACTGCTAAGAGAAGACCGAATAGCAGTGGTGAGAGTGGGCATCCTTGCCTCGCTCCTGATCTTAGAGAAGCTTTCAGTCTTTCAGCATTGAATATGTTGTCAGCTATGGGCTTTTCATAGGTGCCTTTATCATACTGAAGATATTTCCTTCTATTCCTAGTTTGAGTGTTCTATCAAGAAAGTATGTTGAATTTTTTTTTTTTTTTGAGACAGAGTTTTGCTCTTGTTGCCCAGGCTGGAGTGCAGTGGCATGATCTTGGCTCACGGCAACCGCCGCCTCCTGGGCTCAGGCGATTCTCCTGCCTCAGCCTCCCAAGTAGCTGGGATTACAGGCGTGTGCCACCATGCCCGGCTAATTTTTGTATTTTCAGTAAAGATGGGGTTTCACCACGTTGGCCAGGCTGGTCTTGAACTCCTGACCTCAGGTGATCCACCCTCCTCGGCCTCCCAAAGTGTTGGGATTACAGGCATGAGCCACCGCACCTGGCCGTATGTGGAATTTTATCAGATTTTTTTTGTATGAGTTGAGATGATCATTTGGCTTTCGTCCTTTATCCTGTTAATGTGGTGTATTGATTGATTTTCATACGTCGATCCATCCTTGCATTTGAGGAGCAAATCCCACTTTATCCTGGTATATAATTCTTTTGATATGATGCTAAGTTTGGTTTGCTAGTATTTTGCATCCATGTTGATAAGGAACATTGGTTTGTAGTTTTCTTTTCTTGTAGTGTCCTCATTCAGCTTTGGTATCAGAGGTAATTCTGTCCTCACAGAATGAATTAGAAAGTATTCTCTCTTAGTTTTTTGGAAGAGTTTGAGAAGGATTAGTGTTAACTCTTCTTTAAATGTTTGGTAGACCTCATCGCCAGGAAAGGAAAAACAAACAACAAAATAAATGTTTGGTAGAATTTACCAGCAAAGCCATCTGGTACGGGCTTTTTGTTGAGAGGTAGGTCTGACTCCATGTTACAGATGAGGTGACACAGGAAAGCCTCCTCCAAGGTTGCTCAAGGTCACATGGGCAGAGAAGGTGAAGCCAGGATTTAGGACTACGTTTCTGTGGAGAACATGAAGCAAATGAGCCTCCTGCCTTTCTCTAGCTCCAACCCCACTGTGTGGAACGAGGAGCCCAAGCTCGAATCCTGGTGTGGAATATACACCTCACCCCATTCCCCTCTCCATACAGTCCTCCTTCTCCATGGAGGCAGAAGAGGGTCTGGGACACAGGCTGCCGTGGCCCTGGAATGTAAGAGACGGCAGTGGGGGGCGAGTGCGTCAGACCTATGTCCCCCTCTCTGTCCTCATCTGGAAGAAGCTACATGGGAGGTGAGAGATGGCAGCTGTCCTCGTTCAGCCACCTCTGTCCCCCAGGGGAGTATCTAGGTGGCCAGAACCACCTCTGGGCTTCAGCCCATGCTGGTTAAGTCTGGGCTCCCTTGGGGAGTGTCTGAATGTGCCCCTCACAGTCTCACGTTTGTGTGGTGGACGATATGCACACGCCTGCCCATCCTGGGTGGAATCCTCATGTGCTTGAGAGTCTAACACACTTCCAATAATTCATGAGAAAGACAGAATCATAAAGGAACTTCTCACATACTTAGAACTGAAGAATCATAAAAATACTACTTAGCAAAATGTGTAGAATGTAGTTAAAGTTGATTGTATACAGGGAAATGTAGCCTTTAAAGACAGACTGGAAAGAAAGGCTGCAATTAATGAGTTGAGCTTCCAACTGAAGGACAAAAGAAGCCAGGCCTGGTGACTTATGCCTGTCATCCCAGCACTTTGGGAGGCGGAGGCGGGCAGATCACCTGAGGTTGGAAGTTCAAGACCAGCCTGACCAACATGGCAAAATCCCGTCTCTACTAAAAATACAAAAATTAGCTGGGCATGGTGGTGGGCACCTGTAATCCCAGCTACCAGGGAGGCTGAGGCAGGAGAATCACTTGAACCCAGGAGGCAGGGGTTGCAGTGAGCCGAGATCGTGCCACTGCACTCTAGCCTGGGAGACAAAGCAAGACTCCGTCTCAAAAAAAAAAAAAAAAAAGAATAAACCCGCAGAAAGTAGAAAGGTGATGATTCAGATTGAAGCAGAGACCAACAGACACCCACAGGCAGGAGGCAGAAGTGCTCAGTGGCTATTTGAAGAAGCTCCGTAATAGAGAGATGACCCTCAGGAAAACGCTTAAAACTCCTTCCTAGCTACCCAGAGACTGGACTTGTGAGGAGTTAGGACGCCACCTTTAGGAAGGGTTTCCCTCAGCTTTGTGGTGTAGCCGGCAGGAGAAAACCGATCTAAGAACTGTCTTCTGTCCTCTGTTTACCCAGGACTTGTTCTTTAAGTACACCTGGAATAACTTTTTGCACTTCCAAGTGGAACTATGCATAGCCGCTATTCTCTCCCACGCTGCCCGTGAGGAGAGGACAGAAGCCAGCGGATCCGAGAGCAGGGTGGAGCCTCCGCATGAGAACGGGAACCGGAGCCTGGAGACTCCCCAGCCGGCCGCCAGCCTCCCTGACAACACAATGGTGACCCACGTGAGTCCAAGAAGCATCCATCTTATCAGCGCCAACTGCGCCCCACTCAGACCGTGTCCATGTCAGCGCTGACGTGTGCCGGACCTCACTGTGCAGCTGACACGGGGGCAGGGCTTTGAAAAGGGTCCCCAGGTGTCTGGTCAGACGCTCGTAGACAGTGGGGCTTGAGTGGGTCTTGCAGATCTCATTCCTACCTGCCTTCAGCAGGGGTACTGGTGCCTTCCACGTGCAGGCCTGGCAAGGGTTAGCACTGGATGAGATGAGTTCAGTCTGGCCTCCAGCTGGAGGCCCAGGGAATAAATGCCCAGGGAGCCAGCAGTGTCAGTGATGGGAGCCACACGGTGGGGAGGGGATGCTGAGGGACATGCAGGCCAACCAGGGACTGTCACCCGGATAGCAAGGCCACAGGTATATCGTAGTGTGAGGTGGAGCCCAGGAAAAACATCTCAGGTACAAGAAGTGATCTGTGTCAGGGCCTGGAGGTGAGAGAAAGTGCTGAGGGCAGACAGCCCTAGTCGTTCTTCCGGACACAGAGAAAGAGGGCAGGAGAGTGGCCAAAGTGGAGGGCAATGGAGAGACGGGGAGAAGGCCCAGGGGAAGACAGGGGTCAGGGGGCAATTCCAGGAGTTGGAGGAGAAGGGAGAGGGTCCTTTTCTCGGGCTTCATCTTTAGGGCGCTCAGCAGTATGAGCCCCGAACCGCACCCTCCTCTGGTGTTTGGTGAGGACCGCGGAGGCTGGGGCTGTGCGTGCGCAGCAGTCAGGGCCTGCAAAGTCCACACAGACGTGGCCGCCAGCCAGCCCTGCCCAGTCCAGGGATGGGTGGAGGGGTGCGTGCCGCCTTCAGACCCTGACTCACGCTGTCCCCCTGCCCCGCCCCCCAGCTGTTCCAGAAGTGCTGCCTGGTGCAGAGGATCCTGGAGGCCTGGGAAGCCAACGACCACACGCAGTAAGAGCCGCTCGGACGTGGAGGGACCCAGCCTGGCCAGTCAGGGATGCAGAGACGCACCTCACCCAAGCCCTGGTGACGCTGCGTGCAGGACTGCAGGATCGGGTGGAGTGTAGGGTGTGCGACGTGGCTCCACGTTCTGGGGCTGCTGTGCAAGGGGCCCTTCTACTGGGCGGACAGCTGCAAATGCTACTTGGGGAGGGGACACAGGGAGCCGACAGGAAGCGGTCCCGTCCCCACCAGGCACCTGCTCTGGCCCCCGCCCAGCCTGGCTTTGCCCTCTTGTGGGTCCGCTGTCCGTTCCTGATCTTCCCCAGGAACTCGGGCCCTCCGTCAGCACTCGCACACAGGGACGCGTTATTTTGGTCTTTCCATCTTCTGCTTAATGGGTGCTCCCTCTGGTCAGGACACATGTCCCGCTTATTGTCGTGGGCCCAGAGCCATCCCCACCCGTTTGCTGTCCTGCTGGGAACTGTCTGGCTCTGGGCGATATGAGGAGGGACTCCAGGGAGCTGGGAGGGGTCTGAGTGCAGCTGTGGGGAAGCAGAGGCCGAGCTGGGCTGTACAGCATGGAGGTCCCGCCCAACCCTCCCCTTGGGGTGCTGAGCCTGAGCTTGGTAGCTGGCAGCATGGGCTCACCTCCTGCGCCACTGCTGCCACCAGCGGGACTTAGGCCACGCCACGGCCTTTCTGCCTCCATTTCCCTGTCTGTAAAATGGAGTGAGAGCAGTGTCTGTTTCCTCATCTGTCTCAGTGGCACTTTTGGTAGTGAGGTTGGGGTGAGCCTGCTGCACGTGGCAGGTGCTACTCAAACAGAAGTGTCCTGGAGGAGGGCAGGGGGCGCGGACACTGGGCAGGGGCCGGGCATTTGCTCTGGAGGTGAACCTGGAGGAGGGCAGGGGGCGCGGACGCTGGGCAGGGGCCGGGCATTTGCTCTGGAGGTGAACCTGGAGGAGGGCCGGGGGCATGGATGCTGGGCAGGGGCCGGGCACTTGCCCTGGAGGTGAACCTGGAGGAGGGCTGGGGGCGCGGACGCTGGGCAGGGGCCGGGCATTTGCTCTGGAGGTGAACCTGGAGGAGGGCTGGGGGCATGGATGCTGGGCAGGGGCCGGGCACTTGCCCTGGAGGTGAACCTGGAGGAGGGCTGGGGGTGCGGACGCTGGGCAGGGGCCGGGCATTTGCTCTGGAGGTGAACCTGGAGGAGGGCTGGGGGCGCGGACGCTGGGCAGGGGCCGGGCATTTGCTCTGGAGGTGAACCTGGAGGAGGGCCGGGGGCATGGATGCTGGGCAGGGGCCGGGCATTTGCTCTGGAGGTGAACCTGGAGGAGGGCCGGGGGCATGGATGCTGGGCAGGGGCCGGGCATTTGCTCTGGAGGTGAACCTGGAGGAGGGCCGGGGGCGCGGACGCTGGGCAGGGGCCAGGCATTTGCCCTGGAGGTGAACCTGGAGGAGGGCCGGGGGCATGGATGCTGGGCAGGGGCCGGGCATTTGCCCTGGAGGTGAACCTGGAGGAGGGCCGGGGGCATGGATGCTGGGCAGGGGCCGGGCATTTGCTCTGGAGGTGAACCTGGAGGAGGGCCGGGGGCGCAGACGCTGGGCAGGGGCCGGGCATTTGCTCTGGAGGTGAACCTGGAGGAGGGCCGGGGGCATGGATGCTGGGCAGGGGCCGGGCATTTGCTCTGGAGGTGAACCTGGAGGAGGGCCGGGGGCGCGGACGCTGGGCAGGGGCCGGGCATTTGCCCTGGAGGTGAACCTGGAGGAGGGCCGGGGGCATGGATGCTGGGCAGGGGCCGGGCATTTGCTCTGGAGGTGAACCTGGAGGAGGGCCGGGGGCGCAGACGCTGGGCAGGGGCTGGGCATTTGCTCTGGAGGTGAACCTGGAGGAGGGCTGGGGGCATGGATGCTGGGCAGGGGCCGGGCACTTGCCCTGGAGGTGAACCTGGAGGAGGGCCGGGGGCATGGATGCTGGGCAGGGGCCGGGCATTTGCTCTGGAGGTGAACCTGGAGGAGGGCCGGGGGCATGGATGCTGGGCAGGGGCCGGGCATTTGCCCTGGAGGTGAACCTGGAGGAGGGCCGGGGGCGCGGACGCTGGGCAGGGGCCGGGCATTTGCTCTGGAGGTGAACCTGGAGGAGGGCCGGGGGATGGATGCTGGGCAGGGGCCGGGCATTTGCCCTGGAGGTGAACCTGGAGGAGGGCCGGGGGCGCGGACGCTGGGCAGGGGCCGGGCATTTGCCCTGGAGGTGAACCTGGAGGAGGGCCGGGGGCATGGATGCTGGGCAGGGGCCGGGCATTTGCTCTGGAGGAGGGCCGGGGGCATGGATGCTGGGCAGGGGCCGGGCACTTGCCCTGGAGGTGAACCTGGAGGAGGGCCGGGTGCGCGGACACTGGGCAGGGGCCGGGCACTTGCCCTGGAGGTGAACCTGGAGGAGGGCCGGGGGCATGGATGCTGGGCAGGGGCCGGGCATTTGCTCTGGAGGTGAACCTGGAGGAGGGCCGGGGGCGCGGACACTGGGCAGGGGCCGGGCACTTGCTCTCCGAAGTGAACCTGGAGGCCTCTGCCACTTGGCTCTCTGGGTCGTGGGTCTGGCAAGGTCGGGGCCAGGAGGCCGCCCCGATGGTGCCTGTTGCTTTCAGGGCAGCGGGTGGCATGAGACGTGGGAACATGGGCCACCTCACACGGATCGCCAACGCGGTGGTGCAGAACCTGGAGCGGGGCCCTGTGCAGACGCACATCAGCGAGGTCATCCGAGGTGAGCCCCCAACCCGGTCATCCTTCTGCTGGTCGCGGGCACCGGGACCCCGAAGGAGCTGCCGCCTGAGACTAAGCTCTGCCCGGCAGCAGGTGCTGACTGCACTGACAGTGAGAGACCCATGGCCACCTCTGTCCTCTCACTTCACACATCACATCTCTCCTCGTGGGGGCCTGGGTCTCATGTGTCAGTTCTATTGGGCGGACTTCTGTGGAGACCCTGCCAGGCGTCAGCGTGTGGCACAAGAGACAGTCCCTCCCGGGGTAGTTGGTGACTCCGGAGCTGGCACTCAGAAGCCGTTAGCGCCACCGGGCTCCTTGCAGCTCAGGGAGCCCTGCCTGGCTAGGCTGTCCTGGCTGTGTGCTCTGCACTCAGGTGATTGGAGAGTCTCATTCTCACTCAGGTGTGAGATTTCGTAGCACAAGTCTCAGGGGAGCAGGTTGCAGCCTGTTTCTTAAGAACGCAGTGGGTTAGGTGGGCGCAGGCACAGCACATGTGTGGCAGAGGCGGGCCCAGCTGTGGCCTCTCCTCCCTATACCCGTGTAAGGTGAGGAAGCTCTGGATAGTCCTCCCCGCACCCCAGGACCATAGTGAGGGGACTCCTGGGTTGGGCTCCATTAGCCCCTGGCGAGGTCAGGCCTGCCGGCTGCCATCACAAATAATAAAAGCAGGGCAGGAGGAGCTTCCCCACATCCTGGAGGGCAAAGTAGATGGGTGGAGGTGGAGGCCAGGGACAGCTCCCCAGGGCAGGGGCAGTTTAAGGAGGCGAGGGGCAAGCAGGAAGCTGTTGGATCATTCCATACGATCTCCAGATTGTGAATCCTTCCAGGACTCTGACCTCCCCGGAAAAACAGGCAGGACACGCGCCCAGGCCTGTAGGCTGCTGCTGAGTTTGGGCCTGTGAGGTGGGGGGAAGGAAGCTGGCTGCTTTCTCAGATTCTGTTCCACGGCTTCTGCGTTTCTGGGAGTTCCTCAGAATGGGCTTCCACCCAACAGACTTGGAACTCAGATGCCCACTGGGGTTTCGGTAGGGGCAGAAGTGCCCACCACCCTGCCCACAGGTGCTGCACCTCAATCTCACTGTGGCCCCAGGCCCCTCCGGACACGCGGCTATGCTGCCTCTTTCTCATCCGGCAAAGCCCCTGCTTCAGGCCCTCAGACGGGCTGACCACAGTAGCAGCGCCCCATCCTCCCGGACCCAGGATGCACCTGCCGGAGCCCCCGGGTGCCCTGCACCATCTGCACGGGGTCTCCCAGGGCTCACCAGGCAGCACTTCCCTTGCAGGGCTCCCTGCGGACTGCCGTGGCCGCTGGGAGAGCTTCGTGGAGGAGACGCTGACGGAGACGAACCGCAGGAACACTGTGGACCTGGTGAGGAGGCTCGGGGCTGCCCCCTCGGTGCACGCACGGTGCTGGGACGCCGTCAGACGCTCCTGCCTTTGCCCTGAGGCAGAGGCCAAGGGAGGCACAAGGGCCGCACGCCTGCCTGCTCCTCTTGACTATGCGGTGCCCCTGCATAGTGTGTCCTCCGGGCTGATGTCCGTAACAGAGACCCCGTCCTGTGCCACACCCAGGGCTGGGTCTCTGAGGACCTCTGTGCAGAGCCGGTGTTGGCCTCAGGTCCCTTTCCTCCCACTCCAGGAGCTGTAGCTTGTTGGCAGAGGGCTCCTTTTGCCTGAGACCCACAACCTGCCCCCTGCACATGGAGGTCGGGCTGTCACGGGGCCTTGGCCTCACCTAGGCACCTCCTTACACAGCACGGCCTCCTGGGCCCAGAGATCTGATGAGTGATGTGCTGGGTGGGGTCTGGGAGCCCTGGGCTGGGCATGGTCCTGGGCGCTGGGCTGGGTGGGGTCTGGGGCGCTGGGCTGGCTCACACGCCCACCCCATCTGGCCTGTGTTTTAGGTGAGCACTCACCACCTTCACTCCTCAAGTGAGGACGAGGACATTGAGGGTGCTTTCCCTAACGAGCTGTCCCTTCAGCAGGTGAGGGCGTGGCCGGCACCTGCACCCTGCCGGGCCCTTCCCGGCACCTGTGTGCGCTGCGCTTGGTCCTCCAGACGAGTCTGATGGCATCTCACTAGCAAAGGGGAGCGGGGGCTCGTCTCCGAGCACGTATGGGGCGGGGTGGGTCTGAAGGGAGAACCCCAAAGTCACTCCACCTTGATGAGAGCACTGAGGACACGGCAGATGGACTCGAAAGTCAGAGAATATGGGGCGTATCTCAGATGTGACCGCAGCGAGCGCGCAGCCTGAGTTTTGGTAGAATCGTGAGCCCTGAACAGAGTTTACTGCCCACTTGTGCTGGAGGAGAAGCTCCCGAACAACTAGAGAGATTGTGGTTCCCAAAGAGCAGCCTCCAGGCCTGATGCCTCCTCCATGACCGGTGTCTGTCCGTCCCTCCCTCCCTCCCTCCCTCCCAGGCCTTCTCTGACTACCAGATCCAGCAGATGACAGCCAACTTCGTGGATCAGTTTGGCTTCAATGATGAGGAGTTTGCCGACCAGGACGACAACATCAAGTGAGTCTACTTGGAGCGCACTCTGCACGAGGCGCGGCTCTCCCTGCTGCTGAGCTCCCGTGGAGGCAGCTCCCTGAGGTCTTGCCGGGAGTGCCGTCTGATGTCCCCGGGAGACAGCAGGTGTTCCCAGTTGTGTGAGGGTGCTGAGGCCCCCGATGAGCACCGGGGGAGGAGCACTGAGGCCCCAGATGAGCAGTGGGCCTGGAGGAACGCTGAAGCCATCCCCCTTGCTCTTGCAGTGCCCCGTTTGACAGGATCGCAGAGATCAACTTCAACATCGACGCTGACGAGGACAGTGTGAGCAAGCCGGGCTGTGTGGGGTGCCGCCACCCTTTTCCCAGGCAGCTCAGGCCATGCCCATGGCTCGGTCTGTCATGGGCCTGTGCGGTGGGGCTGGGAGAGGCCCCTCTGTGGAGCTCGGAACAGTCGCTTTCCTTGCCCCTCCCCGTCCTCCCCTCCAGCCCGGGGCTCCCACATCCCGAACTAAGCCCCTCTGGGAGCTCTATGGGGAGAGCGGCTCCTGTCTCCCCCAGACCCTCTGGAAACTCACCTTGGCGTTTTACTCTGCAGCCCAGCGCAGCTCTGTTTGAGGCCTGCTGCAGTGACCGCATCCAGCCCTTTGATGATGATGAGGACGAGGACATCTGGGAGGACAGTGACACTCGCTGTGCTGCCCGGGTGATGGCCAGACCCAGGTGCGGGGCCTGCCCATCCCCACAAAGCCTCTGCCGAGGAGGTTCAGCCCCCAGAACACCTGTCAGACGCCCTGTGGTTCGTTAGCTGGCTTGCAGAGCAGCCACACCTGTCCTGCCAGCTCTGGGGCCCAATGCAGCGGGTGACCCTAAGGAGCCCAGAGCTGAGGCCTGGAGCGTCTCGTGCTCCTCTCTCGAGACGATCTGTGCTCACCCTCAGCCCCGAGCCTGGGGCCGCCACTGACCCTCCATGTTAGGCGTCCGTCCTGGGCCACCAGACATCTGACTCTGAATCTCCCCCAGGTTTGGAGCCCCCCATGCTTCAGAGAGTTGCTCAAAGAATGGCCCAGAGCGTGGAGGCCAGGATGGGAAGGCGAGCTTGGAAGCACACAGAGATGCACCTGGGGCAGGTGCCCCACCGGCCCCCGGGAAGAAGGAAGCGCCCCCTGTGGAGGGTGACTCAGAAGGTGGTGCTGGGCGCCAGGGGCTGGGAGTGTGGGTATCGGGGACAGGACATGGTACCCCGGCCTGGGTGTTGTGGAGGCTTCATTTGGAGCTGAGGCATTTGGGGCTCACTGTGGCCCGGAGCCTGAATCCCCAGCTATTTCCCAGCCGTCCTGAGTAGGGGTCTGTGCTGCGCTGTGCCCAGCGCAAGGTGGCCTCCTGCCCCTGCCTTGCAGTTGTGGTCACTCAGCCACGTTGCCAAGGCTGGTGGGTGGTGTCCACCTAGTCTCCATCGTCCGTCCAGCCCCCACACAGTCAGGCACAGGCCTGACGCCCTCCCCAGCACAGCAGCACAGGCCGGCCGCCACCTTCATGGCCGACATCTATGGCAGGAGCCAGTCCACCTCACAGGCCGCATGGCTGATGAGACCCCTCTCCTTACCCTGCCCTGGGGGCAGCACTGAGGCACTCAGGACTTTGGTGGCGGGGGCAGAGATCTCTGTTAGGAGGGGCTGAGCTCTTCGCTGACAGAGCAAGGGTGACACCCTGGGGAAGCAGGAACATCCCAGATAGGAGGAAGACACCCCATCCTCGAGGCCAGGAAGGGGCCAGTGGTGCTCGGTGAGCTGCCGGCTCTGTGGGTTGCGGTCCTGGGTAGGACAGGGCAGTGGCATCACCTCCACACTGTCAGTGTCAGTCCTGCTGGAGGCCTGGGGGCCCTCAGGCACCTGACTGAGCCCCAGGTCACACGCCCCATGGGTGTCGGCAGCTTGTCAGGACCCTCGAGCTGTCCCCTGTTGCTCCTTGAGGGGCTGACGGGCACTGCCTGGGCCTCCCTCCTGGAGCAGCCCCATCTTCCTGTCAACCTCTGAGGGGCTCCCGGGGCAGGGGCGCTGCCTCCCCTTTGCCTGCAGCACCCCAGGCCTGCCCACGCCTGACCACTGTGTCTCTCCCCCAGCAGGCGCCATGTGGACGGCAGTGTTTGATGAGCCAGCGAACTCAACGCCCACAGCCCCAGGAGTGGTGAGGGACGTGGGTTCCAGTGTGTGGGCAGCTGGCACCTCAGCTCCAGAGGAGAAAGGCTGGGCCAAGTTCACTGACTTCCAACCTTTCTGCTGGTAACAAATGCGCTGGCAGGAGGGGGCTGTGCCAGGAAGTGCCTG
Source organism: Homo sapiens (assembly GCF_000001405.40). Classification (NCBI taxonomy): domain Eukaryota; kingdom Metazoa; phylum Chordata; class Mammalia; order Primates; family Hominidae; genus Homo; species Homo sapiens. The sequence continues at coordinate 50,439,903 of NC_000022.11, forward strand.
TCAGGGCCAGGAGGCACCTGTCCCCCAGGACTGATCCTGTCCTCGTCCTTGTATGCAGCTCCGAGTCAGGGCCCAGGTGCAGCTCTCCGGTGGACACAGAATGCAGCCATGCTGAGGGCAGCCGGAGCCAAGGCCCTGAGAAAGCCTGTGAGTAGGAGCAGTGCAGGCGGCACCCAGCCTTGCCCAGTTTAAGGCCTGAGGCCAGCTGGCCCCCCTCCTTGGGGGCAGTGGGAGGAGGTGGCCGGGGCCTCGCATGCTGCTACGTCTCTGGTGACATTGGGGTTTGATACAGCAATGGGACTGGAGCAGCCACGTGTAGATGGGGAGGCCCCCAGAGGGGAGGCAGCAAGGCCATTGGGCTGGCTCTGAGCCTGGTCTGAGTAGGTGGCACAGCTCAGGTCTGCACCCTGGATTCCGGACAGCAGCACTGGGACCCCAGCATTGAGATGTGTGTGGGTGGGTTGTTGGCAGGAAGCTGTTCTGTGGCCTGATCAGAGCCCCTGGCCCCCAGCCCCCTAGTCAGGCTCAGAAGCTCCCCCAGATAAGGCTGAGAGCTCCAGGTGAGTGACAGCTGGCTCCCAACACTGGTGTCCCCGGTTTTGGGGTCCTTTGGGCTTAAAGGAGCTGTGGCAGGACCACACGAGGCGGAGTGGGCCCCTCCCTGAGCCTCTGCGTCCTCCTGTGAGACCAGGGCATGTGTCCCTGTATCATGGGGGAGGCAACAGGGTTGTTTGTGTGGAGACCCCATGGCAGGTGCGTGAGCCTGTCTGCCTCATCATGCGGCTCCCACACAGGCACATGTGTGCAGGCAACAGGCTGCATGTGAGAGGGCCACATGTATGGGGACCCTATGGCTGGAGTGGCCGCACCCTGTGACCCCTCCTGCCTCACTGGACAGCACAGGCCTCCTACTTTGCAGTCAGCCCGGCTTCTCCATGTGCCTGGAACGTGTGTGTCACCAGGAAGGCCCCCCTGCTGGCCTCTGACAGTAGCTCCTCTGGGGGCTCCCACAGCGAGGATGGCGACCAGAAGGCAGCGAGTGCCATGGATGCGGTGAGCAGGGGTCCCGGCCGGGAGGCCCCCCCGCTGCCCACAGTGGCCAGGACAGAGGAGGCTGTCGGCAGGTGTGTGGGGCGTGGCGGGGGCGGGCCTGCCGGGTGCATAGGGCGTGGCTTCCAGGCTCTGTCCCCAGGTCTCAGCTCCCCTGAGAGGAGGTGAGGCCAGGCCAGGGTCTTCTCCACACTGCCTCCCCCATGGCCCCGTGACCCTTCAGAGGCTGGCTGAGGCGGCGGTGGTGCCCACGCGTTTACGTGGAGGCCAGATGGGAGAAGTGTGGGGCCTTCTTTCGTGGACAGAACATCGTGTTCTCTGTTGTGAGTGGTTAAGACAAGAAGACAGGGCCTGGATGTCCCAGACAGTCCCCCAGGGACTTGGGGGAGCAGCCCCTACCCCAGATCCCAGTTGGAGAGAACAGCCCAGCTCTTGGGGCTCTGGGCCTGGCTGAGCCGCCTGGGATCTGGGTACCCTGGTGGTCGGGGAGGGGCACAGACTTTTAAGTCTGGCAGGCGAGCGGGCATCTGTGGGGCTCACGCAGACCTCGCCTGCTGCTCCCCTTCCACGGGAGGCCTATGATTCCGAGACGCCTCAGAAGCAGGATAGTAGGATGGGGGGCGGCGGCCTCAGGACTGCACTGGGGGCATCCAAATCCTGACTGAGAGTTGGAGGCAGCTTGCAGGCTGGCAGAGGCCCAGGCTCCCTTGAGCCCCCAAGAGCCATCCCTGGGGAGAGAGTGGAGAGGGAGGCTCTCCCTGTGAGGAGGTTGGAGGCTGGCCGGCCCCTCCAGCAAGCTGAACCCCATCCGTCCCCAGGGCCACAGGAAGGTCCCTGGGATCCTTCAGTAAACAGATACCTCTCTGGCCTCTGGGGTCAGGGCGTGGGTTAGCAGGAGGGCAGGACCGCTGGGGTAGATGCCAGGGCCAGGTAAACCTGAGGGGGAGGGTAGGACTGGGCTTGACGTGGGGAGGAGGGCGCACCCAGCAACGGCACAGCTGTGCAAAGACCCTGAGGCCTGAGCTCCCAGTAGGTCCAGGCAACAGTGGGGAAGTCCTCGGGCTGGATTCCTCTAGGAGGGGACAAGGTGCCTTTCACATCTGGTGGTGCATCCCAGTCACTCCTGGCTCCATGGTTGTGAAGGGCCTGCCTGGAGCGGGGTGAGGGTGTCCCCCAGCCTCACCGCCCAATGCAGCTCAGCCTGCATGCGTCCCACCTGTACTACCCTTCCCCCACAGGTGGGGCAGGCCTGACACCTCAGAGGGTCCTGCTCACTGACCCCCGGCAATCCTGGAGAGTCTGTGTGGTACTGGGGCTCCGGGCATCTCCCCCAGCCAAGCTGCAAGCTCAGCACCAGGCTGGCTCTCCCCGCCCTGTTGACCAGCAGGCCCCGTCTGTGCTCACAGCTCCTCCCCTTGTTTGGCCACCCTGTCTTCAGGGCATCTGCAGCAAGTGGGGGGCACAGCACGGGAAACGGGGCCAAGGCCGTTTCCCGATGCCGGCAGTCACTGGGAAGCCCAGGCCAGAGCCCCTCGGGTTGAAAGTCATACAGAGTTCCTGTGTGGGCTTCATTCCTTCTTAAAGTTTAGTCACTGAAATTTTTGTTTGTTTGTTTGAGACAGAGTCTTGCTCTGTTGCCCAGGCTGGAGTGCAGTGGCGCAATCTTGGCTCCCTGCAACCTCCGCCTCCCGGGTTCACGCCATTCTCCTGCCTCAGTCTCCCAAGTAGCTGGGACTACAGGCATCCGCCACCACCAGGCCCGGCTAATTTTTTGTATTTTTAGTAGAGACGGGGTTTCACTGTGTTAGCCAGTATGGTCTCGATCTCCTGACCTCATGATCCGCCTGCCTCGGCCTCCCAAAGTGCTGGGATTACAGGTGTGAGCCACCGCGCCTGGCCTAGTCACTGAAATTCTTAACAGTCTTTACCCTGCCAGGCACAGTGGCTCACGCCTGTAATCCCAGCACTTTGGGAGGCCGAGGTGGGTGGATCACCTGAGGTCGGGAGTTCGAGACCAGCCTGGCCAACATGGCGAAAACCCGTCTCTACTAAAAATACAAAAATTAGCCAGGCGTGGTGGCAGGCGCCTGTAGTCCCAGCTACTTGGGAGGCTGAGGCAGGAGAATCGCTTGAACCAGTGAGCCGAGATCACGCCACTGCACTCCGGCCTGCGCATGAGAGAGACTGACTGTCGGCAAAAACAAAACCAAAACAAACCTTTACCCACTTCTCCTAAACAACCCCTAAAAAACTGCTCTGAAAAGCAGGGAATATCATTGTGCAAAGTAAGTTGTTTTTTTCCACGGGGCTGTCTGCGTAAAACTTGCCACTTAGAGCCCTGCCTGCACCGTCGTCACGGCCCAGCCTGCAGGTGAGCTTCCTCGCGCCCCCGCCTGACCTGAGTGCCCCTCCCTCAGTCAGACACAGTGTCGTCGCCCTGCAGGAAGCCAGGGGGCCCGTCTGCTGCTCGTGGCCAGGCTGGGCCTTGGGGTGCCCGACCCCCTCCAGAGCAAGCCCCTTAGATGCCCGGCAGGGTCCTCTCTACCCTCCCATCCCCTGGGAGGTTTCCCCAGACTGTGTCCAGTGTGAGGCTGAAGTTGAGATCATAGCACAGGAGGCTCTGGGGTCCTTGAAGAATGAGGCGCTTGATGATGAGCAGGATCTGAGTGCTGCCTGGAGGAGGTTTGAGGTCATCAATGGACAGGCAGCTTGTCCCAGTACTTGGAACTTGGGGCAGCAGAGCTGCCTAGCTGGGCACAACCTGGGCCACCCCACAAAGGGCAGGAGTGAGAGGGGCCAAAGATGGTGCTCCCAGGCCGCCTGGACCTTTTTGTCCAGCTGGTCCTTGGGCATGAGGCGGGGTGGCACTGAGGGTGGGGGTGCCCGTAACCGGAGTCCATGTTTGCCACACAGGGTCGGGTGTGCTGACAGCCGGCTGTTAAGCCCTGCCTGCCCCGCGCCAAAGGAAGTGACTGCTGCCCCAGCCGTGGCTGTGCCCCCCGAGGCTACTGTGGCCATCACCACAGCACTGAGCAAGGCTGGCCCCGCCATACCCACCCCAGCAGTCTCTTCTGCACTGGCCGTGGCGGTCCCCCTAGGGCCCATCATGGCAGTCACAGCAGCCCCAGCCATGGTGGCCACCCTGGGGACAGTGACAAAGGACGGGTGAGCAGGTTGAGTGTGGGGGTAGGGGGTGTGGACAGGGCCCGCAGCCCGCACGGTTCCAACCCCACCCCATTCCTGCAGGAAGACAGATGCCCCGCCAGAAGGAGCTGCCTTAAATGGCCCAGTGTGATGCTGCTGCCGCCCGGCCACGGCCCACCCTGGTCAGGCTGCCTCCTTAATCGAGAAAACTACCTGGTGATGCAATCTTTTTTTTTTTTAATTTAATTTAATTTTAAAATAAATGCTGCATTGGTAAAGCTGGCAGTTGAAACCAGTTGGACGGCCCAGCTTGCGTCTCTTCTGCCTGAGTGGGCCTCTCAGGTCACTCGTGCCCTGCTGGAGGACAGAGGGGCACCTCAGCCGCCCCCAAGCCCAGAGCACAGCAATAAGGTCGGCCTGCAGGAGCCGGGGTGGGGGTGGGGGTGGGGGGGGCAGGACCCTGAGATGCCACCAGGACCTGATGGGCCAGGAAGGGCGTGGACATGGAGGCTGTTTTTACAGTTTTTTTTTTGTTGTTGTTTTGTTTTTAAAGAATACAGAAGGAGCCAAGCTTTTTTGCACTTTGTATCCAGCTGCAAGCTCAGGGCAGAGTCAAGGGCCTGGGTTGGAAAAACCTGACTCACAGGAATGCATAATTGACCCTTGCAGCTACCCAATAGCCCTTGGAGCTGGCACTGAACCAGGCTGCAAGATTTGACTGCCTTAAAAACACAAGGCCCTCTAGGCCTGGCAGGGATGTCCCTGTGCCCAGCACAGGGTGCCTGGCAGGGGGAGACCACAGGTATGCAGGTGGGGGGACATGGTGTGGCACTAGGGGCTCGAAGACTGGTTTCTAGCACTACCGGTCACGGCCATGTCGTCCTAGAAGGGTCCAGAAGATTATTTTACGTTGAGTCCATTTTTAATGTTCTGATCACCTGACAGGGCACCCCAAACCCCCAACTCCCAATAAAAGCCGTGACGTTCGGACAAACCGCGTACTGTGAACCTTCCGGCCCCAAAGCCCCGGCCCGGCCAGGGGTGGGAGAGTCTCCTCCAGCACCTCTTTTGTGGGCCCGCCACCCCCCAGCGTTATCCCCGTGTAATGGGTGGAGGCGGAACAGGCCACATCACGGCATCAGGTCTCTACAGCTTAGCAAATACTGACATTTTTCCGTTTGGGGGATGGGGGGAACCACTTCGCCTAACGCTCAAACACATCAACCCCAGGACTTCCTTTTGTGCCAGCTCCCCCTCCCAGAAGCCTGGGCCCCACCTTGTCCTCAGTGGCTGAGTGGGAGGGGCAGGTGGAGACCAGACCCCCACCCCGCCCCAGCGAGCTTGTCTTTCCACCACGGTTGGGGGTGGAGGGAACCCGCTCAGCTCCCCAGAGGCCGAGTCTCTGCCCCAGCTACACATTGAGTGCCTTGTTCTCGCCGCCTACCCTGTGCCTGGCATTTGTCCTCTCCCCCCACAGACGTGGAACAGGGAGGGCAGGGTCCTTTCTCCCCTTACTCTGACCTGTGGGTTTTCCAGGTGCCAGGAACTTCGGTCAGGCGCCATCTGTCCGGCCTGAGGGAAGACCTGGCTGGTTTCAGTGGCTCAAGTGAGCCCACCCTCACATCTCGCCCAGGTGTCCCAACACCACCTGTGGGGTGGGGGAGGTGGCGGGACCATGCTGGGCCTGACAGGGTCCAAGGCCATCCTTGGCTTCAACGTCCCACCAGGGGAGGGTCTTGGCCCCCCACCTGCCAGCACTGGGCCCTGCCTCTGCAGCTGTCATCAGAACCTTCCCCTCACCCACACCTGCTGCTCGCCTCCCACCTGAGAGGACCACCTGAGGGACCCAGCCTCTAGCCAGGTTCTCTGCCCCTCACCAGCCCCTCTGGCCAGGTCACCAGCTGCCACTCTCAGATGTTCTCTTGGCCTTTGCAGCGTCTATAACCCTCCCCACCTTCTGCTCCTGCACCCCTGGCCAGGCCTCGTCACAGGCAAGGACACAACAGCTCAGCAGGTGAAGCCCTGGGCCTGGTGGGACTCAGGTTTGAATAGGAAAAGAGCAGTGAGGGGCCACAGTGACACCAAGAAGGGAAGGACGGGGGCCCTCTGAGACCCCAGGGAAAGGACTTTTGGGGCAGAATTCCCAAGAACTGAGAGGGTCCATCCCCCATGGGCGTTGGCCCCTTACTCTGCCAGATGCTGCTCGTTGCCTGGCAGGAGCCAGATGTGGTCAACCTGCATTCCCCTGGGAGCCCACTGTCCCCCCCCCCCCCCCGCCTCCGGCCTCCATCCCTTCAGCTCGGGTCTAGCCAGAAACTGACGTCCACCTCAAGTGTCCTCTGGACCTGCAACAGCCTTCTGGGGTCAAATGACCACCCACCCTTTCACCCCCAAGCCTCTGTGAGGTCAGCTTCTGCATCCCCTGGGTAGGGATGGGGGCTTCCTCTCCAGCCGTGCCGGCCCCTAGACCAGCCCTGAGGCGTGGAGGGAATCAAGCAAGTCCCCAGTGAAGCCTCCTGCTCGATCCGCCCCCAGAGCAAAGTCACTCCCAGGGACATGCAGGCCGAGCTGGGTGGACCCAGGCACCAGGAGAGGCTCACGAGAAAGATGCCAACCTCCCGCCAGGTGGGCCTGGATAGGGGCAGATGGGACCCTCTGGGTAGGCCGAGAGCAGGCAGCCGGGGAGTGGGGAAGGCAGGCACAGGAGCGTGGCGTTAGTTCTCTCTTTATATAGACTCTGGTTCTAGAAACTCGCCTGCAGCCGCTGGCTGGACCAGCACACGCTGACGGGGCCGGACTATTTACAGGCCCATTGCGGGCTGTACCTTGGCCACCTCCCGGCACGGTGCTCAGCTGTGACGCCAAAATAAGTTAGGGCCGGCCGGGCGGGGCGGGGCGGGGACGGGGGCTGTACACACAAGTGCTGGGGGCTCGGGGCCTCAATACTGTCGAGGGCCGGGGCTGTAAACATGGCCGGGGCGGCCCTGCCCACCCCTAGTGGTCGGTAACGACCGGAAGCAGAGCAGCCGGGCAGGGCTGGGAGGCTCAGGCGTCCGACAGGCAGCTCTGGATCCGGTCCACCCACTGCTGGGCCGAGGGCACGTCCTGGGCACAGAAGTTGTAAACGCGACGCGTTGTCTTCACCTGGGGAAGGGCGGGTTACTGACTCCGCAGCCCCCACACCGCAGAGCCCCTCCCCTCTCCCAAGCCCCGGCCAAGGCTCACGTCAAAGAAGGCCTTCTCGTCCACAGTCTTAGGGGCACCCATAGTGGGCGTGCCAGGTGCCACAGCCTCCACCTCCGCCAAGTCGATGACACCCTTGCACTCTGTGTCCACACGGTGGTCGTAGTAGCGCAGCTGGAGGAGGCCACAGAGTCAGCGGAGCCCCCTCCCCCGTGAGTCCCCCCCACCACCTGATCACTCACCTGGTGCTTGGTCTTGTCCAGCACGAACCAGCGGGCCTTCCAAGGCTTCATGAAGGCCCCCTTCTTGTACAGAGTGCCCTCGTAGGACCTGCATTTCCAGCAGAACCAGGGCCAGGCTGACCGTCATGGCCCAGCCAAGCCCAGGCCCCAGCAGTCGTCCCCCCCTTGCTGTCCCAGCCCAGGAGGTAAGACCAGGCACCCTGTCCCCAGAACTGACCTAAGCCCAGAGCACTGGCCAGGGGGCCACAAAGAAGCCTTTGATGGGGGGCTGCAGGCCCAAGAAGACGACGCCCAGAAAGGAGACAGTGAAGGGCGCCTCACACCCTCCAGACTCCAGGGAGCATCCCCACACCAGAGCCTCAGGGTCTTGGGAAAGCAGCCCCCTACACAGGGCAGGCGCCCTTACGAGGAGAGGGATGGCCAGGCAGGTAGATCTGTAGAAGCAGCCACGGCAGCAGCTGCCTGGGATGGATCCTGCCAGACTCCAGACTCACGGGGGCCCCACCACTGCCCTCTCTCTACTCCTCCCTCAGCCACTGCAGGCTGTGGTCAGCTGTGGTCACCAGTTCGACACCCCAAACCCCTCCCAGTGGTGGTGTATACTTAAGCAAGCTCCTCAAAAGCACCCGCAATCTCCCACCAGAGGACTGCCTGGGACCCCAGAACACCAGCTCAGAGGTGTCCATGTGGCAGTGGGAGGTGCCCTCATACCTGTTCTCACTCTCTGCTGTCTGGAACTGGCTGTACAGGGTGCTGGTGCTGCGGCGGGCAGCCTGACGGGAGCCGGATGTGGTTGAGCCACTACTCTGGTCGCTGTCCAGGCTGAGGCTCAGGGTGGAGCCCACGGGCCCCTCCTGCAGGTACACACCCAGCGAGCGACGGTGGTGGGGTGCGGTGGACACAAGGAGGGAGCTAGGGGTGCCCTGGGAACAGGAGGTTGGGACTTGGGTCAGGGCTGGACAGACTCCACTTTCTCCCAGCAACACGCCCACCGTGGACGCTCACACTGGCCCTCACTCACACGGCCGTCTGGCCGGCCCTCGAGGCGCTGTGCAGCCTTCACCCGGTCCCAGGTGTCCTTCCAGCGCTCAGCGGGTTGGCCCAACTCTGTCTCCAGCCTCTGCAGCTCCTGGGGGAAGAATTAATGGCAAGTTTATTCAAAAGGAAATATCCAGACTAGAGCACGAAAAGACAAAAGGAAAACACAGGAAAGAGACACAACGGAAAGGCCTAACGCGTGTGTGACTGGCCACAGGGGGAGGTGGCAAGAGGGAGGGAAGGAATATGCAAAATGAATATTCGGAGACAACAGTTGAAAAATTTCCCAAACTAACCAGAGGCATCAAACAACATAATCAAGAAGCACTACAGACCCCAACAGGGTAAGTTAAAAACACACACCCCGGCCAGGCGTGGTGGCTCACGCCTGTAATCCCAGCACTTTGGGAGGCCGATCACCTGAGGTCAGGAGTTTGAGACCAGCCTGACAAACATGGAGAAACCGCATCTCTACTAAAAATACAAAAAGTTAGCCCAGCATGGTGGCGCACGCCTGTAGGAGAATCGCTTGAACCTGGGAGGCGGAGGTTGCGGTGAGCCGAGAACGCGCCACTGCACACCAGCATGGGCAACAAGAGCAAAACTGCTTCTCAAAAAAAAAAAAGACCACACAATACTGATCTTCAACACTGCAGGGTCCACAATGTCCAGCTTACAATAAAAGAACAGCAGAAAAATGGAGAAAAACATTAAAATAGACCCTGAAATGAAACAGGAGTTAGAACATACAGTAAATTCAAGAGAGTGATTTTAGGGCCAGGCGCGGTGGCTCACGCCTGTAATCCCAGCACTTTGGGTGGCCGAGGCGGGTGGATCACGAGGTCAGGAGTTCAAGACCAGCCTGGCCAAGATGGTGAAACCCCAACTCTACTAAAAATACAAAAATTAGCCGGACGCAGTGGCAGGCACCAGTAATCCCAACTACTCAGGAAGCTGAGGCAGGAGAATCACTTAAACTCAGGGGGCGGAAGTTGCAGTGAGCCGAGATCACACCACTGCCCTCCAGCCTGGGCGGCAAAGTGAGATTCTGTCTCAAAACACACAAACACACACACACACACACACACACACACACACCCCAAAATGGGACAGAAAAACTGCTGAAAAACAAAGAGAAAAGTCCCAAAACCTGCCAGAAGAAAAAAAGACATGCTCTCTTTGAAAGAGCAACAATAAAACTGACGGCTGACTTCAAAAGAGAAACACGAGGCCAACTGTCAACTTCCAGCCATGACAGATAATTAGTCTGAACAGCCCTCCCTCCATATGCAAATGATGAAACTGGACAAGAAGGGGAAGCCGTTGTTTCCAGATGTCAGACAAGCAGTGCAGCTTGAGAGACAGGAGCCTAAGACATGGGACCACATAAGATGGGCCCCACAGTCACCTGTTTTCTGCCCAGCCACAGTGCAGGGAGGCAGGGCCAGAGCAACACACGGGAGCTTGCTGAGCCGAGGAGGCAGAGACGGGACGTCCAGGGGCGCTAGTGCAGCTGGGTCTGCAGGGCAGCCCACAGAGGGGAGGGAGCACCACAGCAAAGGGGCTCTAGAAATCTAGACAGAGCCCTCCTTGAGTCGTTGGCCAAATTAGGCTGCCATGTGCAAAGCAAGATGTCACAAGGCCTGGCAGAGAACAGCTACTAAGAAGCTATGACCTGACGCCGGCAGCAGTGGCTCACACCTGTAATCCCAGCACTTTGGGAGGCCAATGCGGGTGGATAACCTGAGGTCAGGAGTTCAAGACCAGCCTGGTAAACATGGCAAAACCCTGTCTCTACTAAAAATACAAAAATTAGCTGGGCATGGTGGCGGGCACCTGTAATCCCAGCTACTCGGGAGGCTGAGGCAGGAGAATTGCTTGAACATGGGAAGTGGAGGCTGCAGTGAGCCGAGAGTGCGCCACTGCACTCCAGCCTGGGAGACAAAGTGAGACTCTGCCTCAAAAAAAAAAAAACAAAACTATGAGCTGAACCCAAATTCTAGAGGAATGCTAAAAGATACTGGACTTCCAAAAAGCCAGTGTGGCAAGACCTTACCGAAGACACAAAGACACAAAACTCCAACTGAAGCCCTGGAGAGGCCACACGCCTTGGGCTGCTCTATCCCTGGAGCTTCTCTAGAGGTGCTGGAGAGCTGCCCAAACAAAGCTTAGAAACAAGCTTCAAACAGACCAAGCTGACGCACAAGCTCATTACCTACCTGCGAGAATAAAACCCAAGACTCTAAGCTTAAAGAAAGACAACACAGGCAGGGCACAGTGGCTCCCGCCTGTAAGCCCAGCACTTCGGGAGGCCGAGGAGGGAGAATCGCTTGACCCAAGGAGTGTGAGAACAGCTTGGGCAACATGGCAAGACCCCATCTTTATATATATTTTTAAGTTATGTTTCAAGATTTAAAAGAAAAGATGGACATAATGGTTTATCAGATGGGGAATCTCTACAATAAAAAGCGTTAAATTCATTAGATGGGGCCGGGTGTGGTGGCTCATGCCTGTAATCCCAGCACTTTAGGAGGCCAAGGTGAGAGGACTGCTTGAGCCCAGGAGTTTGAGACCTGCCTGGGTGACATAGGGAGACCCCATCTCTACAAAAAAAAAAAAAAAAAAAAAAAAAAAGTAGCCGGCACGTGGCCCACGCCAGTAGTCTTGGCAACTCAAGAGGCTGAATGAAGCAGGATGATTGTTTGAGCCTGGGAGGTTCGGGCTGCAGTGAGCCATGACTGTGCCACTGCACTCCAGCCTGGGCAACAGAGCAAGACCCTGTCTCAAGAAATTAAAAAAAAATTCATTTGATGGGCTTCAGTATATTAAAAACAAGAAAGAAAAGAGTAGTGAACTTGAAGACAAGCCAACAGAAATCATCCAAAATGAATTGCAAAGATAAAGACTGAGAAAAAACAAACAGAGCTTCAGCAACGTATGGGACAATAAAGTTCCAGAAGGAAAGGGAGAGATCATGCAGAAAAAGTAATTTATAGAAGCAATGGCTTGAAATGTATTAAATTTGACAAAAATGATCATCCCACAGACCCAGAAGTTTAAAGAGCCCCAAGCAGGACGAAAGCAAAAACCACAATGGTCAAATTGCTGAAGCCAAAATTAAATGCAAAATCTTAAGGCAGAGAATCAAAGGGTGCCATTATACACAGTTTATAAGGATAAGAATCAACACCAACTTCTAAGCAGAAACAATACAGGCCAGAAAACAAAGTAATATCTTTTTTTTTTTTTTTTTTGAGGCAGAGTCTCACTCATGTCGCCCAGGCTGCAGTGCAGTGGCGCGATCTCAGCTCAGTGCAGCCTCCACCTCCCGGGTTGAAGCGATTCTCCTGCCTCAGCCTCCTGAGTAGCTGGGATTACAGGCACCCGCCACCATGCTCAGCTCATTTTTATATTTTAGTAGAGACGGGGTTTCACCATATTTGCCAGGCTGGTCTCGAACTCCTGACCTCAGGTTATCCACCTGCCTCAGCCTCCCAAAGTGCTGGGATGACAGGCGTGAGCCGCTGCGCCCAGCCTAGTAATGAGATCTTTTAAAGTGACATCAGTTTAACTGCTGAATTAAAAAAAAAAAAAAAAAAAAGAAGCAGCTGTCAACCTAGAAATGCATATCCAGAGAAAATGCCCTTTGCAAAATAAAGGCACCAAGATGTTTTCAGATAAACAAAAGCTGAGGGGATTTGTGACTGGCAGCTCTGCATTACAAGAAATATTAAAAATTCTTCAGGCTGAAGAGAAATAATAACCAGACCAGATTATACTGAAAGAATGAAGAATGTTATAAATGGCAAAAATAGAAGACTTTTTCCTTCTTTCTTAATTTCCTTAAAACAAAGTTGACTATTTAAAACAAAAACAGGGCCGGGCACGGTGGCTCACGCCTGTAATCCCAGCACTTTGCAAGGCCAAGGCGGGCGGATCACCTGAGGTCAGGAGTTTGAGACTAGCCTGGCCAACACAGTGAAACCCCGTCTCTACTAAAAATACAAAAAAAATTTAGCCGGGCATGATGGTGGGTGCCTCTAATCCCAGCTACTTGGGAGGCTGAGACAGGAGAATCACCTGAACTCAGAGGCAGAGGTTGCAGTGAACCGAGATCGCACCACCGCTCTCCAGCCTGGGTGACTGAGGGAGACTCCATCTCTCAAAAAAAAAAAAAAAAAAAAAAAAAAAACCATACTGGGTGTTTATGTCATACGTAAAAATAAAATGTGTGACAGTAACAGGACAGGAAAGGCATGAATGGACACACACTGCCGTAAGGCTCTTCTGGTGTCAACAGGGTGATGTAATTTCAAGTCAGATGATTATAGCCCCCAGCAACCCCTGAAACACAACACAGAGATGTACAGCTCAACTCACAGTAGACAGAATACTAAAAACACTTGTTTTTTAAAAAAAGAAAAGAAAGAAAGGAAAAAAAATCAAAGGGACAAAGAGAAAACAAAGAGCAAGATGACAGACTTAAACCCAGCCACATCAATAGTAACAGTAAATTAAAATGGGCTAAAAATTCCAATTAAAAAAACCCATTAGACTGGATAACAAGAAGACCCAACTACATCTACATTCTGTGTACAAGAAACTCACCTTAAACATAAACACACAGACCAGTAAAAAATACAAGAAAACAACAGAGCAAGCTGACACTGGTCATGACAAAGCTGAGTGACTCTGTTAGCACCAATGAGACCGCGTCAACTTTAAGACAATGAGCATCGCTAGAGAGAAAAAGGGACTGCTGTCTGTGCTTTGTGGGTCACCTCCATCACAAACCATGACTCCCGTACTCCCCCAAACCCTGTGCCCCATGCTAAGTCACTGAAATAAATGACTCATTTAAGCCTCACAACTTCCCTGTAAGGCAGGAATCAGCATTTCCACTTTCTGCACAAGGAACCAGAAGCTCTAAGATGCTTAGATAACTAGGCCAGGCACGGTGGCTCACGCCTGTAATCCCAGCACTTTGGGAGGCCGAGGCAGGTGGATCACGAGGTCAGGAGATCGAGACCATCCTGGCTAACACGGTAAAACCCCGTCTCCACTAAAAATACAAAAAATTAGCTGGGCGTGGTGGTGGGCACCTGTAGTCCCAGCTACTCGAGAGGCTGAGGCAGGAGAATGGTGTGAACCCGGGAGACGGAGCTTGCAGTGAGCGGAGATCGCGCCACTACACTCCAGCCTGGGCGACAGAGCGAGACTCCATCTCAAAATAAAAAAAAAAAGATAACCTCTAAGGCCACACAGCCAACAGTGGGGAGCTGAGTGCAGGTCCCCCCGTGGCCTAGGTCCAAGGTCCACACTCCTCTGCCTGCTCAGTCCCACAGAGACTCCGGGATGGCCCCAAAAGGTAGCACCACGCGCAGGACACTGCCTCAGGCCTTACACACCAACCCAGCCACCACCCAATCGCAGTCTCCTTTCTCCCTCCCAGGCATCTCTGCCTTGTTCAGTCCAGGCCCACCAGGGATGGCACAGTGAGGGGTAAGAGAGGCCTCAATGTCAACCCCAAGCTCTCAGGGCAAGAACCCAGAGCTGCTCACGTTAGGTGGGGCAGGCGGTCTGGCAGAGGGAGTAAAACACTGTCGTCTCTAAGGGCTGACTCCTCAACAGGTGCCTGAGCTGCTCAAAGCCAGGTCAGGGAAAACACACGTGCTCAGAGTGGAGGCTGTGTACTGAGACCTGAGGGTCTCTGATGACGGCCCTCCTGTCACTGTCTGGAAGCACCCACTGAGTGGTGCGGGGCCCTGGGGAGCCACAGCCACCCCAGGCCAGTAGGCAGTTCACATGGTGGGGAGACGGCAGGGCCACACCAACCCCCAGGGGTAACCGGACTTACGTGCATGTACGAGTGTACACACACACGCACGACCCTGGTGTCTGAGCGAGAGGAGGGGGGTGCCAGGCCAGACCCTGCTCTGGGATCACACGCACCTCCAGCAGGCGTGAGATGGCGTCAGGCTGGGCCCGCGGGCAGCTGTCGTAACAGGGCCACACCACGCGGCGCCTGCTCTGGGGAGCGCCTCCATCAGACCGTTCTTCCTCTGGGGGTTCAGGGGGCCCCTGGGCCAGTTCCCAGTCATAGGGAGGGCCCTCGGCCAGCGTCTCCTCAGTGTAGAAGTCCCACACCTTCAGGTTGGACACGTTGCTGTAGGGCCGCAGGACCTGAGGGTGGGCCTGTGGTTGAGGACCTGGGTCGGGCAGGAGCCGCCTACCCGACCCAGGCCCCAGCTTACCTCTGCGTCCTCGGGCGCATACATGTAATTGTGGAACACAGGCGTCCTCTTGCTCAGCCGGTCCACATACTCCCACACAGACCTGCACGGCACCTGGCCCCTGCGTTCCCCCTTCTCCTCATACAGCAGCCCTGCACAGAAGCAGCACTGAGCCTGGGCCCCTCCTGACCCGTGGCTGCCCCAGCCCCGACTCCCCACATACCCAGCTCAATGCGCTCATAGTCAGAGTCGAGCAGGAAGGTCCGGAAACGGCGGGACACATGGTGGTAGCCGAGGAACTTGAGGTAGAACTGGCTGAACTCAAACTCCATGGGGAACTGCAGGTGGACCTGCACGCCATGTGGGTCAGGGGCCAGGGCTCAGCGGTCAGGGTGCACAGTCCCGGCCCACCCACACAGCGGCCTGCCCACCTGGTGTACGCAGTCCAGGAACTGCAGGAAGACGGGTGTGAAGCCGCTGCTCTGCCCGGCCAGGGTGTGAGCTCCACGGTGGCTGAAGCGATGGCCGAAGGACAGCCACTCCTTCTCCACCAGCAGGCGAAAGCCCTCCAGCGTGCGGTAGAAGGGGTCTGAGAGCAGCTGCACCAAGGATACCACCTGCCAGCACCGCCAGGAGGTCAGCGAGGAGCCCGGGAGCCTGGCCCACCCCAGCCCCACGCGCCACACACCTGGGTGGTGATGTCCCAGCCATCCTCCAGGCCCACCAGCACGGAGGAGCCTGAATCCAGGAGCTCCACCACCAGCACAGACACCTGCAGCAGCTTGTGGATCTGCAGGGACAGGCGGCCTCAGCACCTCGGGGACCCACCGCCCTCCCGCCTGGCCACTCACCAGGCCAGAGACCCGCATGTCCACAGGCAGCGGGGAGGCAGGCCCTGTCCACAGCCCCCCAAGCCCTGTATGCGGGCAGAGCACTGGACAAACACAGCTCGCTCTGGGTGTGCCGACCACCGCCTCCAGCCTGCTGGTCACAGCCCACCCCCTTCCAAGCCCTCTAGGACTGAGGGACGTCCCTGTCCCTCAAGATGCCGGTGGCCCTACCTTCAAGCCCTCCAGTGTTTACCAAGCCAGCATCCTGTCAGTACCCACCCCCGAGAGAATGCAGCAGGGGCCCAGAACCATAAACTGCATCCCCCGTGTGGTCATCAGCCCACGTGGGCCCAGCAGGCTGCTCCGACATACCCATGCCCAAGCCCTGGCCACTCTCACTGTCAGCTGGCCCCAGCCAGGCCCAGCCTCCCAGCTGCCTTCTAGGCACCAGAGCCTGGGTGGGAAGTGGCTGTCACCTCCTCCTTCCAGCGCTCCACACTGTCAGACAAGCAAACCTAGACCCGTCCACTTGGCTCTACCCAAGGGGAGGGCCCAGCACCAAGGCGGGCAGAGGGACGGGGCAGTGCAGAGACCTGGATCAGCCACTCTGAGTCCTCCAGTGAGCGCAGGAAGGAGGCTGGGCTGGGCTCAGCAGCGGGGCAGCCTGGGACACATGCTTTCAGCAGCTTCTTGAAGCTAGCCTTCACCTGCCGTGCCTCGAATACCTCAATGGGCACCAGCTCCCACTGCTGCAGGGGGTCTGACCGCACACCCTGAAAAGAATCCGGACAAGTCCCGTGAGACACATGAGGCCCCAAGCCCCCTGCCGAGCCCCCACCCTCACCCCCCACCCCCCGCACCCCAGTCACCTTGAGCTGGGCTTTGTCCCCAAGGATATAGAGGGCTGCTCGCTGCGGACGCAGGAAGCCCGGGTCGGGAGGGCCCCCGTTGGCCTGGGGTGGGGCCAGCGCGTCTCTGCCAGCTAGCCGGGAGCCCACATCGGTGCCAAGGCCACTGCTGCGTCCACTGGTCCGGACACTGCCCCACTTACCTGTGAAGGAGATGCCAGGTAAGCACCCAAAGGGGGCCAGGGCACCACTTACCTGGGGCTGGCTGGGCCCGGCCTCCAGGGAGGGGGCTGAGCTCCCAGGGCAGGGGTGGTTGGCAGGACCCCAGCAGGGCCGTGCGAGAGGAGGGCTGGAACACACAGATTCTGAGACGTGGGGTGGCAGCCAGTGTTAGTTTCTAGGGCAGGACTCACGGGTCAGGGAGGTAAGGACTGGGGCTCGGGAGACGGGTCGTTAGTGTCAGGTGTGGAGGGAGACATTAGTGCCCGCAATAACTCAGTGCACACTAGAGGCCGCCAGCACCAAGTAAGGGGAGGCGGGCCTGCGCAGGCTCGGTACGGTACCTCGGGGTGCGGTCCGTCTGGAGGCCGAGGCCGCCATGGGGTTGGACAGCGTGGTGACCCTGGCTCTGGGGCTGGGAACTGAGGGCACAGCAGAGAGAAGGCTCAGGCCTAGCCCCAGGCCTGGGCGTGCCCAGCTTGGGGGTGCCTACAGGTCAGAGGGTTCCACCAAGCCCCCAGGGAGCCTGGAGACAGCAGGGGTCAGCCCCAAGTCCCTGATCGCAGGAAAGTGGGAAGAGCCATCCTGGTGTGGGCCTCTCTGCCAGGGCAGGGCAGGCCGCAGAGCACTCCGTGGCAGCAGAAGGGCTATGCGGTGGGGATCCCGGGCTCTCCTCTAACACTTCCTTTCTTCCCACTCAAACCAGCTTAGAGCAAGTCTGTCTCTGAGTCCCTCCCTCCACATCCTGGCCCTTTGTCCTCCACTCAGGGGGCCAGGGCTTGTGATGGGCACAGCTCAGAACGCTCCACACATGAGCATGTAGACGCCTCTGTCCAGGGCACAGCAACAGGAGGTGCCCAAGAGGTGTGGCCTGGAGAAGAGGCGACCTGGAGGCTTCCCGAAGAGGGGAGAGGGTGGGCTCAGAGCCTGAGCCCAGTCCAAAAGGACGGAGAGCAGCTCAGTCCAGGACACAGGCAGATCTGAGTCCCAGGCTGAGGTTTACGGTCCAGACGACGTGGCCTGAAGGCACAGGGAGGACTGGCAGCCCAAAGGGCTGGGAGATGCCTGGGGTCCACAGAGGGTCTCTGGGCGCCTGGCCCTGCCCAGGCTCACCTGCTTCTGCAAGGCCCGAGGGTGGGACTGAGAGAGGCAATGTCCCCTCGTCCACCAAGTGGTCACTACAGGCCAAGCACAATGCCAGCCCAACACGCCCTGTGTCCTCTGACGGCTGCCACACTGCAGGCGCCCAGCTCACAGTGAGGACGCAGCACCAGCCTGCTTTGGACGCCAACCAGGGCCCAGTGTATCCTTGTAAAAAGGTCAGAGCTGGCCAGGCGCAGTGGCTCACGCCTGTAATCCCAGCACTTTGGGAGGCCGAGGCGGGCGGATCACCAGGTCAGGAGATCGAGATCATCCTGGCTAACACGGTAAAACCCTGTCTCTACTAAAAATACAATACAAAAAAATCAGCCGGGCGCGGTGGCGGGCACCTGTAGTCCCAGCTACTCGGGAGGCTGAGGCAGGAGAATGGCGTGAACCTGGGAGGTGGAGCTTGCAGTGAGCCGAGATCGCACCACCGCACTCCAGCGTGGGTGACAGAGAAAGACTCCGACTCAAAAAAAAAAAAAAAAAAAGGTCAGGGCTGGGACTAGAAGCCACGACTACAGCTGAGTGAAGCTTGAGCCCCTGAGCATTGCTGGGCACTGAGGGGGACACGGGGAGGCAGCAGCCACTGGCACTGGGGATGGTCGGAGACGCAAAAGGGACTCTGTGGGAAGCACAGGCATGGGGGGTGCAGGGGCGGCCCCACCTGCAAATGCCACTCAGGGTTTCTGGCAGGGGTGGGAAGGCAGCAAGACAGGGCGATTGTAAAATGTAAGTATATAATGTGGTATCTGGAAAAACAAAACCACTTCTGAACTAGAGAACAGGTGGTCCGGACACAGGAGTGAGTGTGGGGCCTATCTGCCACCCCGTCCTGGGGCCAGTCTAGCTCAGTGTGTGCAGGGCGCCTGTGAAGTGTGCGTGGCGGTGGGGACAGAGACAGCAAGGCCAGCTCGGGCAAGGCCCAAGGAACCAGGACACACGAGGACAGAGGCCAAGCTGCAGGCAGAGCCAGGCCAGAGGCTCCAAAGACAGTCTGGATTGGGGGATGCAGGGAGGGTGGAGTGTGGGGGATGAGGAAAAACAGTGACACTGGGAGGGAACAGGACAGAGGAGCATCTGGGATGTTTCCAGGCTGTGGGAAATGGTAAGACAGAGCCGCGTAGAGGCAGCACCCGGAGGACCCTACAGGAAGCTGCAGCAGACGCAGAGGTGGAGAGCGGGCAGGACGTCAGGGCGGGCAGGAGGTCAGGGCACACACCTGGTCTGGGCACACACTTGGTCTGGACAGGCTTCCCGCCCCTGCCCCACGGCACCCGGAGGGCATGCTCCTCATCCCACACCCAAACATCCATGACCAGCGCCGTTTCTGCTCCTCCCTGGCCTGCCTGCCAAACCATAAATGCCACCACGGCCCCCCAAAGTGCCCCTGCCCCACCGTCTGCCCACAAGCACCCTCACCGTGACTGCCCATGTGGGCTGAGGAGAAGCCGCTAAGCGTGTTGCGTCCCGACGCGTCGGCGTAGCGGGGCATGGAGCTGACCACAGCCTGCAGGTACTTCTCCTGCTCCAGGCTACTCGAGTCCGCCTGGGACTGGCCTGGGGGAGGACACGGAGCTGAGGGAGGGGAGGGTGAGATAGGGCAGGGCAGGCACAGGGCAGGACGCAGGAGGTACCTGGAGAAGGTGCGTTCTGGGCCTTGAAGAGGCCGACGACACCTTTGCCATGCAGGCCTCCAGAGCGCAGCAGCACCGCCTTGGACCGCCCGCTGCGCCAGCAGACCACGGGGAAGCGGTTCTGGCGGTAGCAGCGGGACACGCGCTGCAGGGCGTTGTCCTGGACACTCTGGGGCACGATCAGCAGCCCTGGGTAGCTGAGAGGAGGCAGAGGCGTGAAGGTGGCTGGCGACCCCACCCGCCTCCAGGCTCACGCCCCAAGCAGGGCAAGAGGAGCCAGCCCATGGCTCCCAGCAGGAGGCGCTTCCAGCTCAGCCACGGGGCCCCCCAGCCACCCCCCAGCCCTGTGGCCCGTCCCTCTGCCCGGAGTCTCCCCCTCCACATTCCTTACATGACCAGAAGCCGTGGCCCAGGCCCACAGCGGGCAGGGAAGACACCCAGTCACGTGTCCACCACCCGGGCCAGCCCTGGCCGGCCCTCACCTGCGGCAGATGGCATACATGCGGTTGACCGGAGAAATGCGGAAGGGCTCAGACTTGGCCCGGCTCAGGCTGCTGCTCAGGGTGCCCAGACCGAGGCGCTGGTAGTCGCGACAGCAAGCCCTTTCCACCAGGCTGCTCATGGTCATGCGGTCGGAGGGCTTCAGGGCTGAGGACGGGGTCAGCGTGCTGGGCTCCAGCTCCTCCGACACTGCACAGGCCGGGCACACGTGGTCATCACGGGGCCACTCCGCCTGCCCTGATCCTCCCTGGCCAATGTCAGCATCCAGAGACCACCCAGGACTCCACCCCCACCCCTCCACCTGAGATCTCGTCCTCCTGGTCCTCAGGGGGCGGCTGGCCCCGGTGCTCCCAGCTGGGGGGGTTGTACTTCTTGCGAGTGACATGCTGCCGCCCGATGGTCTTCTTGGCGTTCTTGACCAGGTTCCGGGACAGGGTTCTGAGGCCCACGAGAGTCAGCAAAGGTGAGAGGAGGAGGGACAAAGATGAGCACAGGGGCCTAGGAGGGTTGGAGCGGGAACACGGCTGAGGCCCAGCTGCCCTGCCTGGGACCCAGATCCATACCTGAGGGAAGGACCCTTGTCCTTGGTGACTCGCGGTGGCCGGCCAGGTGTGTGGGCAGAGCCCAAGGTGAACGCAAAGGTGGCCCTGATGTCCGGCGGGTACCGCAGCTTATGCAGCTGCTTACGGAAGAGCTCGGCGCTGTCAGACCCCACCTCCTCGTCAAAGGCCATTTTCAGCAGCTGTGTCAGTAAAAGCAGCCCTTAGGGGTGTGGGTGGCCCCCCAGCCCCTCCCCCAACTCTGACACTGCCAGGCTCCCCTTCCCCTCGCAGCCATGACAGAGAGAGAAGCAGGCCCCAGGCAAAGGCCTGTATCTGTGTCACACGAAGGCAAGCGCTTGTGTAAACTCGAAATCTCAGTGGCTGTGAGCTGAGGCCTGGGTTTGCAAGGCACACCCAAGACACGGACTTGAGGGCCGGCGCCCCAAGGAAAGGACAAGGACCCAAAGACCGCACATCAAACAGTGGACATCAACTCAAGAGCCACAGTGAGGGCCCCAGACATGCAAGCGTAACAACAGGGCCACTGCTGGAGACTGGCCTAAAAATGGTTCATACAAGAAAGACCGGTTTGCAGGAGAAAGACCAGGGCGGGGGATGAGAGCCCCACCCGCGCACCGCGCCCCACCTGGAATGTGCAGGAGCGCAGCTGGAGCCCGTCCTGCAGGAGCTGGTCCACAGGGGTCTGGACGCTGATGCGCTTCTCCTTGGTCAGCGCAGCCACCGGGAAGGAGCGGACCACCACCTGCTCCCCAACTTAGGACAGGCCAGGCAGAGTCAGAAGCAAGGAAGGTAAGGGGGGGGGGGTCCCAGAATCTCAGGGTACCACAGTTATGGGGAATCCCAAGTGGGTGGGGAAGGAGCAGACAAAGGCCCGTTTCCCACGGGCACCCAGAACCCCCGAGAAAAGGGAGAGGGAGGCAGGGAAAGCCCATCCATCCCAAAGACCTGGGGGAGAGGGGGCGACAGGGCCAGAGAGTCTGCAGGCTCACCCAGGGGGTCCGTGGGCATCCCCGTGAAGATGACCCGGTACGTGGTGAGGAAGACGGCGCCCTCAGCTGGGAGCAATGCTGGTCCCCCAGCACTGCCCCCCGCGCCCTCCTCACGCCCATCCGGCAGCAGGTAGACGCGCAGGCCGTCCAGCACACACTCCTCACCCGGCAGCAGGCGCGGCCGCAGCAGCTTGGGCTGCTCGAAAACAAGAGCAGGAGCTCAGGATGCAGCCCGGGCCTTGGGCCCCCGCAGCCCCAACGGCCCCCGCAAACCTTCTGGATGGGCGGCAGCCTCCGGCTCTCCCGCTGCACGGCCTCCAGGGTCTCGATGTGCATCTGGACAATGTCTGGGGGAAGACAGTTCTCACACTTTGTGCCCAGCCCCACCCATCCAAGGGGGAATCACCAGCCCAAACCCCCGTACCTGGCACCATGACATGCAGCCCCTTGAGGTGGTCGCTGGTGACCCCACTCTCCGTGCAGACCTTGTCCACAAAGCGGTTGATGAAGCGGACCACAGCCCCAGCTACGTCGCAGGTCTCTGCATCCTCGAAGCCGCTCTCCGTGTCATAGCTCTCGGCCACACTGCCAGCCATGCTGGGCCAGAGAAGAAACTGTGGGCATGGGCCCTGCCCACCACGGCCCCGCCTCCACTGGGCCCAACCCCCAGTCCCTGCCTCACCTGTTGGTGACCAGGCTGTTGCTGGCGCTCTCCAGGTCGCCCAGCCCGGCACGCTCCCGAAGTAGGCGGCTCTTGCTGCTGTCCAGGGGCAGGAGGAGGTAGCTCATGCGGTTGGCATAGTGGATGGCCTGGCTGAACACCGTGCTCTCCTCCTTCTGCACCAGCTCCTGCTGCTTCTCACGACTCAGAGTTGGCCACAAGCGCCGCTGCTCAGAAGCCACGTCTAGGGCAGAGCGCTCGTCCTCCTGGGAAGGTGCCTCCCCAACCTCCTGCCACGGCACCACACGCATGAGCCGGGGCCACGCTGCCCCAGCCCCTAGCCCCCAGCCCCCAGCCCAGGGAGTCCCTGCGCACCTGGGCGGGGGCCAGGTCCTCCGTGGGCTCCAGGTAGAGGGCCCGGATGTGAGTCTGCACATCCCCATAGAACATGGCCTCCCAGAACTGTGGCGTGCTCCACACCACGTGCTCCTGCACACAGCTGTATGCAAACTGCGTCACCCCCGGGCTCAGCTTCTGCAGGAGCCAGGGGAGAAGGTCAGCTGGATGCAGCCAGGAAGGGCGGCTGGGAAGGAGACCTCGGCCACCAGGAAGGGGGGCTGGGAAGGAGACCTCAGCCACCAGGAAGGGGGGGCTGGGAAGGAGACCTCAGCCATGCCAGCACTCACCCGGCAGAAGGCTGTGACCAGAGGCAGCAGAGCCGCCGCAATGCCATGCTCGTCCAGAGAAGTGCAGTCCTGCAGGTAGAGCGAGAGACCGTCAGGACCTCTCCCCTCCCAGGCAGCACTCACCTCCCACCATGCCCCCACCACCCCATAACCACCACAGACCAGCACCTGACACCCTTGGCTCCAGCTCCCCAAGGCTGCCTCAGAGGCTCAATATCAGGAGACCCCAGGCCCCAGCACCTGCCCCCAACAATGGTTCTCTCCACCCTGTTCCCTGCAGACCGAGGACCCCTGCCCACTGGCACAGGAGTCTCTTGCACCGTCTCTCCACTCTCACTCACAGACCAGGGTCTGCCCGCCTGTTCCCGCTCATGCGCCATGAGCCATGTCACTAGCAGGATAAGAGGCCTCACCTGCAGGCAGCAGTTCATCATACGGACGACAAAGTCAAACTGCTGGTGGTCCAGGACCGCACGGTTCTGCTGCACATGCAGGTGCAGCTCCTGGGCGAGGCAGCGGCGGGCAGCTCGCCCCTTCAGGGCCCTCAACACGGCTGGGAGCAGCTGGGGGTGGGGAAAGGAGACACGGGCTGAGGGCACAGAGAAGACCCACTCGGGGCCCTGGCAGGGAGGGCAGCAGGTGTCCAGGAGACCCAAATGCCTTTCAGGTGGGGTGTGCCAGACTCTGGGGCTTTGCCGACCAATAAAGACTAAAACCTCCAGTGGGCCCGACAACTCCACAAGTACAAGTTCACCAGGCCAGACACAAGGACGCAGATGCTGCACCTGTGAGCTGGCAGGGAGGTGCGCTCCGGAGGGAGGCCTTGCGGGCCGGGCCCCCTTGCTCACAGGCTCACAGCTGCCTGGCTGGCTCAGTGACTCGCCTGGCACAGGCCCGGCCACAGAAAGCCTTGGAGTTTGCGTTCTATTGCTACAACGTTCATCACAAAACTGGCCGCCCCAAAGGGACACCATACAGCCAATGAAAAACAAGAGTCTCCAACTGGCCATGATGAAAGACCCCAGAGGCGTTAAGTGAGCACCACAGAGAGCAAAACAGCAGGAGCAAAAAGCTCTGTTTCCATAAGATGCAAGGAACAGGTCACGTATGGAGGGAGCAAGCTCTGTTTTCCATCAAGTACAAAGAACAGGTCGTGTATGGGCCTACCCAATTTAAGGGGAAGGACACAGACGAAACATAATAGTGAAACCTTCTGATTTCTAAAAATGGAAGTACATCTCCCTGGCTGGGTCTCCCGCGCAGGCCCGACCCACCCCTCACTGAGGTCAAGAGAGGAGACCTGGAGCCCACCTACCCTCCGGCCAGCCCAGCCACCTCTAGCTGTCTGTTAGGCAGAGGAGGCCCTGGGGCAGCGTCAGCACTCACAAGGGTGAAGTGCAGCCTGGGTCTCCTCTGAAACCCGCTGCCCTGGCCCGGCTGGAGCCTGCACAGCCCTCACCTTCTTGGCCTCAAGCATTTTCCCCTCAAACACGTAGGAGATGCAGTTGCGCACAACCTCCAGCCGCCGGGCGCTGTTGACATGCAGCCCACTGCACCGCTCCAGTATGGCAGCTGCGGGGACAGAATACACACACTCGGACCCCTGACCCCACGCCCATCCTGGGCCACGCTCGGGGCCTGCCTTCCCCTCCCTCATTACGCACTCATGGGGGGCCCTGAGGGCACGGTGGTCCTCCTCTCGGCCTTCACAGCTGGGGGTGCACCCTGCATCTTGGCTGCAGCCTGGTCCACGATCCACTGCACGGTGCCCTCATCCAGCCGGGGGAAGGGTCGGGGCACCCGTCGCAGGTGGCTGCTCTCACCGGGCCTCTGTACCTTGTGCATCGCCACGGCTGGGTACGGGTTCTCCTGTGGGGAGACGGCAGGTGTGGGGCAGGGGCCCAGGGATCAAGGCGGTACGACGCCCTCCCGTCCTGCTACCCTCGTACGTTCTTGTAGAGCTGCTCTGCCAGTTCCTGGACGTGACGCAGGACACGCTGGGGGTGGTTCTCATCCGCCCGCATCCTTGCCACCTCGTGGGCCACCAGCTAGCGGGGTAAGCAGGAGGTTAGGTAAGCCATGGTCAGGCGGAGCCAGGGCAGGGGGCTGGGAGGGCAGGGTGGAGGTGCACCTCATCGAACAGGTCCGTAGGGCGGTATGGGACCCCACGCTCTGACACAAAGCCAGCAAAGGCCATGCCCTCCAGCACCTTCATCAGGAAATCGTCCTCTACCAGCCCACGCTGGCCCAGGAAGGCTGCCTGGATGACAGAAGGAGGTCGGTCCCTCAGGGGTCTCCACCATGCGCTTATCTCCTACCCCACGCCCAGCCACCAGGCACCCCACCTTATGGAAGCGGATGACAGGCTCCGGGTGGATGCGCACGACGTGCAGGCACCAGCGATAGCCCTGCAGCAGCTGAGCGAACAGCCGCAGGAAGACCGCGCGCAGCTCCTTGTCCTGGGAGAAGAGCTGAGTGCAGGTGAGAGCCAGTCCTGCCAATCCCCACCCCAGGCTGCCCAGGAGCTTCTCCACACCCCAACCCACCCCAAGCTGCCCCGCTCCCATCCTTCTGCCCCTCCCACCATTCTGCACTCAGGGCCACCAGCTCCTCTGAAACTGTCTGGACAAGGCACTCCTGGCTCAGCACCCTCAAGGGCTCCTGTGATCAGACGCCAAGTTCCAGCCCCTTGCTGGGCCCCTGCCGCCTCGCCTGCACCACTCACGACCACCACTCCTAACTGCTGGCAGCTGCTTTGCTCCCAGGCTCCTGCTTCTGCTACTGGAGCCGGGGCCAGCCTGGGGGTGGGGCCCTGTGTGTCAGTGGCAGCAGACCTGAGTGGGGGCAGCCTAAGTGCCTGGGGTCCCCATGCAGGAGCAGCAACGACCCCCACCTGCATCTTCAGGGAGGAGGTGGATGTCGTGGGCGGAGGGAAGGCGAGGTCAGCCAACTCCAGCTCCGGGTCCAGGACCTGCCAGCACAGAATGGAGCAGGCAGCTGCACGCTGGCCCCGGCTCTAGGCTCCCCGTGCTGCCAGGTAGCCACATCCCAAAGGCCCCCAAGGCTCCCGCTTGCCCATGGTGCCCCTCACCATGCTCAGCACACTGTGCGTCTGACTCTGCAGTGGCTCTGGCAAGGGTGGAATGTGCACACACTCAGGAATGGTGACCGTCCCTCCATCCAGATCAGCAACAATCACATCGAGCTGCGGACCAAGGGAGCCGGCAGTCAGGGACCTGCAGGCCTGGGCCGTGAGGTGGACACAAAGCACAGCCCTTACCAGCTCCTGGGTCTCTGCCTGGAAGGCCGCGTTGACCCCAATGATGAAGGGCGTGGGTGTGCTGAGGACCTCCAGCAGCTGAGCCGGCAGGATGGGCACATAGGTGAAGCTGTGCAGGCCCCAGAGGATGCAGTGAGCCAGGGGACGCGGCTGGGCAAAGGGGCCAGGAGAAGGGGCTGGGAGGGCCGGGCAGGGGTCACCTGTATCTGAGAGGAAACAGCAGTGCCAGGAGGCCCCTACAGGCATCGGCGAGCCGCTGGTAGCTCCGGGACAGGAAGAGAACCTTGTGCTCCGTGAGGGCGGCACAGAACAAAGACAGCACGTTGGTGATGCCTAAAGGAAGAAGAGAAGCTTGGAGAGGACCCTGGGCCCCCACCCAGGCAGAGTGAGAACCCACATCCCTAACTACCAGTCCCCGAGGGGAAGCCATGCGGGGGTGGGACAGACAGGCTCACCTAGCTGGCGGAAGAGCAGGGCCACGCTGCAGCGGCTGACGGGCAGCGAGTCGGCCAGTGGAGTCTGGATGACCTGCCGGTCACCAGCCCCCAAAGAGATCGTCCTCTGCAGCAAAAAAAGGATCGGGGCTCAGTAGTTTGGCCAGAGCCAGCCCAGAGTCAGCCCAGAGCTCTGTGTCCCCAGGCAGACCCTGGTGTACTGACAGACCCGAGGTGGGACTGGCTGGGATGGGCAACATGGCAAGAGGGAAACGCCATGCCCTGCCTCTGTTGTCCCAAGCAGCTGCAGAGAAAACTCAGGACAGGAGTGGCTGCTTTTGACTTGGGGGTAGGGATGGGGCCTAGGTGGGCGGAAGAAACAAAGAATCCATACCGCTCCTTCCTCAACAGAGTCCAGCTGCACAGGACAGACGGGCAGAAAGACACGGTTAGACACTCCAACACACCCAGGCACAGGGCAGGGAGCAGACAAACAAGCTGACATCAACATCCAGAGACAGGCACACACCATCAAAGGAGTGGACAGAGAGGCTGAACGACACAGGCCCAGAGCACAGGTGCGAGGGCCAGGTAAGCAGGCCAGGACTGTTGGGGGCAATGGTGGCACGAGGACGCAAGAGGGAGCATCCAAGGCCTCCAGCTGTGTGTGGCTCTGGCTGGGCTCCAAATACCTACCAGGGCCCCAGCAGGAGGGCCTGTGGCTGTGCAGATACCAGCTGCCTCCAAAACTCACCTGCGAGCCCCCAGCCAGGGGCACAGTGCACGTCAGCAGGTTCCCAATCACGTTCTCCAGGCACACATTCAGGCCCTCCACGTGGATGGCATAGATGAGGCCAAGGCTGTTCTGCAATGACCAGAGCGGGGAGTGGTGGGACAGCCGATGGAAGCACCCTCGTCGTGCCTCGCCGCCCCGGCTGCCGGCCTCACCCTGAACACCTCCGTGTGGTCGAGTCGCGACACCAGTACCAGCGTCTTCGGTGCAAACAGCTGGGCAGATGGGGCAGGTGCTGTGGGAGACAGGTGGGTCTGGCCTCCCTCATCCCCCTCTTCCTCCCTCTCTGTGGCATCCTCCACGCGCGTCGTTTCCTGCTGGGGGTCAGGGGGAGACGGGGGCAGGGGGAGTTGGCCACGGCCCAAGGATGCAGCTTCATTCATGCTGTACCCAGAGGCCCCAAGCTGACCTGTGAAGGCTCCGCTGGCTCCCAGAAGGTCAAGCAGGCGCAGTAGTGGCGCTCGGAGTTGATGTCGGTGAGGACAGCAACAAAGAAGGTCGGTGGATTCCTCTCGGGACACAGCTGCCACCCGCTGGGCTGGCAAAACTGCAGGGAAGGCTCAGCAGTCAGCTCCTCCCCCTACACCTGTGGCAGGAACCAGCCCACCCGCCCCAGCATCTGCACCACCAGGCCTGGAGGCTCCAACACACACAGGCAGCTCCTTGCTTGGAGACCCTGGGGACACGTGGCCTCCTGGGCCTCAGTCTCTCCGGGTGAAGGGAGTAACAGCCTCTGACCTCCCCACCTGGGGCAAGGACCAGGAGATGGGAGAACAGTCCCCACCATCATGAGTGAGTGACAACATGACACAGTGACATGAGCACCGCACAGGCCGCCGGCCAAGCCGGTCAAACCCCCCGACAGAGGCTCTGCTGTCTTGTCCCTAGCCCAGCGGGGGGCCGGGCACTGTGGAGGCCCCTCAGTCAGGGACAAGGGCAGGGCTGTGCCCACCTGCCCTCCCCACCTGCCAGCACCGTCTCAGCACGCCCCCAACTCACCAGCTCGATGCCCTGGGGGAATGGGTTGTCCTCCCAGTCCTTCTCTGGGAAGCGCTGCAGAATCTGGCCCTGGCCTTCCCCACTCCCTGAGGACAAGAACAGGGGGTCAGAGCACCCAACCCGCCCCCCACCCACCAGGAGGCTTGAGGATCCCAGGGTGGAAACATTCCCACCCACTGGGCCCTCATCTGGCACCAGATCAGCCACAGCTCCCTAAAAATAGCTCCGTATGGAGAGTCTGCTTGACAGCTGCAGACCCCAGGGCCACCTGAGGGTAGAGAAGCCCCTGCCGCTACACCCCATTCTCCGATCCCACCCCAGAGACCTCCTTCAGCCTGACCAGCCCAGCTTCACACAGCACAGCAGCCCTCCATCGAAGGTCAACACTTCGGGACTGTTCCACAGGCCCCCACAGCATCTGCCACCACCGCCAGGCCCCCACTTAGGCTCTCGGCCCCCCAACAGTGGGCATCCCCCAGAGCTCCCTGTCACCCACCAGCCCTGGACCCAGCCGGGGGTGTGGAGGACTCAAACCTGCTGTCTGTGTGGGGTTCAAGAAGCCTCAGCCCCACAAGGCTAGAGGACACCCCCTGCGCCCACAGCCCCAAACTCTTCCCTATCCCAGCTGCTTCAGAGACAGACAAGTCCCCAGTACAGGTCCCAGAAGATGGGGTTTGGCAGCTCCCTGTTAGAACACCAGCCCCACAGCCAGCAGGACCTAGAGGGGCAGCAGCTAG
Organism: Homo sapiens; assembly: GCF_000001405.40. NCBI lineage: Eukaryota > Metazoa > Chordata > Mammalia > Primates > Hominidae > Homo > Homo sapiens. The sequence continues at coordinate 50,469,113 of NC_000022.11, forward strand.
ACGGGAAGGATGGAGACTTGGTCCAGGACGACCACCGAAGGATGCCCAGATGGCTTCCTGAGCACCTGGACCCCAGCAGCTCTCAGAGGAGAGTGGGACGGTGGTCACACCCAGGCCTGCTCCCTGTCTCCAAATCTCCCTGTACAAAGGCCATAGGATGGGTGCTGAGCACAGCCTAAGCTCCCCTGGGCCAGGAGGAGGGCTTTCAGGGCAGGGAGAGCCAAGAGGCCTATGTCTCCCCACCAGACCCCTCCTCTCCGTGGGGCCCCAGAACTACCACATCCAGGGCCCTGTTTCCAGGCCCAGTCCACACCGGTGGGGTAAAGGTCCCTGCCTGTGGCTCACCCCTGGAGAGCCAAACCAGGAAGCCCGGTGGGGACCACAGTGGGACACTCAGGGTGTGGCTCCCGCAGCAGGACGGCTCCGCAGGCCTCCCAGGGCTTGTGGAGGATGGAGCAGGTGCAGCAGGAAAGACGAAAGCCTGCCTGCCTTCTCCTCCACACAAACCGCAGGTCCCCAGGGCCCATCCTCTGTCTGGACGGGCCTCTACACCGCCACCCACCTGGCGGAAGCAGCAGAGCCAGATGGGCAAGGCGGGGGTCATGCTCAACACAGAGCCCCTCATGGACCCCCCACCCCGGCCCCCAAGAAGCTGCAGCCCCACATCCAGCATGCCTGGTCCTCCTGGGAACAGATGAGCAACTCTGGCAGCCCAATGGCACACACTCCACGGGTCCCCTACAGGCGGGGAGACCATCTGCCCTCCAGGGTTACAGGGGCAGAGCCAAGGAAGTCGGCAGTGGGCAGGCTGCTGCTAAGTGGGAGATGGTGGGGCGGTGAGGGGCCGATTCTGACTCACAAAACCTCAGCTTCCTGCTCCCCTCCCCCTCCCACCGACACCCTGCAGAGGACAGGCGGCAGACGGGTGGGGGCCCAGGTGTCTGCGGGTGCCACACCTACCTCCACACCCCCAAGGACAGCTCACTCAGGCGCAGGCCCTGAGCTGCGGCTCCTCCCCCACCCCGCCCACTCCCCCAAAGGCCTCCTTGTGTTTGGCCCCAAACCACCATCTGGGCCCAGCCCTGGCTGGCACCCAGGGCTCACCCAGTTCTTGCCACGAGGCAGCAGGTGGAGGAAGGAAGAGGGGTTTATGAACAGGGACAGCAGTCTCTGCACTGCAGCCTCCCCAAGGCCAGGAAGGGAAGGCAGCCTTCCCCAGGAGGATGGGCAGAGTGGCAGGTCACCATCTACCTTGACCCTCTCCACCCCCCGCTAGTCTTGTGAAGCATCAACTCTCACTCAGCCTTAAGTCCTCTGCAGGGCTCTACCCTCCAAAGAGCCAGCCCTGAGCTCCACTCTCCTTGGGCTGGCCCAATGGCCCAAGTGGGCCAGGCCAAGCAGGCACCTCTCCCTGAGCTCCTCTGTGCCATGACAGCCCCAGACTGGCCCTTCAGGTCTCAGCCCACAGAGCACCCCCTCCCCTGGGAAACTCTGCCCCAGCCTGGGGCCTACAGGGACCCTAGGACCGACCTCCCTCCACCACACCCCAGTGACTGCTAGTGCACCTGTTGGCTTGGCTGGGACGGACCACAGGCTAATTAGGGCTTGTAGAACACGTACAGTCGGCTACACAACCATCCTCCCCACACCCAACAAGCAAACAGGTTCCTCAGTCGGAAGTACAGGGCACCTTCCGGAGCCCCAGGGAATGACAGAACACAGCTGGCCCCTGGAAAGGCAGGCCATGGAGGGCCCTGCAGCCCTCAGCTGTGAGCAGCTCTCCTCCTCACCCTTCTGAGGTCCCAGCCTGCACCTCAGCTCTGTGCTGTCCGGGGCCAGGCCACATCTTGGCCTCCAGGGGGATGTGGGGGGTTTTGCCACATCTTCCCAGGGTCCCCCACCCACTGAAGCTCTATTGCCATAGGAGTGACCTCCAGCAGCTGAGCTCCTTGCCCATCAGAGTGCTGCCTTTACCTCAGAATACACAGGAGGGAGGGTGCCCTCCCCACTCCTCCCCTTGGCAACAGGACGAATCCAAACGGTGTGCTGGGTGGCACTGGGCACCAAGGTTTCCTTGCCACCTCCACCTCTGAACATGGGGCTGAGGGGGCCACCTAAGGACAACACTGGGGCTTCTGTCCTGAAAGCCCCTCAAAGAGCACTCCCTCCTGCACCAATGTCCCTGCGGCCAGCCCCACGCAGACGGCAGGCCTGAAAGGCGGGCGGGCGGGCAGGCGAACACAGACCTCGCGTTCTGTCATCTGCTGGCAGCACCCCATCATCAGTGCCAGGCTCTGACGCCTGGAGGGCTGGCCCAGGCCAGCGTGTGCTGTGGGGAGGCAAAGAAGGATGGCAGCCTCTCCTGTTTCCCCACCACACTCCCCACAGTGCACGAAGACCAGCCCTGGCCGGCTCTGCTGCTTGTGGGGAACCCAGCTATAGGAAAAGAGAAAAGAAGGAAGGACAGCACCTTCCTGCTACGCCACCCACCCAACCCCAACGTGCACATGGCTCCCTCGGCCGCAGCAGCAGGCCATGCGCAGGGCCCCTGCAGCTTCCACAGCCATCCCCCCCAACCTCCCCTGCCCATCAGACCTGAGCAGTTCTGACCCAAGGCCTTGGACCCCTTCCGGCTCCCAGGGTGGAGGCTGGGAGGCAGTTGAGGCCATCCCAAACAGCCCCAACCCGCTCCAGAGGGAGGGCAGGAACGTGGGTGGGGACAGTAGATGGGGCTCAAGAATGCAGCCAGCACATCACAGTCAGGAGGAGAGGCGAGGCCATAGGGTGAAAGGTCTTTTTCTCAGATCCAAGGGGTCCAGCCCCTCCTCCCAGGCAGATGCACACTCAGCTGCTGGAGATGGAAGGCCGATGGCCAGGTCAGGGCCAGATCAAATGTGTCTCCTGTTCTCAAAGACACCTCAGCACTGGCCACGCTGTGATCAGGCCAAGAGCCGGGCAGAGGCAGTCTGTCTAGTCCTGATGCCTGCCCCAGAGCACAGAAGGTGATCCCTGACTCACCAGGTGAGGGGCCTGCAGATGGGCCAGCGCTGGCCACCATCACTCTCTGAGGTGAAAGGGTCACGGCCAGCACAGGCATTTACCTTCTCAGGGCCCCTCCCCACCTTTCCTGAGAGGTTTCCAGCTGGTAACCACTAGCAACTGGGATGCTGCCTCAGGCAGGACTCATGCACCCTCAGCACCCTGGTGCTGCACCCAGCAGCTCCAGACAGGATGTCCAGATCCAGGCCAAGACAAGCTATCCGCCAATCCTAATCCCCAACCCAAGAGACCCTGCATCCCGCCCTGAAGTCCTAGCCTGACAGAACAGAGAGGATCCTCTACCCACTCAGAAGTGCCTGTTGTGTCTGTGCCTAGAGAGTTCACACACCTGCTGCTCAGTCACTAATGAAAGAAACTCATCATTTCCAGGGCCTCCTGTGTGCTACTGCTTCACACCTGTGCATTCGCTGCATCCTCACGGCAGCCTGGGAGGTTAGCATGACTCACTCCATCCCCAGATGAGGAAACTGAGGCACAGAGAGCCAAACAACTGGCTCGAAGTCACAAGGCTATCAAGGGGCAAAGCAGAGACAAGTGACCCCCACGCCACACTCCTCTGCTTCTTCCCCCAGCTCCCACCGGCCCTGGTACCTGGCTCTGCCCTCAGCCCATGACCAGGGTCCCAGTCTATAGCCTTGTTCCCCTCAAGAATGAACAAGTCCTTCTAAGGGGTGCCTGGGGCTGCAAGGCCAGCAAGCAGCTGACCAGCTCAACCCCAGAAGGTAGTGGGTACAGGGCTCCACGGTCCTCCAACCCTACTGCAGTGGACCACTTATCACTCCTTCCGGTCACTTAGGGGAAGGGGGGGCACCTTGGGCTCCAGCCTTCTACCCTGTCCTGCGCAAAGGACACACACAAACAGGTGCCTGCACTACGTGTGGCTCCAGCAGTGAGCACACACGTCACAGCCAGCTTGTTGTGGAGCCCACTCTGCCTCTTCTCTCTGCCTACCTTCAACTCCTCACCCCACGGCCACCACGCCTCCCACCTGGCCTTTGCCTGCAGTCTCTACCAACCCAAACCCTCTCCACACTGCCCTCAGGATCATCAGGGTCATTATCAGCTGTTCCTGTAGCCCCCGCCCCAGCCCTCAGCCCAAGGCCCCTCACGCCAAGACAGCCCTCAGCCAGCCTTGCTTCCCTGGATCCTCAGGCACCCTCTGCCCCAGGTGGTAAGGCCTCCTCCATGCCCCTCATAGGTGCCTCGGTGCAGACAGCTCCCTCTGTGGGTCAAGACAACATTGACAGCCAACCTGCACAGTGGGGATGAGGACTATGTGGTCCTAGCAAGCGAGAACTCCCTCTCTAAAGAAAAAGACAGATGCTCATGACTGACGGTGCCATAAGACACACACTTGGATAGACATGAGCAGAGAGGAGTGTGTGCTGAGTAAGAGGGCACTGAGGAGGGGCTGGAGACGAAGAAGATGCTAAAGAGGCTTCAGGAAGTGTAGGGGGGTGTCCAGCAGAAGAAACACAAAAAAGAGAGAACTCCAGGTCCTTGGTGGGGACAGTGACAACTGGACTGACAAAAAACAGGGTAACTGGGAAGGCAAGCTCAATCCCACCTCCAGGCTCAAGATCCAGCCCCTGCCTGACCACACAGCCATCCCCACACACTGCCAGTCTGCAGCTGGGATCTGACAGCCTGAGTGCCAGTCCCAGCCTCTCTGAGCCGGCTCAGGCCAGGCAGTCAGCTTATCCGCGCCTAACTTCTCTACAGATGGGGGCAACACCAGGGCAACCCCGGTGGGCTGCTGGGAGGAAGAGGTGAGATCATGTACACAAAGGGCTGTGCGGGGCCTGGCACACCAAGCACGCTCGCCAACGCTGCTGTCTCCAGGCTGTTGCTGATGTCATCGTCAGGCTCCGTTTTCTCCTACCTCCTGGGCTGAAGAGCTCTCAGACACGGGCGCTGACCCCACACACAGACCTCCTGGGCATGGGCACCGACCGCCACGCTGATACCCCACCCAGGGCTTGGCGTGCAGGGCCTGGACCGTCAGGCGAGTCGCCAGGAATGCTCTTCTCTCTACTCTCGACGCTTCCTCCTCAAATCCTCCCAGTTTCAAATCAAACACCGCTTCTCCATGCACCAAACCCGAACTCCACCCCCTCTTTGCACCCCGCCAAGACCGCCGGGGGCTTCAGACGGAGCACCAAGGTCAGAGGCGGGCTGGCGAGCCGCGGGTCCGCGCCCCTGGAGCCACTAGAGCCACAGCCGCCCGCAGCTGGCCAAGGAGAGAGCCCGTCCCACCCCAAGGAGGCCGGGCAGGCCGGGCCCAGCCTTCTCTCCCTGCCGCCACCAGGCCCGCGCGGCCACGCCGCCCCCAGCGGACGCCCATTCTCCCCACGGGCTGTCCGGTCGGCCCTGGCCTTCAGTCCCCGCCCGGCCCCCGGCCCCGGCCCTCAGTCCTCGGCTCCCCCGACCCCGGCCCTCAGCGCCCAGCCCCCGGTCCTCGGCCCTCAGCGCCCGGCCCTCAGTCCTCGGCCTCCCGACCCAGCCCCCAGCCCTCGGCCCCCAGCCCCCGGCCCTCGACCCTCAGACCCAGCCCCTGGCCCTCAGCACTCGACCCTCGGCCCCCGGCCCTCAGCGCTTGGCCTCGGCACTCACCGCGCGGGTGCGGCCCGAACGCCACCAGCACGAAGTAGTCCGCGAGCCGCGCCATGGCGAGGGACGCGGGGCGGCCCGAGGGGCGCGGGCGGGCTCCGCGGCTCGGGGACTCGAGGACGGCGCGCTCATGGCCCGGCCCCGGCCCTGGACCGCGCACCCCGGACACCCCTGGTTCGCTCCGCGGCGGCGGCGGCGGCGGCGGCGGCGGCCCAGGTTCCCGCCGCCATCTTCCCAGCCAGCCGGCCCGCCCGGGCGCGCCGTGCGCCTGCGCGCTGTCGTCAAGCCCTGAGCGGGCGGGGCCTGCAACCGCGCATCTCCATTGGTCCAGAGGGTGGGAGGGCGGCTCCCGAGAGCAGCGCCCCGCCCATCGCTGACCACTCTGGGGCCCGAGCACCGCCCCTCGGGCCGGGCACCTGGACTACGGCTCCGGCGGGTCTGACGCCCTGACCCGGGTCGGCTGTGGTGTCGGCGGGAGGCATGGGCCAGGACCACAGCTGCCCTCGCCGTTGGGACTCCCCGCACAGGAGCCCGAACCCCACCCCTGGGCCGTCCCAATCTGGGGATCGGGTCCCCAGACTCCTCGTCCCCCGCCCCTCTCTGTCCAGCGGGAGAAAGGCGGGAGAAGCCTAGGCGCTGCCTACCGGGCCCCCCAAACTAGAAGTCAGAGGAGGCGCAGGGCCATCACCTCAGGGGCTGCCAGCCTGGCGATGGGGAACAGAGAGAGAATTCAGGCCCTGCCCTTGGGGTCCCAGGCTGAAGAGCCCCCATCTAGGCCAAGTGAGACATTTAACACAGCTTAAAAACGGCACGCTCATGTCCCCCTGTAAAGAGCAAATGTTCTAAGCGTGTGAGGCACATGAGGCCACGGAGCAGGGGGCTCTGGGAAAGCTGCATCCCCCAGGATCCCTGACAGTGCCCACCCCTCTCAAGGGCAGGGCTGGCCAGGGCCACCCCTGAAGTGGCTCAGGGATGAGCATGAGCCCAGAGCAGAACATGCTGGGAGAGAAGGTGCAGGAGCCAGCCTGGTGCAGCAGGGAAACCCCTCTGAGCACAGCAGGCCAAGGTCTGTTTTTTGTTATGTTTTGTTTTGTTTTTGAGGCAGAGTCTCAATCCGTCACCCAGGCTGAAGTGCAGTGACACCATCTTGGCTCACTGGAACGTCCGTCTCCTGGGTTCAAGCAATTCTCCCGCCTCAGCTTCCCGCGTAGCTGGGATTACAGGTGTGCACCACCATGCCCGGCTAATTTTTGTATTTTAGTAGAGAGGGGGTTTCACCATGTTGGCCAGGCTGGTCTTGAACTCCTGACCTCAGGCCATCCACCCACCATGGCGTCCCAAAGTGCTGGGATTACAGGCATGAGCCACCGCCCCCAGCCCGAAGGTCTGTTTTTTGTTTTTTGTTTGTTTTTGTTTGTTTGTTTTGAGACAGAGTCTCGCTCTGTCGCCCAGGCTGGAGTACAGTGGCGTGATCTTGGCTCACTGCAAACTCCGCCTCCCAGGTTCACATCATTCTCCTGCCTCAGCCTCCCGAGTAGCTGGGACTACAAGCACCTGCCACCACGCCCAGCTAATTTTTTGTATTTTTAGTAGCGACAGGGTTTCACTGTGTTAGCCAGGATGGTCTCGATCTCCTGACCTCGTGATCCGCCCATCTCGGCCTCCCAAAGTGCTGGCATTACAGGTGTGAGCCACCGCGCCTGGCCCTGAAGGTCTGTTTTTAAATGAGTTTGGCTGCTGCAAGAACTGGCCAAATGACTGGCATCCAGTCTCCATCCATGGGCAGGAGCCAGCCCAAGAGAATGAATGGAATCAAACTGAGAGGCCCCACCAGGGTCCCCTCCCTGCCCTCAGGCACAGGCCACGCTACGCCTCTCCTCTCCCACTGTTGGTTTTCACAGGTTGAGAAATCATCTTTTTAAAATTTAATTTTTTTGTAGAGACAGGGTCTTGATAAGTTACCTAGGCTTGTCTTGAACTCCTGTCCTCAAATGATCCTCCTGCATCTGCCTCAAAAAGTGTTGGGATTACAGGTGTGAGAAACTGTGCCCTGCCAGAAATCCTCCTTTTTGCCCCAGCTGGCTCAAGTTGGTTTCTGTCACTTGTACCCAAAAAGGTCCTCAGCACCACACTACCACACCACTGAGCTTGTGTGCAGGCTGGCAGGGGCCCGGGGCAAGTCTGGGCTAGTGCTTGAGCCCAGGGCTGGCTCTCTTCGGAGAGACTCTAGGGACCCTGCACCGCACTCTCCACTCTCTCTGAGACTCTGGGGACCCTGCGTCGCACTCTCTCCACTGTCATGCTTCCACCAGGCCCTTGGGAACAACCATCCACAGTGGCTCAGTGTCTCAGATGGATGGATGCCCCTCCCTACCGCCCAGCCTGCTGATTTCTGGTCAGCTGTCTTGCAGTCTGCACTCTCCTCGAACCTCTCACCCCACTTCCAGTGTCTCTGAGATAATTGGCTGCTCCTCAGAGAGCAAATAGAAGCTATCAGATGGGAGCACCAAGCCCCCATCTTACACCTCTCACACCACCCCTCCCTCCATTACCACAGGGCTCTGCCCCCCTGCCCACTCCTCATCTCAGGCCATCATTCACTGTCAGTGCCCGCCGCCAAACTCCATCCTTCCCTGTCTATGGATTCCTTGCTATCAGAGTCAAACTTACCTCTGCCATCATAAAACACTCAAACAAAACCCCCCAAAGGCCGGGCGTGGTGGCTCATGCCTGTAAATCCCAGCACTCTGGGAGGCCCAGGCGGGTGGATCACTTGGCGTCAGGAGTTTGAGACCAACCTGCACAACATGGTGAAACCCCGTCTCTACTAAATATACAAAAAATTAGCCAGGCATGGTGACGCGTGCCTGTAATCCCAGCTACTCGGGAAGCTGAGGCAGGAGAGTTGCTTGAACCCGGGAGGCGGAGGTTGCAGTGAGCCGAGATCACGCCACTGCACTCCAGCCTGGGAGATAGAGCGCAACCCCATCTCAAAAAAAAAAAGGAAAAAACCCCAAGATGCTGTTTGTCCAGCCAGTTGCCACCCTAGCTTCTTTTGCTTCTCACAAGCATTCCCCAAGGCCACCGCCCCCTCCTATGGCCCAGCCCTCGCACATTTGGAAACTTGTGTCTCCCCTTCACCTGTGTCCATCATAAGCGGTGCTGGGGCAGCCCCGTCGCTCCCCAGAAGCAGCTTCTCCAACTAAGAATGGACTCACATGCAACAAGCACCAGGGACCCTGGGAATCACAGACGGGGCCTCCTCTCTGGTGGGCTGGGCAGGTGCAGAAGCAGCAGCCAGGCTGATGCCTGAGGGCAGAGGATACACCCTCCCCACAAGCTGGCGGGAGGCAGGACTGTGGCTCACAGGGGCAGCAACTGTCCTGTCATCTCAGGGCCTGAAACGCAGCCCCTCGCTGGGGCTGTCCTCCACCTGTCCCAGATTAAAAACCTTGTGAGGGCTGGGCACGGTGGCTCACGCCTGTAATCCCAGCACTCTGGGAAGCCAAGGCGGGCGGATCATGAGGTCAGGAGATCGAGACCATCCTGGCTAACACGGTGAAACTCTACTAAAAATACAGAAAAATTAGCCGGGCATGGTGGAGGGCGCTTGTAGTCCCAGCTACTTGGGAGGCTGAGGCAGGAGAATGGCGTGAACCCAGGAGGCGGAGCTTGCAGTGAGTCAAGATCACACCACTGCACTCCAGCCTGGGTGACAGAGCGAGACTCCGTCTCAAAAAAAAAAAAAAAAAAAAAAAAAAAGCCTCTTGAGGACAGGGAATTTTTGCTGGTTTTTCTTTATTGGTGGGGCGAACGATTTGATTGCACTTGTGTTTTGAAAGGACAGAGCTGGTGGCAGTGTGGAAGGCTGAGGGCCGAGTGGGGAGGCAGCAGCAGAAGCCGCAGCAGCAGATTTGGGAACCTGGGGGATCCCCTGCTCAGGCCCTTCCCTACCTGCCCCTCCAGAGCTGGCGCTGGGCTCCATCCTTGGCCAGCCTCTCCGCATTCTCTGTGGATGAGGCTCACCATATCCTCCATGGCTGCGCCATCCCTGAAACCCCAAAACTGTTCTCGACCTGCCTTATCTTTAGTCCCATGCCTGCCAGGCTGGGGAGCGACCAGACCCCTCTCCCTGGACAACCCCCAGGCAGCTCGGCCTCAGCATGTCCAGGCCCCGACCTCTTCCCACCCCCTCAGCAGCTGCCACATCAGCAAACAGAAGGGCTTCGCCGGGAACTGAGCCCCTCATTTCCCGTCCTGCCCCGCTAAATTTCTCCCACCCATCCACTCTGTCCCCTCAAGCCCTTTCTGCCTGCCTCCCCAGCACCTGCCTTCTTGGCTGCCCCTCCACCTTTCAACATAAATGTGACACTTGGCCGGGCTTGGTGGCTCACACCTGTAATCCCAGCAGTTTGGGAGGCAGAGGTGGGCGGATTGCTTGAGGTCCAGACTTCAAGATCAGCCTGGCCAGCATGGTGAAACCCCGTCTCTACTAAAAATACAAAAATTAGCCAGGTGTGGTGGCAGGCGCCTGTAACCCCAGCTACTTGGGAGGCTGAGGCAGGAGAATTACTTGAACCTGGGAGGCGGAGGTCGCAGTGAGCCAAGATTGTGCCACTGCACTCCAGCCTGGGCGACAGAGTGAGACTCCATCTCAAAAAAGCAAACAAACAACAACAACAACAAAACACTGGGTGCAGTGGCTCACACCTGTAATCACAGCACTTTGGGAGGCCAAGGTGGGTGGATCACCTAAGGTCAGGAATTCGAGACCATCCTGGCCAACATGGTGAAACCCTCTCTCAAATACAAAAATTATCTGGGCGTGGTGGTGGGCACTTATAATTCCAGCTACTCAGGAGGCTGAGGCAGGAGAATCGCTTAAACCTGGGAGGCGGAGTTTGCAGTGAGCTGAGATTTCGCCACGGCACTCCAGCCTGGGTGACACAGTGGGACTCCATCTCAAAAAAAAAAAAAACATATAAATGTGACACTCCCTGCCCCCTCAACTGGTCAAAATAAGTAAATAATACCTGCAAGGCATCCCTGCCCTCCCAGATCGGCCTGTGGGGTGTGTGCTCGGCACTCCTCGACTTATTCACCCAGCAAATGTTGACTGTGCTCCCATGGTGTGTCAGCAGGAGGGTTACGGGGTGAGCGCAGGGGTTGGGGAGACAGAAGGGGAAGCACGAACGGACGCAGAGATCCTCAGCTCACCCAACAGAGAGGCCAGTCTCAGCAGCTTGGAACCCGTGACACCAAGTCCAGGACTCGTGGACAGTGGGTAGGCGAAAGCTCTGTGGAGAACAGTGAACCATCTATCAACATAAACACATGCTCACCTTCAACCAGAATTTCTACTTCCAGGAAGGTGTCCTATAGACACATCTGTGAGCTCAAGGCAGCAACTCATGAAAAGACTGGCAGTCACCTAATTTCATATTAATAGCAGATGAGATGAATCATACAACACCTATATGTTGGAGTAGATCCAACCATAGGAAAGAGTGGGGTCTCTGATGTGAGGACGGTCGGGCTGTGACGCCTGTCACCCCACTGGTCACCAGTGTTGATTCGGCTGATGTGGCTGGCTCAGAGGCAGGTGTCCCCCTCCTTCCCCACTGTTCCCTGTGCGTCCCTCCGAAGCTGCACGCTCCATCGAAGAGGATGGAGGACCGGGCTTCGAGTAGCTGCGCTCCTCTGCCAGGACCTCCAAACAAGCTCTCAGGAAAGAACGGGGTCTCAGTCCTACTGCAAATCTGCACACATGGATGTGTGTGCCTCACATAGCCACACCTAGGTGTGCCCAGGGCAAGTCAGGAGAGGGCTCCCCCCCAGACCAGGGTAGGGGTCCCAAGTGGGTGGCAATGGTGAGGGGAGTCTCACGTTTCACTCGTTTTAAATTTTTCTTTTTCTTTTTTTTTTTTCTTTTTTTGAGACGGAGTCTCGCTCTGTCGCCCAAGCTGGAGTGCAATGCCGCGATGTCGGCTCACTGCAACCTCCGCCGCCTGGATTCAAGCCTCAGCCTTTCCTGCCTCAGCCTCCCGAGTAGCTGAGATTACAGGCACCCGCCACCACGCCCGGCTAATTTTTTGTATTTTTAGTAGAGACGGCCTTTCACCTTGTTAGCCAGGATGGTCTCGATCTCCTGACCTCGTGATCCGCCCGCCTCGGCTTCCCAAACTGCTGGGATTACAGGCGTGAGCCACCGCGCCCGGACACTTTAAATCTGTTACAAAAACCGTGCAATACTTTGGTCCGGGGTTGGAGCGGCCGAGGGTCGGTACAGCCTTTTAGGAGCGCAGCCCCGGGGTCGGCGGCACCGCGTCAGAGGAGAGCGGAATGGCCAGCCCGCTGCGGAATCCCGCGGACTTGCTGGTCAGGCTGGGGGGCCGGGGTCCACCGGGTCAGACCCTGGAGGGTGGGACCGCCCGGACTCGGGAGGTGGTTGACGGGGTGGGCCCCGTCGGGTCCGAGTCCGCCCCAGCCGTGGGATCAGCTCGGACGACGGTTCGCCCCCCAGAACCCCGCTGCAGCGTGGGGAAGTCCGGCCCCCGCAGGCTCGGGGCTGCGTCCCCACCAGAAGGCGCTTGGAGTGAGGCTGGCGGTCCCGCGGTCCCGGGCCGGTCGCCGAGCGCTCCCAGCGGGGACAGGCCCCTCCACCGCTCCCTTCGCCGCAGCCCCCTCCCCGCCCCGAGGGTGGCTGGGCCCGGAGGAGGGGCGCCCCGCCCCGTCCGTGCATCCGGCTCCGCCCCTTGCTGGAAAGGCTACGTATTCAGCCCTGGAGGTGCCATCCCGGGCCGCGACTCCGCTCCAGGCAGGACCCCCAACCCGCCCAGCCCGCTCCGCCTTGCGCCCCGGACCCGCGGCCGACCCCAGACCCGCTGCCCGCTTCGCGCCCGAGGCCTGCGCCCCGACGGACGCCCGTGCCCAGCTTGCCACGCCCACGCCCGGCGCCCCGACCGCGGAGGACTCCCCGAGGTGCCGGCGGAGGGGGTGGCTCGCGGCTCAGGCTGCCCCCGACGTGCCCGGCTCACCGCCCCCTCCCCTGCAGCCCCGCCCGCCATGGCCCGGATCCCGACGGCCGCCCTGGGTTGCATCAGCCTCCTCTGCCTGCAGCTCCCTGGCTCGCTGTCCCGCAGCCTGGGCGGGGACCCGCGACCCGTCAAACCCAGGTGAGTCCAGGTCTTGGGCCAGCCAACCCCTCTGGCCCCCGCAGGGAAGCAGAGTGCCGGGGGCCGCGGGGCCGCCCTCCCTCCACGCCTCCACCTGCTGCTAGGACTCCCCTCCCAAACAAAGGCCCCTACCCCAGGCTCAGGAGCGCCTGAGCAGGGCCAGAGGCCCCTCTTTCTCTGCCTCCCTACACAGGGCAGTTGCTCCTCCCCACACACATGGGCACAGCAGCCCCTCTTCTGGGGGTGTCTGCTGGGGGAGGGGAGGCTGGCGGTATCCCTGGCCGGCCTGTGACCACCCTAAAGGGAGGGCAGAAGCCGAGTCACCCTGAGCCCTGAGAGTGGTGACCCGCAGAGGCTGGGCCGCCGGGGTGCCCTTTGGCCAAGGAGGTGCCGGTTCCCGGGACACGTGACCCGGGCCACTGAGATGGTCCCAGGCCCAAGCCCAGAGGGGACGCGGGCTTCCCCTGGCCGTGCTCCAGGCTGTGTGTGGATGGGGGCTGTGGGCTTCCCCTGGCAGTGACCCAGGCCTGTGTAGAGGCAAAAGTGGGCAGGTGTGAGTTCTCCAAAAGGCTGAGCCATCTGGTTGACATTCTCCATCTGCCTCTGCAGGGAGCCCCCAGCCCGGAGCCCTTCCAGCAGCCTGCAGCCCAGGCACCCCGCACCCCGACCTGTGGTCTGGAAGCTTCACCGGGCCCTCCAGGCACAGAGGGGTGCCGGCCTGGCCCCTGTTATGGGTCAGCCTCTCCGGGATGGTGGCCGCCAACACTCGGGCCCCCGAAGACACTCGGGCCCCCGCAGGACCCAAGCCCAGCTCCTGCGAGTGGGCTGTGTGCTGGGCACCTGCCAGGTGCAGAATCTCAGCCACCGCCTGTGGCAACTCATGGGACCGGCCGGCCGGCAGGACTCAGCTCCTGTGGACCCCAGCAGCCCCCACAGCTATGGCTGAGGTGGGGCCGGGCCACACCCCTGCCCATCCCAGCCAGGGTGCTGTGCCCCCGTCCAGAGCTGCAGCTGAGCCCCATCTGAAGCCCAGTCCCTCGGAGCTGCAGACAGCAGGTCCTGCAGCAACAATACCTGCACGGCTTTGCACACGTAAACCTAGGCTGGTCTACACGCAGTGCTGGTACGTCAAGGAGCCTAAACACCCTGAAATTGTGACCCCCTGGGGGACAGCTGCCAGACACAGCTGGCGGCAGCACCAGATGCTAAGCGCTTCAGAGAGGAGGTGTCTGCCCAGAGATGTGGAGCAGAAGCTGGGCCCTGAACACACGGGGCCATGTCTGGACGAGCAGGGGAGAGAGGCTGAACTGGCCAGAAGTGGCCCCTCCGCTGCTGGTCCAGTCAGACTGAAGCCCGGCCTTGTGCCTGGGCTGTTCCTGCTCTCATGCACAACCAGCCCTTCCACGTGCCTGCCTGTGGGACAGGAGGGGGAGCGTGGGATGCTGTAGCCCCCGGGGTTGGGCAAGGGAAGGATGGTGGCCCTCCAGAGGTCATGAAGGGACCTCTGTGGCTCCAGCTGCCAACCCTGGAGCCCAGACCGAGGTGGCCATGGAGACTCCACCTGGATCCCCTGTAGGAGGCCAGGGAGGGGAACTCAGCAGTTCAGGAGCCACCCCAAACCATTCTGGGACAGGGACACCCCTTTCTACCCCAGGGCAGGGCAGGGCTGGGTGGGGCAAGATCCCCCAGCCCGACTAGACCCACCTCACCTGAAGGGGGTGAGACCCTTGTTGGCAGCCAGACAAGGGTGGGGCTCCACAGGCAGCACAGGCGCCCCACCACCACCCAGTTTGGGGACCCAGTGGGACCAGGTGCGGGGGCAGAGGGTGACTTACCAAGAGCCAGGGAGGGCAGCCCAGGCCCAAGTGACAGCAAGAACAAGAACCACTGCCGGCGTGCACAGACTTGGTGTGTGTCCTTCCCTGGGGGGACGGGGGACTCACATGTGCCTGCCACTGGAGCCTCTCAACCGTCCAGCAGAACACGGGGTTCAGAAAGGGCTCCTTCTGCTATTTAGCGAACACTGAGCATTTAATTTACAAATGTTTGCTAGGGTCACCCTCTCGGCCATCCCACGAGGGTCGCCATGATCACCCCAACTCTAGAGGCCGCAGCAGAGCTCAGGACATTCCCCCACAGAGCTTGCCCCTCAGTTCCTACCTCCAAGGGGGAGGGTCCTGGAAGCGCCCACCCAGGCGCCGCCCCTGTGCTTGCTCCCCGAGCTCAGGGATTGCCGAGTCCACGTAACTGACCTGTACTCCACGAGGCCCTGTGGGAACGGTCCAGGCTGGTCCTGCCCTGTGGAGGCCTCCGTGCACTGAGAGATGTACTAGGATTGCAGCAAAGGTGGTCAGGGTGATGGGCCGCACAGCGAGGCAGTCAAGGCCAGCTCCCTGGGAGAAGCACTGGGTCAGGTGAGGTCTGAGGACAGCAGGCCTTCCCTAGGGGAAGGAGCTGGGAGTGCCAAGGCCCCAGGTGCACAGGAGGCGTGGCTGCTGAGAGGCTGCAGGGTGGAGGGGCCTCGGCCTCAGAGTCATGTGCCCTGTGACCACTGAAGGGTGTCAGCAGAGCACACGGCATGAGGACAGAGGGAGGGGCACGGGGAGTGAAGGAGGGGGCCCTGGGGCAAGGCTCGGGGGTCAGGAGCTCAGCGTCCGCTACTCAGCCCAGCCAAAACCCTCCCAGACGTCTCCTCTCCTGCCTGGGCAAAGTCCAGCTTGGCACCCCGTCTGGGGCCTGCCTGTGGTCAGGGCCAAGTGTTCCCTCCTCCAGGAAAGCCTTTACCCTCCTCATGCCCTGTAGTCAGGAGGCCGCCTGCTGTAACCCTCCGTGTCGCCTCGGGTGCGAAATCAGACCCACCTGACACCATCACGCGGAGGCCCAGCAGCACCTGCACCCACTTCCAGCTGCTCTGGCCAAAATCTCCGCTCGGCCAGGCCCCGTGGCTCACACCTGTAATCCTAGCACATTGGGAGGCCAAGGCAGGCACATCACCTGAGTTCAGGAGTTCAAGACCAGCCTGGCCAACATGGTGAAATCCCGTCTCTACTAAAAACAGAAAATTATCCGGGCGTGGTGGCACATGACTGTAATCCCAGCTACTCAGGAGGCTGAGGCAGGAGGATCACTTGAACCTGGGAGGCGGAGGTTGCAGTGAGCTGAGATTGCGCCATTGCACTCCAGCCTGGGCAACAAGAGCAAAATTCTGCCTCAAAAAAAAAAATAGTAATAATACAAAAATTAGCTGGGCGTGGTGGCACATGCCAGTAATTCCATCTACTCGGGAGGCTGAGGCAGGAGAATCGTCTAAGCCCGGGAGGTGGAGGTTGCAGTGAGCCCAGATGGCGCTGCTGCACTCAAGCTTGGATGACAGAGCAAGACTCCGTTTCAAAAAAAAAAAACCTCCTCTCTTCCTTCACACCTTCCTCTGAATCCCACCCGGTCCCACCTCCTGAACCTATCCAGACACCTTCTCCTGACCCAGGCACCACCTGCTTTCGGGGCGATGGCCGTAGCCTCCTCCCAGGCACCTGTCTGCATCCCTCTGGCCAGTGCATGCTGAGCACGTGACCTACCCGTGTTGGGACACGTGAGGATACAGCCTTGACCCCCAGGGGCTGACATTCTAGGGGGAGATAGAAGGAGACAAACGTAGAAGGTAGAATAAGTGGGTGGTGGAGTGGCAGGGAGTGCTGAGTGCCACAGGAAGTCAGACAAGGAAGGAGAGTGTGGGGCAGGTGCCGTTTAAATGGGGGGCGCTGGGGTCTCCTCACAGTTGCTTCTCAGCTCAGCTGTGCCAGGATCTTGTTGAGTCAGGTCA
This sequence comes from Homo sapiens, assembly GCF_000001405.40. Lineage (NCBI taxonomy): Eukaryota > Metazoa > Chordata > Mammalia > Primates > Hominidae > Homo > Homo sapiens. The sequence continues at coordinate 50,485,778 of NC_000022.11, forward strand.
GCTGCCCACAGCCCTCTTGCCTGACCCCTGAAGCCCAGAACTCTGATCTTCACAGCCCTAGGTATGGCCCCAGCACCCCACTGCCCTCTCTCCTGCCCCAGCCGACTGCTGTTCCCAGACTTCCCTGGCCACGCTCCAAGACGCCAGCTCTGCCGCGGGCACTTTGTTCTCACGGTGTCCTCCATGCCTGCAGGGCCCATGCATGGGAAGTTGCGTTGGCGGCCTGGGTGTTGGCGGTTCCGTGCCTGCTCCAACTCTCCGTGAGGCCCCTCTCCCAGAGCCTGACACACTCTGTGGCCGAACTCTAGGCAGGTGCCCCTGAGTCCTTTCCTCGACGAGGCCTGACCCCATCCCCATCCTCGCTGGGCCCGCCGACCCCGGTGTTAGCAAGAATCCTCTAAATCAGTTTATGGAGAATTACCCACCCTCGATATCTGATCCCATTCCTCATCTCCCACCCTTGATCTCATCACCCTGCCGGCCTCCTGCAAGATCCTCATTGAGCCACTCCAGTGAGAATCCCCCTACCCTCGAAGGCCGCCCTAACAACTTCCCATCCGCTGACCCCTCCAACGCCATCAATCTCCAGCTGTGGTTGTTGAACTCGGAGGTGAGCTCCTCTCACCACTCTCTTGAATAAAGCTTTTCTCACCATTTTAACAAGTCCTCAGAATCATCTTTTCTTAACAAGCTCCTGCCCCACCCAGAATCACGGGGGGCCTGGGGACAAGTTTTCACCTCCTGAGATCCAGTGGGGCAGCCGGGGAAGGGGTGGTGCAGAGGGGGCGTGTGCTTGAGGGTGGGGTCTTGGGTCTGCCCCTACTTGTGGGACCCCACAGAGGGGTCTAAGGCCAGGGCCCAAGTGGGAGGCTGGGCCCACAGATAACCCTAGGCAGGTCAGCGGCTCGGGACAGGAGTGTGAGGCTGAGTCAGGGCCAGAGGATGTGGGACTGCTGGGGGCTGCTGCTGTGCTGACACATTAACTCCCTGAGGCCGGGAGGAGGGTGGATGGTCATTTATTACTGCGGACACTTATGTAACCTGGGGTGTATATAGGAGCCTGGCTGAGGACACACTCGCCAGCCTGTGCTTTGCCACCTGAGCGCCGCTCCCTCTCAGGATGAAGGTGACGGTGGTGAGTACCCAGACCCCATGCAGAGAGGCTCTGCTGACTGCTCTCCTGGTGGCCAGCCACTCCCGCCCTCTTCTAGCTGGCACTGGCCAGCCCTCCTCCTCCGTCCAGCTGGGCAAGAGCCAGCGGCTGCCGACCCCCAGGCTCCCTGTGGACTCAGTCTCCTCCCAAAGCCACTTCCACCCCTCAAGGGTGGCCATGGGTGCCGCTCAGGCGTGGTGTCCCCTGTACCCCGGAAGCAGACGTCTGCTGACTTTCGCTTTGCAGATGAGGACCTGGGAGTGAGAGCTCCTGGGACTCGCTGAGGCCAGGGCAGGGGCTGGGATGATGGCGTGGGAGAGGCTGTGTCCTCGCGTGTCACCCACCAGCCCTCGAGCAGAGGCAGGCTTGGAGTCTGCAGCCACCCTGGGAATGTCTGTGCTTCCTCGTGGAGCTGACATGATGGTGAAATAGGTTCAATCCTCCACCTACCCAGGGCCCAGACCCTTCCCTGGTCTACCGACCTGATGTGGACCCAGAGGTGGCCAAAGACAAGGCCAGCTTCCGGAACTACACGGTGAGTACCTTGCCGTCCTGCCCCCCTTCTCCCCCATCCACACCCTGGGGAGCAGCACTTGCCCTTCACACAGTTCCAGGGGGTGCCCTGTGGGAACTCCCACCCCCATCACACCCTGTGGGGCTGCCTGGGAGAGGGGAGGCATGGGGCCTCGTGTGCAGGGTGGGGGTGGCGCCACTGACCCTCCGGCCTGCAGTCAGGTCCCCTCCTGGACCGTGTCTTCACCACCTACAAGCTCATGCACACGCACCAGACAGTGGACTTCGTCAGGAGCAAGGTAGGCGTTTCCTGCCGCCCCGTGCAAACGCGGAGGGACCCTTGCCCTCAGCCCCATGAGCCCACCAGGCGCCGAGGGGATGGAGAGGCCTGTGTGGTGGGCCTGCTGACCCTGGGCCACACTGCCTTCTCCTTCCCCGCCAGCATGCCCAGTTTGGGGGCTTCTCCTACAAGAAAATGACAGTCATGGAGGCCGTGGACCTGCTGGATGGGCTGGTGGATGAGTCGGACCCGGACGTAGATTTCCCCAACTCCTTCCATGCCTTCCAGACAGCGGAGGGCATCCGGAAGGCCCACCCAGACAAGGGTGAGCCCTGGCTGTGCTGCAGGGGGGCAGGTGCTGCCTCCAAGGGGCAGAATGCAGCAGCCTGTAGGGTGGGAGGGGACAGTAGTGGGCCCAGGCCTCCTCCAGCAGCCCTGCCTGGGTTGGGGAGCAGGCCCTGGACCCTTCCTGGCTCTCAGCCCCGCAAACCTGCTCATCCTCTGCCTTGGCCCCTGCAGTCCCCAACCTGCCCTGTCCATCCCCCTCCCAGACTGGTTCCACCTCGTCGGGCTCCTGCACGACCTGGGGAAGGTCCTGGCCCTGTTCGGGGAGCCCCAGGTAAGAGTTGGAAGTGGAGGGTGAGGAGGCTGCATGTTGAGGCAAGGTGGGGGTGGAGTGGCCTTGGTGCTTGGCCTGGGATACTACCTGGGGGACAGGCCAGTGCACCCCCCACGGCCCCCCGACGGCTGCCTGTCCCTCTGGTGGCCTCGGTGCTTGGCCTGGGATACTACCTGGGGGACAGGCCAGTGCACCCCCCACGGCCCCCCCCACGGCTGCCTGTCCCTCTGGTGGCCTCGGTGCTTGGCCTGGGATACTACCTGGGGGACAGGCCAGTGCACCCCCCACGGCCTCCCCGCACCACTCCCCCCACGGCCCCCCATGGCCGCCTGTCCCTCCTGTCACTCTGCAGTGGGCGGTCGTCGGCGACACCTTCCCCCACTTCCCCCACGGCCCCCCATGGCTGCCTGTCCCTCCTGTCCCTCCTGTCCCTCCCATCCCTCCCGTCCCTCCTGTCCCTCCCGTCCCTCCCATCCCTCCTGTCCCTCTGCAGTGGGCAGTCATCGGCAACATCTTCCCCCACTCCCCCCATGGCCGCCCGTCCCTCCTGTCCCTCTGCAGTGGGCAGTCATCGGTGACACCTTCCCCCACTCCCCCCATGGCCGCCCGTCCCTCCTGTCCTTCTGCAGTGGGTGGTCATCGGCGACACCTTCCCCCACTCCCCCCATGGCCTCCCGTCCCTCCTGTCCCTCTGCAGTGGGCTGTCGTCGGCGACACCTTCCCCGTCGGATGCCGTCCGCAGGCCTCCGTGGTTTTCTGCGACTCCACCTTCCAGGACAACCCTGACCTCCAGGATCCTCGATACAGGTGCTCCCTGCTGCTGAGGGCTGGGCCCCCTTCCCTGGGCGGCTGCTGAGCCCTCCTCACCCTGGTATCTCACTGCAGCACAGAGCTCGGGATGTATCAGCCCCACTGTGGGCTCGACAGGGTCCTCATGTCCTGGGGCCATGATGGTGAGGCCAGAGGCGGGCAGTGGGGCGGTGGGGGGCGGTGGGGGACGGTGGGGGGCGGTGGGGCAGAGGCAGTGCCTGCTGGTGACACCCTCTCCCCACAGAGTACATGTACCAGGTGATGAAGTTTAACAAGTTCTCACTGCCCCCTGAGGTAGGTGGGGGGAGGGGCAACGCAGCCCGTCCACCAGGCCCGGTCCTGCAGCCCCAAGTGAGCCGCTGGGTGGCCTTGCCCGCAGGCTTTCTACATGATCCGGTTCCACTCCTTCTACCCCTGGCACACGGGCCGCGACTACCAGCAGCTGTGCAGCCAGCAGGACCTGGCCATGCTGCCCTGGGTGCGGGAGTTCAAGTACGCCCCGCTACCCGCCGAGGGGTGTTGTGGGAGTGAAAGAGGGGGTTGGGTGGGGGGCCTGGGGGTTCTTCACGGGGCTCACCGCCCCTCCCTGCTGCAGCAAGTTCGACCTCTACACCAAGTGCCCGGACCTGCCGGACGTGGACAAGCTGCGGCCCTACTACCAGGGGCTCATTGACAAGTACTGCCCTGGCATCCTGAGCTGGTGACCCTCCTGCCACCCAAGCTGCTGCTGGACCTAGGCCTGGCCCTCCGCCTGCCTGGAGAGGCCTGGCCCTGGGCAAACAGCCGCCATCAGGGTTCACCTCGGTGGGGGACCCCACTCACCCCCTTAGGGTCGCCACCCCTCACGGCAACTTGTGCCTGGCGTCAATAAAGACCTGGAAGGATGTTGTGCTTCTGAAGCCCCACTGGGTGTTACTGCAGCAGGGCGTGGCCCAGGCCGAGGGATGGTGCCAGCAGGGTGGAGGCCAAGTCCCAGGCTTTCAGGTGTGTGTGTCCCACCACACTGGCCGTGGTAAACATCTGCCCATCCTCCCAGCTCCTGTGTCAGAGCCTGGGGGACGAGTCACCCAGCTCACCCCCACATGCTCAAAACAGTCACCAAGTCCTCTGGGCTCCGTCCCCTTAAAAAATACCCCAATAGCTAAAATAATACATTCATAGAAAACAACAAAAAACAAATGCAGGCTGGGCACAGCGGCTCACACCTATAATCCCAGCACTTTGGGAGGGCGAGGTGGGCGGATCACCTGAGGTCAGGGGTTCAAGACCAGCCTGGCCAACATGGTGAAACCCCGTCTCTACTAAAAATACAAAAATTAGCCGGGCGTGGTGGTGGGCGCCTGTAATCCCAGCTATTCAGGAGGCTAAGGCAGGAGAATCGCTTGAACCCGGGAGACAGGGGTTGCCGTGAGTCAAGATTGTGCCACTGCACTCCAACCTGGGTATCAAGAGTGAAATTCCATCTCAAAAAAAATAAATAAAATAAAATAAAACAAGTGCACAGTTTAAATGCTATAAAGCAAACACCTGCGGCCACCACCCCTGAACCGACTCTCCAGTACCCTCCGCATGCCCCGGGTGCGGCTCCCCGCACAGAGCAGCCCCTCCACAGGCTCTGCAGCCACCGTCCATCCTCTCTACATGGTTTTGTCACCCAGGCGTGCAGCCCTTGGTGCCAAAGAGTGGCCTCCCCTCCATCTTCTCTGAAATTCATCTCTGAAGAAAGTAGATTGTCCCAGGAAATTCGTCTTTGTGGGGATTCTGTACCTGTTAACGTTTTCCTCTGAACTTCTGCCAATCGGTGCACGGATTTAGAGGCTTCCCCAGATCCTGTTTGGTTGGTTGTGGGCACGAGTGCTTTCAGGCAGTGGTGTTTCCTGAGGAAGAGGCATGCGGTGCCTGTCCTGAGTGTTGTCAGCGGGCAGCTGTGGGCGTTCAAGCTTATCCGGATCCCCCACTCCCCTGGGTATGGAACAGCCCAGGTCACTTTCTGTCCTCGTCCGCCGCAGGGAACACTTCAGGAAGTGGAAGTTGCCTCCCACGTGCTCTTTGGCTACACAGTGGCACTGTTCGTATAGAAAGGCAGGTCGATGTTTCAGTCCTTCCCTTAATTTTTTTTTTTTTTTTTGAGACAGTCTCACTCTGTCGCCCAGGCTGGAGTACAGTGGGGCAATCTCAGCTCACTGCAACCTCCCTCTCCCGGGTTCAAGCAATTCTCCTTCCTCAGCCTCCCTAGTAGCTGGGATTACAGACCCACGCCACCACACCTGGCTAATTTTTTTTTTGTACTTTTAGTAGAAACAAGGTTTTGGCCAGGCACGGTGGCTCACACCTGTAATCCTAGCACTTTGGGAGGCCGAGGCAGGAGGATCACTTGAGGTCAGGAGTTCGAAATCAGCCTGGCCAACATGGTGAAACCCAGTCTCTACTAAACATACAAAATTAGCTGGGCCTGGTGGTCGGTGCCTGTAATCCCAGCTACTCCGGAGGCTGAGGCAGGAGAATCACTTGAACCTGGGAGGCGGAGGTTGCAGTGAGCCAAGATCGAGCCACTGCACTCCAGCCTGGGTGACAGAGCGAGACTCCGTCTCAAAAAAAAAAGGCATTTTTTGGAAAATAGAAAAACATAATTCTAAAATTCCTATGGAATTTTAAGGGAACCCAAATGGCCATAACAATCTTGGAAAAAAAAAAGTTTACTTCTTGATGACTAAAGATAAAATAGAAAACATAAAAAGGAAAAAGATGTAAAAGAAACAAAATAATTAAAAGGTAAAAAAAGAACAACAAAGACTGGGCACGGTGATTCATGCCCGTAATCCCAGCACTTTTGGGAGGCCGAGGCGGGCGGATCACGAGGTCAGCAGATTGAGACCATCCTGGCCAACATGGTGAAACCCCATCTCTACTAAAAATACAAAAAATTAGCTGGGCGTGGTGGCACGTGCCTGTAGTCCCAGCTACTCGGGAGGCTGAGGCAGGGGAATTGCTTGAACCCAGGAGGCAGAGGTTGCAGTGAGCCAAGATTGCGCCACTGCATTCCAGCTTGGCAACAGAGCGAGACTCCGTCGCAAAAAAAAAAAAAAAAAAAAATTAGCCAGGTGTGGTGGTGGACACCTGTAATCCCAACTACTCGGGAGGCCGAGGCAGGGAGAATTGCTTGAATCTGGGAGGTGGAGGTTGCAGTGAGCTGAGATTATGCCACTGCACTCCAGCCTCAACGACAGAGCAAGACTCCATCTCCAAAAATAAAAAGAAGACAGGTGCAGTGGCTCACGCCTGTAATCCCAGCACTTTGGGAGGCTGAGGCCGGCAGATCACCTGAGGTCAGGAGTTCAAGACCAGCCTGGCCAACATGGTGAAACCCCATCTCTACTAAAATACAAAAAAATTAGCCTGGCGTGATGGCGGGTGCCTGTAATCCCAGCTACTCGGGGGGCTGAGACGGGAGAATTGCTTGAGCCTGGGAGACGGTGGTTGCAGTAAGCTGAGATTGCACCACTGCATTCCAGCCTGGGCAGCTGAGCAAGACTCCATCTCAAAAAAAAAAGAAAAAAAAAAAAGGCTGGGTGCAGTGGCTCATGCCTATAATCCCAGCACTTTGGGAGGCCGAGACGGGTGGATCATGAGGTCAGGAGAGCGAGACCATCCTGGCTAACATGGTGAAACCCTGTCTCTACTAAAAATACAAAAAATTAGCCGGGCGTGGTGGCGGGCGCCTATAGTCCCAGCTACTCGGGAGGCTGAGGCAGGAGAATGGCGTGAACCCGGGAGGCAGAGCTTGCAGTGAGCCAAGATCGCGCCATTGCACTCCAGCCTGGGCAACAGAGCGAAACTCCATCTCAAAAAAAAAAAAAAAAAAAAGAACAAAGTTGGAGGACTCTCATTTGTCAATTTAAAAACTTACCACAAAGCTACAATAATCAAAACAGCATGGGCAGGCATGGTGGCTCACACCTGTAATCCCAGCACTTTGGGAGGCTGAGGCAGGTGGATCACCTGAGGTCAGGAGTTCAAGACCAGCCTGGCCAACATGGTGAAACTCCATCTCTACTAAAAATACAAAAATTAGCTGGGTGTGGTGGCAAAAGCCTGTAATCCCAGCTACTCGGGAGGCTGAGGCAGGAGAATTGCTTGAGCCCGGGAGGCAGAGGTTGCAGTGCACTGAGATCACGACACTGCACTCCAGCCTGACTGACAGAGTGAGACTGTCTCAAAAACAAAACAAAACAAAACAGTGTGGCACTGGCTTTAAAGACAGACACAGAGATCAATGGGGTTAAATAGACAGCCCAGAAATAAACACTTCAATATATGGTCAAATGGTTTTCAACAAGGGTGCCAGAATCATTCAATGGTGGAAAGAATGATCTTTTCAACAAATGGGGCCAGGAGTGGTGGCTCACGCCTGTAATCCTAGCACTCTGGGAGGCCGAGGTGGGCACATCACCTGAGGTCAGGAGTTTAAGACCAGCCTGGCCAACGTGGTGAAATCCTGTCTTGACTGAAAATACAAACATTAGCTGGGCATGGTGGTGCATGCCTGTAATTCCAGCTACTGGAGAGGCTGAGGCAGGAGAATCATCTGAGCCCGGGAGGCAGAGGTTGCAGTGAGCCGAGATCTCGCCACTGCACTCAAGCTTGGACAACAGAGCCAGACTCCATCTCAAAAAACAAACAAGCAAAAACGAATGGTTCTGGACAAATAGAATATTCACATGCAGAAAAATGAAGTTGGGCCGGGCACGGTGGCTCACGCCTGTAAACCCAGCACTTTGGGAGGCCGAGGTGGGTGGATCACCTGAGGTCAGGAATTTGAGGCCATCCTGGCTAACATGGTGAAACCCTGTCTTTACTGAAAATACAAAAATTAGCTGTGCATGGTGGCAGGCACCTGTAATCCCAGCTACTCTGGAGGCTGAAGCAGGAGAATCGCTTGAACCCGGGAGGCGGAGGTTGCAGTGATCCAAGATCTCGCCACCGCACTCCAGCCTGGGCGAAAGAGTAAGACTCTGTCTCAAAAAAAAAAAAAAAGAAAAATGAAGTTGGACACTTACCTTACACCACATACCACATACAAAAATTAAATCAAAATGGATCAATGACCTAAACTTTTTTTGCTTTGAGACAGGGTCCTGTTCTGTCACCCAGGCTGAAGTGAAGAAGTGTGCCACAGCTGACTGCAGCCTCGACCTCCTGGGCTCAAGCGATCCTCCCATCTTGGCCTCCAGAGTAGTAGGGGGACTACAGGTGCACACCACCACAGTTGGCTAATTTTTATTTTTTGTAGAGACAGGGTTTCTCCATGTTGCCCAGGCTGGTGTCGAACTCCTGGGCTCAAGTGATCCTCCCACCTTGGCCTCCCAAAGTGCTGGAATAATAGACGTGAGCCACAGCGCCCGGCTGACCTAAACTTAAGAGCTAAAATGGCCAGGAGCGGTGGCTCACGCCTGTAATGCCAGCACTTTGGGAGGCTGAAGCAGGTGGATCTTGAGGTCAGGAGTTTGAGACCAGCCTGGCCAACATGGTGAAACCCTGTCTCTACTAAAAATACAAAAATTAGCCGAGCATGGTGGCACTTGCCTGTAATCCCAGCTACTCAGGAGGCTGAGGCAGGAGAATCGCTTGAATCTGGTAGACGGAGGTTGCAGTGAGCTGAGATTGTGCCACCACATTCCAGCCTGGGCGACAGAGTGAGACTCTGTCTCAAAAAAAAAAAAAACTAAAACTTTAACCTTCAGAAGAAAACAGAAGACAAGCTCCTTGACATTGCATTAGGCAATAATTCCTTGGATATGACACCAAAAGCACAGACAACAAAAGAAAATAGATAAGTTGGCCAGGCGCAGTGGCTCAGGCCTGTAATTCCAGCACTTTGGGAGGCCGAGGCTGGTGGATCACGAGGCCAAGAGATCAAGACCATCCTGGCCAACATGGTGAAACGCCATCTCTACTAAAAATACAAAAATTAGCTGGGCGTGGTGGCGCGTGTTTGTAGTCCCAGATACTAGGGAGGCTGAGGCAAGAGAATTGCTTAAACAAGGGAAGTGGAGGTTGCAGTGAGCCGAGATCACACCACTGTACTCCAGTCTGGCAACAGAGCGAGATTCCATCGCAAAAAAAAAGAAAGAAAGAAAGAAAAGTTTATTTTTCTAATTTTTCTTTTTCTTTCTTTTTTCTTTTCTTTTTCTTTTTTTTTTTCGAGACGGAGTTTCGCTCTTGTTGCCCAGGCTGGAGTGCAATGGCGTGATCTCAGCTCACTGCAACCTCTGCCTCCTGCGTTCAAGTGAATCTCCTGCCTCACCCTCCCCAGCAGCTGGGACTACAGGCGCCCGCCACCACGCCTGGCTAATTTTTTGTATTTTTAGTAGACACGGGCTTTCACCCTGTTAGCCAGGATGGTCTCGATCTCCTGACCTCGTGATCTGCCCGCCTCGGCCTCCCAAAGTGCTGGGATGACAGGCGTGAGCCACCGCGCCCGGCTGATTCCTCATTTTCAACCCAGTCTCTCTTGACCACTAAGCCAACTAGTTCCAGCTTTTTCTGAAGACAAGTCAGGTTGCCCTCCCAAACCTTCCCTCTTCATACAGGGGCCTTCTACCTGACCTCTGAGATTTCTCGCCCAGCACCTCAGCAAGGGCTTGTCTGATGCTGCTGTACTTTGTCTACCCCTCCAATCACAGGAGTCCGTAGTTCCTAGAAAATCTATTTTTGCTCCTGTCCCAATCCGCTGAATAAACTGTATACAAAATTCAGGTGTGGAATCTCATGTTGCTCCCTTTGGTCAAGTTACCTATTTTCCCAAGCCTGCATCTAAGCTTGATCCTTCTCCTGCTAAAAGCATCTTCGGCCGGGCGTGGTGGCTCATGCCTATAATCCCAGCACTTTGGGGGCCAAGGTGGGCAGATCATGAGGTCAAGAGATCGAGACCATCTTGGCCAACATGAGGAAACCCCGCCTCTATTAAAAATACAAAAATTGACCGGGCACGGTGGCTCGTGTCTGTAATCCTACCACTTTGGGAGGCTGAGGCGGGTGGATCACCTGAGGTCAGGAATTCGAAACCAGCCTGACCAACATGAAGAAACCCTGTCTCTACTAAAAATACAAAATTAGCCAGGCGTGGTGGCACATGCCTGTAATCCCAGCTACTCGGGAGGCTGAGGCAGAAGAATCACTTGAATCTGGGAGGTGGAGGTTGCGGTGAGCCAAGGTCGCGCCATTGCACTCCAGCCTGGGCAACAAGGCGAAACTCCATCCCAAAAACAAACAAACAAAATACAAAAATTAGCTGGGCATGGTGGTGTGCGCCTGTGGTCCCAGCTACTTAGGAGGCTGAGGCAGGAGAATTGCTTGAACCCGGGAGGTGGAGGTTGCAGTGAGCCGAGATTGCACAACTGTACTCCAGCCTGGGCAACAAGAGCGAAACTCCGTCCCCAAAACAAACAAACAAAATACAAAAATTAGCCGGGCGTGGTGGTGTGCGCCTGTGGTCCCAGCTACTCAGGAGGTTGAGGCAGGAGAATTGCTTGAACCCGGGAGGCGGAGGTTGCAGTGAGCCGAGATTGCACCACTGCACTCCAGCCTAGAGGACAGAGCGAGACTCTGTCTCAAAAAAACACAAAAAACAAAAACTTCCTGGCCAGGTGCAGTGGCTCACGCCTGTAATCCCAGCACTGTGGGAGGCCGAGGTGAGGGGATCATATGAGGTCAGGAGTTAGAGAACAGCCTGGCCAATATGGTGAAACCCCGTCTTTATTAAAAAAATAAATAAATAAATTAGCTGGGCATGGTGGCACGGCCTGTAATCCAAGCTACTCCAGAGGCTGAGGCAGGAGAATAGGTTGAACTCAGGAGACAGAGGTTGCAGTGAGCCAAGACTGCACCACTGCACTCCAGCCTGGGCGACAGAACAAGACTCCGTCTCAAAAAAAAAAAAAAAAAAAATCTTCCTGGGTATTCTCTCTGCCAGCTCTCTGCCCCAGCTTGTCCACGACCTTCTCCTCAATACACAAGTGTGCACCCCTGTCCAATCTCCCACTTAATTCACAGGACAGCTCTAGATCTCTGCTTACTTGCCAGACAGAGACAGTCAGACACCTGGACCGTGGCACCCACCTGTCCAACCTCGCCCAGCTCAGATCACCAACCTCATCGATTTCCTTGCAAAACTTTTGACTTCCGCCTTGGACTTTTGCCCCTTAAAATTTTATCTCTGCAGAGTTAGAATATGACATTGCTTTGTCGATACCATAATAATAAGGCTACAGTAAAGGGAGAGCTATTCCCTCCCAAATTACATTTTCTCTAGATTGGGCCACTCTTGCCATTTTAAACTTTCATTTATTTACTTATTTTTATTATTTTTTTTTGAGACAGCGTCTCGCTCTGTCACCCAGGCTGGAGTGCAGTGGTGCGATCTCGGCTCATTGCAACCTGCGCCTCTCAGGTTCAAGCGATTCTCCTGCCTCAGCCTCCTGAGTAGCTGGGATTACAGACATGTGCCACCATGCCTGGCTAATTGTTGTATTTTTAGTAGAGACAGGGTTTCACCACGTTGGCCAGGCTGGTCTCAAACTCCTGACTTCATGTGATCCACCCGCCTCAGCCTTCCAAAGTGCTGGGATTACAGGCATGAGCCACTGCGCCCAGCCTCATTTCTGGTCTCTGTTCCTGCTTTTCCTGCTCGGCGAGCCACACAGCTAGAATCATCTCACCAGCCAGGGCCTCTGCCCGTGGTTCTTGTGCAGCTCTGGAGAGCTGCTCTTCCCATCCAAAGGTCTTCGATCCCCTACAGTCCACAGTTCCCAGTTCTCCCCTCCACGTGCATGGAAGCAGGACACCCCAATCTCATCTCTTTTTTTGTTTCTTTTAAGAAACCAGGTCTTGCTCTGTTGCCATGCTGGGAGTGCAGGGGTGCAATTAGAGCTCACTGCAGCCTCGAACTCCTGGCTCAAGTGATCCTCCTGCCTCAGCCTCCTGAGTAGCTGGGACTACACGTTCAGGCCACCACATCTGGCTACATTTTAAATTTTTTTTTTTGTAGAGAGAAGCTCTTGCTATGTTGCCCAGGTGGTCTTGAACCCCTGGCCTCAAGTGATCCTTTTGTGGCTTCCCAAAGTGCTAGGATTACAGGAGTGACCGCTGTGCCTGGTCGTCTCACCTTCTTTTGACATGGAGCCCCAGCCTTGGGAGGCAGATGCTGAACCGTGTCCACAGTGCCCCCTTCTGGAAATTCTCCACAAGCCAAGGTTTTGGACAGCTCCAATGTCTGGGGCTATGGCATTTCAGGCGGGAAGTCTCTGCAGAGAGCAGTACCTGCCTTCATCCCTTCCTAGATATTAATTCACTTTCAGACACATACTGAGCAGCTAGTGTGAGCTGTTACGGTGCTGGCTCTGCAGACAGAGCTGCAGCGAAGACAGACGCCAACCCCACCCTCACACAGCCAATCCTGTGCTAGTTTTTTCTGTAGAACCACCACTGGGTTTCCAGTTGGTCTGGGTTATCTGGTGAACTCAGAGACTTTCGCTGTCTTCTGGACACTCCACAACAGTCCAATCACCTGCGGGGACCCTGACCTCTGCAAACCTCCGGGGGGTGGTTCCTTGGTTGGCCGCCCTCCTCTGACGGCTCCGCCTCCCTGCCGAGCCCTGGGATCGTCCTCCCTGGCTCCTGCCTTCTCTCTCATAGGATCTCATTTGTTCTGACACACTTATTCTCAAGCCCAGTAGTTACTCTTGAATATTGCTTATAGAGGTGTGTTTCCTTGAATATTCAAGCATATGTGTTATGTAATGGGTAATAATAAAGTAGGAATGTGCATATATGAATCAGCACAAAATAACTAAAAAAAATCCCATCTCCAAAGTCACTGACTATTGACAAATTCTGGACCTACTTCTCCGTTTGTTGTTTTTTTTTTTTTTTTTTTGAGACGGAGTCTCGCTTTGTCGCCCAGGCTGGAGTGCAGTGGCGTCTCGGCTCACTGCAAGCTCCACCTCCTGGGTTCACGCCATTCTCCTGCCTCAGCCTTCCAAGTAGCTGGGACTACAGGTGCCTGCCACCACGCCTGGCTAATTTTTTCTATTTTTTTTAGTAGAGATGGGGTTTCACCATGTCAGCCAGGATGGTCTCGATCTCCTGACCTCGTGATCCACCCGCCTCGGCCTCCCAAAGTGCTGGGATTACAGGTATGAGCCACCGCACCCGGCCTATTTTTATTTTTTCTTGAGACGGAGTCTTGCTCTGTTGCCCAGGCTGGAGTGGTGTGGCACGATCTTGGCTCATTGCAACCTTCGCCTCCCAGGTTCAAGCGATTTTCCTGCCTTAGCCTCCCGAGTAGCTAGGATTACAGGCACACACTACCATACCCGGCTAATTTTTTTGTACTTTTAGTAGAGACAGTGTCTTGCCACGTTGGCCAGGCTGGTGTTGAACTCCTGACCTCAGGTGATTTGCCCGCCTCGGCCTCCCAAAGTGGCGGGATTACAGGCGTGAGCCACCGCGCCTGGCCCAGATTCTCTTTTTATAAAATTATGATTGTATCACTTAACTATTTCTTCTCGACAGTTGTTATACACAAAGGCAGTAGCTCATTCCCCTAATGGATCCCTTACTTAGCTATCACCTCATAAACAGTTTCCAGCTAATGAGTGTAATATACACAGCAGCCACAAATGTCTCCATGCAAATTTTTTTTTTCTTTTTTAGACGGAGTTTCACTCCTGTTGCCCAGGCTGGAGTGCAATGGCACGATCTTGGCTCACCACAACCTCTGCCTCCTGGGTTCAAGCAATTCTCCTACCTCAGCCTCCTGAGTAGCTGGGATTACAGGCGCCTGCCACCACGCCCGGCTAATTTTTGTATTTTTAGTAGAAACACGGTCTCGCCATGTTGGCCAGGCTGGTCTTGAACTCCTGACTTTGGGAGATACACCCGCCTCGGCCTCCCAAAGTGCTGGGATTACAGGTGTGAGCCACCATGCCCGGCTTAAAAATTTATTTTTGACAAATGCAAGTGGTTTTATTCCTTTTTTTTTTTTTTTGCATTTTACTAGGAAACAGCCTGTGTGTGTTTCCTCCCGGTGCACAGCCTATATGGTTCTTTGACCAAATGGTGTCTTAGTCACTGCATCTGTTAGAGACTCAGCTTCTCATCAAATCAGTTCTATATAGGCTGGGCGTGGTGGCTCACACCTGTAATCCCAGCACTTTGGCAGGATGGTGGGGGGGGGGGGGGCGGTGGATCACTTGAGGTCAGGAGTTCAAGACCAGCCTGGCCAACATGGCGAACCCCGTTTCTACTAAAAATACAAAAATTAGCTGGGTGTGGTAGCGTGCACCTGTAATCCCACACAAAAGCTTGCATATCCAATGTTCACAGCAGCACTATTCACATAGGAAAGGCGGAAGCCACGCAAGCGTCTATCGATATACGAATGAATAAGGACAGGGAAAACGTGGCCCCTCCGTACACTGGACTGACTCAGCCCTAAAGGAACACAGCGCTCATACGTGCTATGACGTGGGTGTGGCCTTGAAAACACCGTGCTGAGTGAAAGAAGCCAGACACAAAGGTCCCATGTTACTGATCCAATTTACAGGAAATATCCAGAGTAGGTAAATCCACAGAGACAGAAGGTAGATGAATAGTTGCTTAGGGCTTGGCAGGGAGGGGTCAGAGGGCAAAGGCTAAAGGGTTTGGGGTTTCTTCTGGAGATGAAAGGTTCTAAAATGGCCTCCGGGCCAGGCGCCGTGGCTCATGCCTATAATCCCAGCACTTTGGGAGGCCGAAGTGGGCAGATCTCCTGAGGTCAGGAGTTCGAGACCAGCCTGGCCAACATAGTGAAAACCCATCTCTACTAATAAACTACAAAAATTAGCCCGGTGTGGTGGTGCACGCCTGTAATCCCAGCTACTTGCAAGGTTGAGGCAGGAGAATCGCTTGAACCCAGGAGGTGGAGGTTGCAGTGAGCCGAGATTGTGCCACTGCACTCCAGCCTGGGTGACAGAGTGAGACTCCATCTCTAAATAAGTAAATAAATGGACTCTGGTGATAGACGTGCAACTCTGTGAATAAACTGAAAGCCACTGAATTGCGCACTTGAACGGGTGAATTGTGTAGCACGTGGCTTACCAAGAGAGCTGCTACACAAAACAAAACACAGAACGCATTCATCAAGTGAGCTTGAAAGCTTAGGAACATCAGGCCGGGCGCGGTGGCTCACACCTGTAATCCCAGCACTTTGGGAGGCCGAGGCAGGCGGATCACGAGGTCAGGAGATCGAGACCATCCTGGCTAACATGGTGAAACCCCGTCTCTACTAAAAAAAAAATACAAAAAATTAGCCAGGTGTGGTGGCGGGCGCCTGTAGTCCCAGCTACTCAGAGAGGCTGAGGCAGGAGAATGGCGCGAACCCGGGAAGTGGAGCTTGCAGTGAGCCGAGATCCTGCCACTGCACTTCAGACTGGGTGACAGAGCGAGACTCCGTCTCAAAAAAAAAAAAACTCAGGAACATCAGCCTGGGCAACAAGGGGAGTGTGGGTGGTGATGGCAGCCTGAGGCAGGAGAATCATTTGAGCTCAGGAGTCTGAGACTGCAGTGAGCCACAACTGCACCACTGTGCTCCAGCCTGGGCAACAGAGTGAGACCCTGTCTAGAAAGCCAAGAAGCCTAGGAACAGGTTTTTTAGTTTTAAACATATTACTTTTTTTTTTTGAGATGGAGTCTCACTCTGTTGTCTAGGCTGAAGTGCAGTGGCATGATCTCGGCTCCCTGCAACCTCTGCCTCCCAGGTTCAAGCGATTTTCCTGCCTCAGCCTGTGGAGTAGCTGGCATTACAGGCACCCGACACCATGCCCAGCTAATTTTTGTATTTTTAGTAGAGATTGGGTTTCACCATGTTGGCCAGGCTGGTCTCGAACTCCTGACCTCAGGTGATCCACCCACCTCGGCCACTCAAAGTGCTGGGATTACAGCCATGAGCCACAGCGCCCAGCCTATTATTAAGCCAAGGCTGACTTCTCGATTGTTTATTCCATGTATAGGAGCCCCTTGAAGACATCTGAGAGTTCACGCCACAGGCTGTGTTTGAGCACAGGGCTCTGCCTGGGTGGGCCAGATGGAGGTCAGTGACATGAGGGAGCTGGGTACATTGGGAGCTGCCCAGGGGTCTGGCAGGAGACCAGGAGGCAGGGGCTGTACCAAGAGGACGGGCCAGAGGCAGAGGAAGCTGTGCTGTGAGTTTCCAGGGTGGGCAGTGACCTCTGATTGATAACCTGACCCCAAATGGAAACCTGGACGGTGCCCTGACTGCTGTCTCTGCTGCTGTTCTCTTCCCAGGATGGAGGCCAGGGGCATCAGATGCACCTTCCCTCCTCCGTCCCAACCCAGGGCCTCCAGCTACCCTCCCCCTGGCCTCACTCTGCAGAGGAGCCTCTTCTAACCTGCCCACCTCATCTCTCCTTCTCCCCTTGCCCACTCTGGCCCTTCCGTCCTTTCCTGAGGCCAAGAAGTGGGAGCAGGAGGGAAGTGAGGGACCGGCTCCACCACCGACCTTGGAGTGTGGAGCTGACAGGTCCACCGGGCTGTGCCAGGCCTGAGGCTCCTCTGTGATCAGGCAGTGGGCAACACCAAGCCAGGCCTCTTCAGAGAGAATGCTGAGGACGGGGCAGGAGGGTGCCCAGGGAGCCACGCCGTGGCGGAGCCTGACTGTGCTCTGGGCGGCCCACTGCCTGGGGCAGGGGAGACAATCCCATCCTCATGCCTCCTGGGAAAGCAGCACCAGGCACACAGCCAAGCACAAAAGACGCCTTTATTGGTGCCCAGATCTAAAGGGCAGGATGGGCTGGTGTGAAGATGACGTGGAAGATGACAGTGCTTCCCCTCTTCCCCTGGGAGTCAGCCTCTTCCCCTCTGGCACGGGGCCTAGGGTTGGGGGCTCTAGACTCAGACCCCCACAGCCCAGGGCAGGGGAAGGGTCTTGAGCTTGGTCGTGTTTTCCTCCTGGGCCAATCACAGAGGCAATAGTGGGAGTCCTGGGGAGGGGCATGGCTGGCGTGGGGGTGGGGCCTGGAGCCCTCAATGCAGCACCCTGCAAACCCCAGGGGCAGCCCCCCAACCTGTGCCTGGCCCTGCAGGGTCAGCTAAGGCACAGTGGCTGGGTCCTGTCCTGCCGGAGGCCAGAGCACTCCCGGCGACCTGGCCCTCTCAGGACGTGCAGCTGGGAGAACACAGCTACTTCTTTCGCCGGGTGGTCCTCGAACTACTGGAGCAGGGGTTGGGGGCTGCGGTGGCCTGTTCGGAGGCAGCTCCGGAGTCTTTCTGGGAGGCTGGCCTGCGCTTCTCCCCGCTGACTGGTGCCAGCGGGGAGGACCGGAGAGAACAGGGTGCTAGCAGGGCTTGCACAAATCTGACAGCCCCCACGGCCATGAGGAGCCCCCAGAGCAGGGCGGGGGCCTCCAGGGGAGACAGCTGAGAGCGAGTCCAGTGGAGGGCCTGGGCCAGGGTGCTGTTGGCGCTGCGGGTGCGAGGTGGGCTTTTCTCCTGTGGGAGGGAGGGAGGGAGGGAGGTTGGGGAAGTGCTTACTGGGTTTACCCCGGGAGGCTGGGGTCACCCCTGCCACCTCCCCCAGCCTGGCTGACACCCCCTTACCTGTAGTCCAAACTGCCTGAGCAGCGTCTCCAGCGTGGGGTCCCCCAGGGACACGGATGGGAAGAACTCCTCCACCCACTGGCGCCGCCACCACTGGCTGCAGCAGGACCCGATGTTCAGAAGCTGGAGGCACCCCGGGCTCCATACCCCATCGCCAGTGCCCAGCCTTACCCCTGCTCCTCAGCTCCTCACGCTCCACATCCCCCCCTGGTGCCCGGCCTTACCCCTGCACCCCGGGCTCCACACCCCACCCGGTGCCCGGCCTTACCCCTGCACCCCGGGCTCCACACCCCCCCCAGTGCCCGGCCTTACCCCTGCACCCCAGGCTCCACACCCCACCCCGGTGCCCGGCCTTACCCCTGCACCCCGGGCTCCACACCCCCCCCAGTGCCCGGCCTTACCCCTGCACCCCGGGCTCCACACCCCCCCCCGGTGCCCGGCCTTACCCCTGCACCCCGGGCTCCACACCCCCCGGTGCCCGGCCTTACCCCTGCACCCCGGGCTCCACACCCCACCCGGTGCCCAGCCTTACCCCTGCTCCCCAGGCTGGGAGAACCAGTACTTGTAGCGCTGGGCTCGGACGTAGGTGGGCGGCTGCTTGTGGAAGGGATACCTGGCCACTTGGCTCTGGACAAGGCGGATCACTGCAGCGAGAGGCATCAGCGTGGCCCCCACAGTACCCGCCCTGCCCCTCCCCTCCCCACCCCGCTCCACCCCAGCCCACTCCACACCCCCCAAGCCCGCTCCGCACCTGGCTCCTTGCCCTGCAGCAGGCGCAAGACCAGGCTTGTGAACCACGGGCTGTGCGTGTGTGGGCCCAGGGCTGCAAACCACATCTGCCAGTCCAGGCGTGGCTGGTGGGGCACCACAACCGGGGGCGGCCGGCTCAGGTTCCCAGGCTTGTACATGAACTCGATCTCCTGCCAGGCAGGCCGAGGTCAGCTGGGCCCGCTGACCTGGGCCCCACCACCCTGCCCGCCCTGGGAGGGCTCACCGTCCAGTGGTGGCCGTCGTAACTGCCCTCCAGCACCACCTCAGGCCGTCCACCAAGCCCAGTCATGCGGCGGAAGAGGCCGTAGGAGTTGGCCAGCTGTAGGTGCTCCACGGCACCAAACAGGCGGTGGGCCCCGGTCCAGAGGCGCCCGTGGGTCCCGGGCTCCACGTAGGAGTACGGCACCTGGAGACAGGTGGGAGGTTCTCAGGGCTGCCCTGCCCCCAGCCCATCCCCCAGCCCTGCAGCGCTACCCACCAGGCTAATCAGGAACAAGGCCACGGTCGCAGTGCCCACAAGGGACAGTTGGACTACAGCACTGAGCTTCCGTAGCCAGCCCCGCACCTGGGTCCACCTGTGGGCAAGGACCCAAGGTCGTCAGGCCGGCCCTGCACACCTGTGCCCCCTCCCTGCTTCCTGGGCCATGTACCTCCACAGGGCACTCAGCAGCTCCCAGACCAGGGAGGCCACACCCAGCCACACAGTGGGCAGCGTCAGTGTCTTCAGCCACTGAGAAAACTGGTGGAAGGTGAAAGCTGGTGGAGGAGGGGGGTGTGAGGACTGGTCCGCCCCTGCCCTCTGGCCCCCCCAGGTCGGCACTCACTGGTTCTGGAGTGGATGGTGCGCTGCTGCCAGTCAACCTCCAGGCCAAAGTAGTGCACAGTGCCATAGGCCAGAAGCCCGTAGACGGCTAGTTCCAGCAGCAGCGACAGGGTGGCCAGCAGGGCCTTGGGCCAGGCTGTGGGGCAGGACAGTCATGGGTCAGCAGAGGGTCCCCAGCCAGGGGGCTGGGGTGCAGCTAGAGTGGGAGTCCTGTGGGGGTGTTGGAGGGGAGAACCCCTGGGAGGGCAGGGGGCTGGACAAGTGACACGCACAGGTGGCCGTCTTCTTGCGGCTGCCGTGGCCAGGCTCAGCAGCCAGGTGCTGGTCGTCCAGCAGCGCAGTGGTAAGCACCAGCGTCATCAGGTTGAAGAAGTTGTAGTTGCCGGTGATGATAATCAGGACCTGCAGCAGCACCTGGGGGCGGCCCGCTCTCAGTGCTCCCGGAGACTGACGCCTGGCCCCGTGGCAGGCACCCACCTCCACCCTGCAGGGTGCATCCCTCTGCTACAAGGCCTTCCCAACAGCGGTTGCCAGCTGTCCCCGGGAGCCACGCTGTCCCCAACAGGGCACGCTGAGCAGCGCTGAAGGCCGAGCCCTGTCTGCCTCTCTCTGACAGCTGCGGCCCTCACCCACCTGCGAGTAGAAAGCAGCCAAGCGCAGGCGTCGAATGGGGGCGAAGAACAGGGGCGGCACAGCGATCTCAATTAGGAAGGTGGCCACCACGCTGAGCTTGTGCAGCCAGACCGGCAGGTGGTGTGCGAACCAGGCGGCGGGCGTGGGCAGGCACTGGGTCTCGTAGTGGTAGGTGAGGGCTGCAGGCGAGGGCAGGAGTCAGGGCTGGCCGAGCCCCCAGACTACCCCAGGTCCAGACCGGGCCCCTCACCAGTGAGCCCCCACCACGCAGGGCAGCGGCTGGTCAGCTTGACCACGCCTGAGGCGAACATGAGGCGGAACAGCAGCCATCGCACCAGCCAGAAGGGGAGGTCTTCGTGGGGCAGGGCCCCTGCCTGCCTGCCCTGGGGGGCCTCCTTGCGGTGGGAGGCTGGCCTCAGCGGGGCCACCAGCACGGCCAGGAAGCCAGTCTCTAGCAGCAGGGAGTCCCTATGGGGAGAGCAAATAGCACCAAGAGCCCCTCCCCACACAGCTGCTTCCCTCGGAAAGTCCTCCCAGGAAGGGCAGAGCCCTCCCCCACCCCCTACCCAGCCTCCCACAGCCCCAGGCCCAGCCGTCACTCACCACTGGAAATAAAGGAACACCTGGCCCACCTGCGGAGAGAGGGGCTGTCAGGGAGCGGGTGTGTCTGTGGACTCAGGTAAGGTAGAGGCAGGGGTGGGTGGTGGGGGTTGGAGATAGAGTGAGCTGGTCACAGGTCCCACTTGCCTGGCAGGCTGACAGGTAGGCGGCCCAAAGCAGCAAGTAGATGACAGGGTGGCGCAGTGGGCTCAGCAGCAGGGCTCCCAGGGCCACTAGTGCACCCAGCAGGCTCAGCAGCTCCAGGCCCTGGGCCGTGTCCAGCCCCAGTCTCGGCGCTTCCCACAGCAGCGTCGGGGTCTCCCACAGCTGCTGCCAGCGCCCCTTGCCCTGAGGCCGCAGCGTCCTCCTTGCAGGTAGGATGCCCTCGGGGCCATACAGGCCTGTGGGAGGGCATGTCATGGCCAGGCCCTGGACAGCCCTTGCAGACTAGACTACCTCTGAGTCAGGGCCTGCAGATCCCCCAGCCTAGGTCAGAGCATGCGGATACCTCCATCCCTAGGTCAGAGTCTGCAGTCCCTCCAGAGCCCGTCCCCCAGGTCGGGACCTGTCAAAACCCCGTCCCAGGGCTAGAGGCCTGCTCAACTACCTGAGTCAGGGCCTCCCACCCAGCAGAGCCCACTGCCCTCTTCCAGGTCTCAGCCCGATCTCCTACCTGTCCCACCAGGTCTGGGAGGAAGCCTCTCTCCCACCTCTCTCAGAGTTCTGTCCCCCACCCCAGGTCAGAGTCCAGAGCCTTACGGGAAATGGATCACCGCACACCTTCCTACCCCCACAGCGGCCTGCAGGACACGAACCGCCGCCCCCTACCCCACGCCAAGGCCTGGCCCTCACTCCCAACCCCGGACTGCGTGAGTGCCGGGCACAGAGAAAAGAGGACATAGGGTCCCGCGCCGAGGCTGGGGGTGTCCCACCCTGGGTGCCTTCACCTGGGATTTGCGTGTAGAGGGAAGCGAAAGCAAACATGAAGACGGCCGCCACGCCCTGGAGGAAGAGCTGCCGCGGGAGCCGGGAGCCCGCCATGTCCGCTACGCGGCCCGCTAGAGCAGGGCCCGCCCTCCGCGTCCGCCCGCCCGCGGCAGCCCCAGGCCCCGCCTCCTCACCGCCCCGCCCGCCCAATCCGTGGCAGCCCCAAGCCCCGCCTCCTCGGCCCGCCCGCCCGCCCGCGGCAGTCCCAGGCCCCGCCTCCTCACCGCCCCGCCCGCCCAACCCGTGGCAGCCCCAAGCCCCGCCTCCTCGGCCCGTCCGCCCGCCCGCGGCTGCCCCAGGCCCCGCCTCCTCACCGCCCCGCCCCCCCAACCCGTGGCAGCCCCCAAGCCCCGCCTCCTCGGCCCGCTCGCCCGCGGCAGCTCCAGGCCCCGCCCCACCCCGCCCCGCCCGACCCACGGCGGCCCCAAAAGCCCTCCCGTCCAAACTGGTGGCAGCCCAAAGCTCCGCCCACCCCCCCCTCCCGGAGGCTTCGACCCCGCCCCGCGACTCTTCCGGTGAGCTCCCGCTGCGCGGCGCCGGGGTTCGCCTCTCTGGCTTTTGCCCACGTTACGTCATAGACATGCGCGCGACGCCGCGCCTACGCATTTTCCTGGGCGGGAACAGCAAAATGGCGCCAGAACTAGTGGCGGGCTGAGGACGCCGTACCCCTCGGAAGGCAGCCCTGCGGTCCCTTTGCCGCCCGTTCCCTCCCGGACATGGAGGACGTGGAGGCGCGCTTCGCCCACCTCTTGCAGCCCATCCGCGACCTCACCAAGAACTGGGAGGTGGACGTGGCGGCCCAGCTGGGCGAGTATCTGGAGGAGGTAAGGGCGGCGGGGGAGTGACGCGGGGTGGGCCGGCGGGTGGGGCTGCGGGGCGGGGGCTCCGGGCCCGGGGCTGTGGGCGCCCCACCGTCTCCACGCCTATGGCTATCTGGCGCTCTGGCCGCGCAGGTCCTCGGGCTCCCTGCTTCTTTTCAAACTCCATCTCTGCCTCCCCAAATCATCCCTTGTTGGATTAGCGTGGACCTGTCATTGCAGGTTTCTACCCGTCAGCGAGCCGTGAATGATTGAGTGGGTGGTGACCAGCCGTTTCTCTAACGTAGTGGAATAGACTAGAAAGCATTATTGCTTTTATTGCAGTTATTGCGAGCATGCTTGTGTGTTTGAGAGGTCTGGATCACGATGTCAGAGGAATTTTTTATCTTGGATTTTCAAACCAATTTCAAGCTATTGCCATGCTCTATCCTGTTAGCGATTAGTGTTTCTTCCATGTTTGACAGCCCTGTCTAGACCTGTGTTAAGCTGTCTGCTCCATATTTGCGCTTCATTTTTACTCCTCAGCCCAGCTCAGTCTGGCGTCCACGACACTTAAATGTTTCTTGTCTTGATCAGCAGTGATCTCCATTCTACCAAATCCAAGGGACATAAGTCAGCATTTGTTGGACTGGCCACTCCTTTCTTTTTGAAACATGGTGGTAGGATTTTTTTTCCCTATTTCATTGCCTGATTTTTCTTTTCTATCCAGTCTCTAAGTGTTGAGTTCCTCAGGATGGGGCCTAGGTCATCTTCTGATGCATTTACCCTGAAGTGTCATTTATTTCTATGATTTTAAATATTGCCTGTATTAGGACAACTACCAGATCTGCAGCTCCATCCTAGATCTTTCCTCCAAATCTACTTTACATATCCAGCTGCTCTCTTGACATCTAGTGGGTGTCACGCAAACATCTCATTTAACATATTTAAAGTGGAACTCTTCATTTTTCTGCTTAAACCCCAGCTTTTCCCATCTCGGAAAATGACACCGCTGTTCAACCAAAAGCAAAAGCTAAATGTGGCTATAGTGAAGCCCCATGCTTAACACTCAGTTCATCCATGAATTCCATCAGTTATACCACCGGAATATCACTTGAATTCATCTGTTGTCCATTTTATTTGGTCTAGGCCACCATTGTCTCTGGCCTGGATTTGTGTAAAACCTTCCTATTTGGGTTCCCTTATCCCTGTTTTTGTCCCGTCCAATTCGTGCTCCAACCAGCAGCAAGTGTGACTCTTAAAAATTAAAATCTGGCCACAGCACTGTTTTCTGCCTAAAATCAACCCCTCAGTGGCTTTCCATTATGCCCAGAATAAAACCCAAATTTCCTTCTCTGAACCTGGCTCTGCTCTCCATTTTAGCCTCATTTTGGGCTGTTTTGTATCTTGTTCTTTTGAACCAGTCAACCTATGGCCCCTCCAAGCTTTTTCTTGGTGGAAGATCTTCATGCTTTCTGCCCCCACTTGGGAATCTTCTTTTTTGTTTTTATTTATTTATTTATATATTTTGAGACGGAGTCTCACTCTGAGACGGAAGTGCAGTGGCGCGATCTGAGCTCACTGCAAGCTCCGCCTCCTGGGTTCACATCATTCTGCCTCAGCCTCTGCAGTAGCTGGGACTACAGGCGCCCGCCTCCACGCCCAACTAATTTTTTTGTATTTTAGTAGAGACAGGGTTTCACCGTGTTAGCCAGGATGGTCTCGATCTCCTGACCTCGTGATCCGCCTGCCTTGGCCTCCCAAAGTGCTGGGATTACAGGCGTGAGCCACCGCGCCCGGCCTCTTTTTTGTTTTTAAATAAAGAGGGACTTCATATGGCAAGGAAAAGGAGAAAAAAAAAATCAGAGAGGAGGATCTTACTGTGTTGCCCAGGCTGGTCTCAAACTGCTGTGCTCAAGCAGTCCTCCTGCCTCAGCTTCTCAGGTAGCTGGGACTATAGCTGTGCACCACCACACCTGGCTGGGAATATTCTTTCAATGACTGAGTTTGTTTTCTTTTCTTTTTTTGAGATGGAGTCTTGCTCTGTTGCCCGGGCTGGAGTACAATGGCAGAATCTTGGCTCACTGCAACCTCCGACTCCCAGGTTCAAGCAATTCTCCTGCCTTGGCCTCCCGAGTAGCTGGGATTACAGGCATGCACCACCACGTCCAGTTAATTTTTGTATTTTTAGTAGAGATGGGTTTCGCCACATTGGCCAGGCTGGTCTCAAACTCCTGACCTCAGGTGATCCAGCCAGCTCTGCCTCTTTCCAAAGTGCTGGGATTACAGACGTGAGCCACCACGCCTGGCTGACTGAGTCCTTTTCATTCTTAAGGTCTTAGTGTAAATGTCAGCTGACCACCCTATCTAAAATAGTCCTCTCCATCTCAGCACCTTACACACTTTAGAATGTTTATCATAAACCATTTAAATTTTTTTTTTTTTTGAGATGGAGTCTTACTCTGTCGCCCAGGCTGGAGTGCAGTGGCATGATCTCAGCTCACTGCAAGCTCTGCCTTCTGGGTTCACGCCATTTTCCTGCCTCAGCTTCCCGAGTAGCTGGGACTACAGGCACCTGCCACCACACCCGGCTAATGTTTTGTATTTTTAGTAGAGACGGGGTTTTACCGTGTTAGCCAGGATGGTCTCGATCTCCTGACCTGGTGATCCGCCCGTGTCGGTGTCCCAAAGTGCTGGGATTACAGGCATGAGCCACCGCGCCCAGCCAAAAAAAATTTTATTTATTTATATGTTTTTTTTTTGAGATGGAGTCTCACTCTGTCACCCAGGCTGGAGTGCAGTGGTGCAATCTCAGCTTGCTGCAGCCTCCACCTTCTGGGTTCAAGCAGTTCTCCTGCCTCAGCCTCTTTTTTTTTTTTTTTTTTTTTTGAGACGGAGTCTCACTCTGTCGCCCAGGCTGGAGTGCAGTGGTGCAATCTCGGCTCACTGCAAGCTCCACCTCCTGGGTTCACACCATTCTCCTGCCTCAGCCTCCCGAGTAGCTGGGACTACTGGCACCCGCCACCACGCCCGGCTAATTTTTTGTATTTTTTTAGTAGAGACGGGGTTTCACCGTGTTAGCCAGGATGGTCTCGATCTCCTGACCTCATGATCCACCCGCCTCGGCCTCCCAAAGTGCTGGGATTACAGGCCTGAGCCACCGCGTCCGATCCTGCCTCAGCCTCTTGAGTAGCCGGGATTACAGGCGCCTGCCACCACGCCTGGCTAATTTTTTTTTTTTTCTTGAGACAGAGTCTTGCCCTGTGGCCCAAGTTGGAGTGCAGTGGCACAATCTCGGCTCACTGCAAGCTCCATCTCCTGGGTTCGCGCCATTCTCCTACTTCAGCCTCCTCAGTAGCTGGGATTACAGGCGCCCGCCACCACGCCTGGCTAATTTTTTTGTATTTTTCAGTAGAGACAGGGTTTCACCATGTTAGCCAGGATGGTCTTGGTCTCCTGACCTCGTGATCCACCCGCCTCGGCCTCCCAAAATGCTGGGATTACAGGTGTGAGCCACCGTGCCTGGCCCCAGCTAATTTTTGTATTTTTAGTAGAGATGGGGTTTCACCATGTTGGCCAGGCTGGTCTTGAACTCTTGACCTCGTGATCCGCCCACCTCATCCTTTGAAAGTGCTGGGATTGCAGGTGTGAGCCACTGCGACTGGCCACAAGCCATTCTTCAACTCATTTACCTGTTTGTGGCCTGTCTCCACCCTAGAATGTGAATTCTGCCAGGGCAGGGACCATACTTATGCCCTCTTTTGTCTGCTTAGTAGAGTGCCTGGCACATAGGTGTGGACGTTAAAGTGTTTGTTAAATGCACATGTGATCTGATGACCAAACTTCTCTGCTCTCATGCATAGTTGGCTGAGAAAATACGGGGAACTGTGCTGGGCAGAGCTCCTGTGGATTCAGGTTTTCACATCAAGCAGGGTCCATGAGGACACCTGTTCACTTGGTAAATCTCCTTCCTGGCTTGGTCAGCTCCCTTCCTGCTTTCTTATGTCTGCTCTTCCAAACCTCTGCAGCTTGAAGTCCTGATTTCCTGGTTTCTAGTATTATCTTTTTCCTTCTGTCATTTTCCACACACTACCATGATGTTCTTTTTCTTTTTTTTGTCCTTTGTTTTTTTTTTTTTGTTTTTTTTTTTTAGATAGGTTCTTGCCCTGTTGCCCAGGCTAGAGTGCAGTGGTGCAATCATGGCTCACTGCAGCCTCGATCTCCCAGGCTCAAGTGATCCTCCCATCTCCCAAGTAGCTGGGACTGCAGGCATGTGCCACCGCACCTGGCTAATTTTTTGTATTTTTGGTAGAGATGGGGTGTCACTGTGTTGCCCAGGCTGTTCTCAAACTCCCAAGCTCAAGTGATCCACCTGCCTTGGCCTCCCAGAGTGCTGGGATTATAGGTGTGAGCCATTGCACTGGCCAGAATGTTCTTCTAGTACTGTCATGATCCTACTCTCTTTTATCCATTTATTTATTCATTGTTGTTAGTTGTGAATTGTGTGCCAAGAACCATGTTAAACTTTGAAAAAATAGTGCCAAGCAAAGCAAATGATAATCCCCACTATGGTAGGACTTCCTCTGTCATGGGAAGACGGGTCCAAGAGAGTAACCGCATGGGGGTGTAATAAATATGCATTTGGTGTTTACTTGTGTTAAGCACCTGTTTTATGTGCTTTACACATATGAATGCAGAGTCCTCACAAAAACCTTGTTAGTAGAGGCGTTAGAGATGTACTCTGAATGATAGTGGTTCCTGGCAGATCAGAATCCAGCCTCCACCCCTGCGTGTGACTTTGTGTAGTCAGAAACTGATGGCCAGGCGAGGTGGCTAACGCCTGTGATCCCAGCACTTTGGGGGGCCAAGGTGGCTCACGCCTGTGATCCCAGCAGTTTGGGGGGCCAAGGTGGCTCACGCCTGTGATCCCAGCACTTTGGGGAGCCGAGGTGGCTCACGCCTGTGATCCCAGCACTTTGGGGGGCCGAGGTGGCTCACGCCTGTGATCCCAGCACTTAGGGAGGCCGAGGTGGCTCACGCCTGTGATCCCAGCACTTAGGGAGGCCGAGGTGGCTTACGCCTGTAATGCTAGCACTTTGGGAGGCCGAGGCAGGAGGATCATTTGAGGTCAGGAGTTCGAGATGAGTCTGACCAGCATGGTGAAAACCTGTCTCTGCTAAAAGTACAAAAAAAATTAGCCAGGTATGGTGGTGCATGCCTGTAGTCCCAGTTACTTGGGAGGCTGAGGCAGGAAAATCACTTGAACCTGGGAGGCAGGGGTTGCAGTGAGCCGAGATTGTGCCACTGCACTCCAGCCTGGACAACAGAGCGAGAGACTGTCTCAAAAACAAAAACCAAAACCAACCAACCAACCGAAAAAATCACCAGAAACTTATAAGGGATTTGAAAGAAAATGTATGGTCCTGTGGAGAGTTTGGGGGGCTTAGTTTGTTTGAGATGAAAGCAGTTACTTATTTATGGTGAGCTAAAGAATGTTTAGCTCCAGGTGGAGGAAACCTGGTGTTGGAAGGATTGGAGTTTTTACAAAAATTAGCCGGGCGCCTATAATCCCAGCTACTCAGGAAGCTTAGGCAGGGAGAATTACTTGAACCCAGGAGGCGGAGGTTGCAGTGAGCTGAGATTGCGCCCCTGCATTCCAGCTTGGGTGACAGAGTGAGACTCCGTCTCAAACAAAACAAAACAAAACAAAACAGAAGGTTCCAAGTTGGGACCATAGAGCAGAGGAGGGCAGGCAGCTGGAGAGGGAGGCTGGCCAGCATGGAGGCCTCCCTCTGGCTCCGTTTAGGATTTTGGGTTTTTCCTGCCACTGTTAGGAAAAACCCAAAATCCTAAACAGAGGCACTGAGCAGAGCGTGGAGAGTGGACGGGAGGGGAGTGAAGGGCAGGAGGAGCCCTGTCAGTGCAGAGGTGAAAGGGGAGGTGGTGGGGCCAGAATGGGGGTGACTGTGGAGAGGAACCCCTGGGTTTCTGGGCAGGTGGGTTGGGGGCTATTTGGAGTTCAGTGTGGATGCATTCAGTATGAATCTTGGTGAAGCCATCCAAGCGATGTTTGAAGAAGGCAGCTGAACATGTGGGTTTGGGCTCAGATGGCAGGTCCAACCTGGGGAGGTGAGAAGACAAGTGAAGCCCAGTAGTGTCTTGGGAGTGGGCAAGCCAGCCAGGCTGAGGGTCACTGGAGAGAAGGGCCACTTCTGCAGCTCAGCTTCCAGGCCGCCATCTCCTCCATGTTCCCTTCTTTCTGGACCAGCTCTTCAGGTCCTGAACACCCCCGAGGTCCTTACACTCCGTAGACGACCATGCTGCTGTTTCCTCTCCCTTCCTCCCAGATCTGACAAACACCCTTTATCCTTCAAGAGCTAATGGAAGTGACTCCCCTTGGGGATGGCTTCCCAGCCTCTGCCACTCCTTCGTGCTACCATGGTGCCTAAAATCTTGCCTCTCCCCAGCACGCGCCATGCTTTGGCCATGTTTAGATCATGCTCATTTTCCTGAAGAGACGTGTCCAGTCTCTGCTAGCTGCCTTCACGTTCCCTTCATCTGTCTGGTGAGCCTCTGCGTTTTTCAGGCTTAGCTTTGACATTATCTATGCATGTGTTCATCAAATATTTACTGGACACCAGTGTCAGGCACTGAACAGAAGGCTGGAATTACACTAATGCTGCTCACACAGTTCACTAAGGGACACGATCACACTAAGGGAGCGGCACAGAGGCCCCAGGAATGGAGGGGCTCTGAAAAAGAGTTTGCGTGGGGACAGCTGGGGGTCGGTGTTCCAGGCAGATGGAAATGCAAAATTGAAGAGCTGGAAAGACACCTAGGGGCTTCAAAGTGTCGTTTGTGGCTGGGCACGGTGGTGCATGCCTGTGATCCCAGTGCTTTGGGAGGCTGAGGCAGGAGGATCACTGGAGGCCAGGAGTTTGAGACCAACCTGGGCAACATAGAGAAACCCTGTCTCTACAAAAACATTTTTTTTTTGAGACGGAGTCTCGCTCTGTCGCCCAGGCTGGAGTGCAGTGGCGCGATCTCGGCTCACTGCAAGCTCCGCCTCCCAGGTTCATGCCATTCTCCTGCCTCAGCCTCCCGAGTAGCTGGGACTACAGGCGCCCGCCACCACGCCCAGCTAATTTTTTGTATTTTTAGTAGAGACGAGGTTTCACCGTGTTAGCCAGGATGGTCTCGATCTCCTGACCTCATGATCTGCCCGCCTCGGCCTCCCAAAGTGCTGGGATTACAGGTGTGAGCCACCGCACCCGGCCTTTTTTTTTTTTTTTTTTTTAAAGTGTCATTTGCTGAGAAGGAATACAGGAGATGAGCCAGCGTTGGGGAAGATGTTGGGTAAAGTATGGAAGTAAAGTGTTTGGGGACATTTGAATGTACTCTGTGGACAGCTATGAATGCAGCCCCAGAGCTAAGGAGAGAGAGCTGGTCGGGTTGGGTTTGGGGCTCATTGGCTTATGGTTGGCAGCTTGGGCATGGGATGAAGGAATGTGCATGGCGGGGGGTGGAGCGCCTGGCGCACTGACGTTTAAGGGGTGACAGAGGAGCTGGGGCTCCGGGAGGCTGAGGGGAGCAGAGGAAGGATGGCGACTCACCTGTAACTGTTTCCTGAGTTCTCTGCTCAGAGGATGGAGACCTCAGCATTTTATCTCTGCCTTTCCTACCCCTGAGGTTCCCTTTTCTTCTCTGTGTCGGGGATCTTCCTGCTGGAGTCTGTCAGCCTCTGGCGCCTTGTGGAGGGAGCCGCTGTGCTGCCCTGGTTGTTTGTAGACAGTGTGCCCTGGGGGCCTTCCACTTCCAAAACAGGTTTTTGTTATAGGAAGTAGGGGGAAACACAGAGACCTGTCTCTGCCCCGAAATACCAGGGACAACCGGTGAGCCCACAGCATAGCTAGAGCTGCCCGTCTCGGGAGGTGCTGGGCAGAGACCAAAGATGGGTGGGGCTGCCCTGGAAGAAGCGAGTGCAGACTGGGCCTTGGATTCCCCCTGTCTTTGTGTTGTTTCTTGCAGCTGGATCAGATCTGCATTTCTTTTGACGAAGGCAAGACCACAATGAACTTCATTGAGGCAGCGTTGTTGATCCAGGGCTCTGCCTGCGTCTACAGTAAGAAGGTGGGCCCTGCTTGACGCTGGTCTTGGCATTTTGGTGGCCAGTGGGACCACAGTCGGCTCTCCTTCTGGGGCAGGTGCAGTGGTCGTCCCGTCTGTGACCTACCTCCCTCTCTCCTCAGGTCTCAGCCAATTCCTCAGCACCTTCCAACACCAAGAACAATTTTTAATTTAAAATCGCACA
This sequence comes from Homo sapiens, assembly GCF_000001405.40. NCBI lineage: Eukaryota > Metazoa > Chordata > Mammalia > Primates > Hominidae > Homo > Homo sapiens. The sequence continues at coordinate 50,516,730 of NC_000022.11, forward strand.
GCCAGGCAGGGAGGGTCTTTTGTGCTGTTGGGCTCTGTTGTCTTGGGGGAATGACACCTGCTGTGTGCACTTGGACACAGCCCAGGGTGCCACCTGCACCCACCTTCCCCTTCCCCGTCCCCTACTTGTGGGTGCCTCATTGTCAGCACCTAGAAAGTCCACAACCACCACCCTCACGGTGGGGCCTCTGTTCTGTGGAGGAGAAGGACAGGAAGTGAGTGACGGGCTCTGTCCTGCAGGCCCCGTGGCGGCAGGAGCTGGGACAGGGCAGGGCCAGGACAGGAGGAGGGGCTGGGGTGATGCTGGCGGGAGCACACGGGCGGAGGAGCAGCAGGGCTGCAGGCCGTCGGCAGAGTGGGTGCCAAGCACGAGGGGCCTCACCACCAAGGACCGTGTGATGAGGCACACTGTGGGAACCACAGTGCTGTCAGGGTCACACGTTGAGAAGGCCACGCTCGCGGCTGCGTGGACCATAGAGGGCAGAGGAGAGATGTGGGTGGCCTCAGCTGGTAAAGTAATTCTCATGAGATTCCTGGTTTGATTTGAGAATTATTTTTGGAACCAAAATTGGTGGTTTCTTGTACTGGAGGTTTGGTGGTGGTGGCCAGGCCTCGTGGGGGCACCGATGGATAGCTGGGAAGGCCTTGGGGGTGGGCCCCTCCTTTCTGGGTCCTCACTGCCTGCATCTGGTCACCAGGTGGAATACCTCTACTCACTCGTCTACCAGGCCCTTGATTTCATCTCTGGAAAGAGGTGAGTTCTGCAGCCACTCACTGTGCTGCCCTGCATGTGGCCAGGGAGGCCCCTGCAGCTCCTGGGATGCCCACGGGATGTGCTTCTCTCTCAGGCGGGCCAAGCAGCTCTCTTCGGTGCAGGAGGACAGGGCCAATGGGGTTGCCAGCTCCGGGGTCCCCCAGGAGGCAGAGAATGAGGTGAGTTTCTTTGGCATGTGGTCCCCGCCCACTGTGTGTTTGCCTGGGCTCCGCCCCCACGAGCTCTGTCTCCCTCCAGTTCCTGTCGCTGGATGACTTCCCTGACTCCCGGACTAACGTGGATCTCAAGAATGATCAGACGCCCAGTGTGAGTCCTGGCCTGGCCCCTCTTAGGCTGGGGTGAGGTCAGCACTTTCCCTGGGGCTGTGTTGAGCTGATGGGGTGTGGGAAGGTGTCATTGCCCCATGTGGGTCCTGTTCTCCACTGGAGTGGAAGGGTGCCTGGCTCACCCACCCTTGGCCTCCATGCAGGAGGTCCTCATCATCCCCCTCCTGCCCATGGCCCTGGTGGCCCCTGATGAAATGGAGAAGAACAACAATCCCCTGTACAGGTAGGGATCTGAGCCCAGCGACGGGGAGGGAGGCCTGCCTGGGAAGGGTCTCTACAGCAGGCGTGTTTTTGCCAGCACAGCCGTCAGGGTGAGGTCCTGGCCAGCCGGAAGGATTTCAGGATGAACACGTGCGTTCCCCACCCCAGAGGGGCCTTCATGTTGGAGCCAGAGGGCATGTCCCCCATGGAACCAGCGGGCGTTTCCCCCATGCCAGGGACCCAGAAGGGTGAGGGCTTGGATGCGGGGGGCTTGGTGGGAAGGAAGGGAGGGTCTTCTGGTTGGACTCTTGTGGGGTGCCCTGTGCTTGCCACCTCTGGTCTTGGGAGCTCCCTGTCTCTGGGTGCCTGCTCTAGTCTAGACAGGTTGGCTGGTGCTCATCCCACCCATCTGCTGTGCCTTGATTACAAGTTAACATGGTCTCAGTGCCAGAGACCTGGTGCCTGGCTCAGGGCCCTGCTGTCTCCCCCCAGCCCAAGGCCTGGAGTCTGCTGGTCTCTGCCCTCCTGCTGGCCCCTTGGAGAGGCTTGTTGAACACCGGGCAGGGACCATCTTGGAGAGGGGCTGGGCTGACCTTGTCTGATCCCTGTCTCTCCCAGACACCGGGAGGACTGAGGAGCAGCCAATGGAAGTTTCCGTGTGCAGGAGCCCTGTCCCAGCACTCGGCTTCTCCCAGGAGCCAGGTGAGAAGAGAGCTCCCCGGTGGGACTGGCAGGGCAGCCAAAGAGGGGACCAGGGAGGCAGCACCCAGTGGACAGGGCTCCAAGGGGCTGCTCTCAGCTGCCAGCCTCATGCCCCTTCTGTGGCCCATGGGAGTGAGGCCTCGCCCCGGGGAAGCAGCCACAGCCCCCGGTGAGCCTCAGCCCATCTTGGTTCACTGACTGCCCTCTGACTGCCCTCCTGGGTCTCCTCTCTGGGCAGATGTGGATGGCTGCATTTAAAGAGGAACATTTGCTAAGAAATAAAATGAACCAAGCAGAGCACAGAGCACAGGAGCACGACGAGGATGGTGCAAGGCACCCGCCAAATCCTCTGGGCTCCGTGACTAAAGCTGAGGGAGGAAGTAGCCATCAGGGTCCCTTTGGTGCCGTCTGGTCTCGGCACTCCTTGGAGCTGATCACTCTCTTGCTCCCTGCCTAGGCCCCTCTCCAGAAGGCCCGATGCCCCTGGGTGGGGGCGAGGACGAGGATGCAGAGGAGGCAGTAGAGCTTCCTGAGGCCTCGGCCCCCAAGGCCGCTCTGGAGCCCAAGGAGTCCAGGAGCCCGCAGCAGGTGGGACCCACATGGAGGCCTGCAGAACCTGAGCTGTGAACTGGCAACCCTGGCTCTGGGGCCGAGTCACCTTGCACAAGGAGGACAGTGGTATGGCCTTGGCCCCAGACCACTGGTCTGGGGCAGAAGCCCACCTGTCTTGCAGCCCGTCCTGCAACCAGCCCTTTTGAAGAGCAGCTTCTGTGTTCCTCCCCTCTCTGAGCAGAACTGATGCTCCTCAGAGTAGTGGGCTGGCGTCCAAGGATTTGAGCCCTGTCGAGCTCACGGCAACCTGGGATGGCCGCCGGTTGCCAAGGCGCCTCTCTGCAGTCGGGCTGGTAGGAGGGAGTGTCTGGAGGCCATTGCTGCCTCCCTCAACCCCCGGGGTCAACTGTACCCAGCCTAGAGCCAAGAAATCCTTCCTTTTTATTCATTAAAACAAAATCAACCTGATGCATACAGAGGAAATGTTAACGTTTCTTCACTCTAGTTGGTAGATGGCATGGATATTTGTCATATTCTATTCATTTTTCCTAGTTTTGAAGAAGAGTACCCCGTGACCACTGTTTGTGTTTTCTGTTTGTTTTTTGAGATGGAGTTTTGCTCTGTCCCCCAGGCTGGAGTGCAGTGGTGCGATCTTGGCTCACTGCAAGCTCCGCCTCCCGGGTTCACGCCATTCTCCTCCCTCAGCCTCCCAAGTAGCTGGGACTACAGGCGCCCGCCACCATGCCTGGCTAATTTTTTGTATTTTTAGTAGAGACGGGGTTTCACCATGTTGGCCAGGATGGTCTCAATCTCCTGACTTCGTGATCTGCCCGTCTTGGCCTCCCAAAGCACTGGGATTACAGGCGTGAGCCACCACGCCCGGCCCACTGTTTGTGTTTTAAAGTTTTTCTTAGGGTTTTTGTTTTAATACCCCCAGAGAGTACTAGCAGGGTTTATTTTTATCTTATTTTATTTATTTATTTTTGAGACAGGGTCTTGCTCTGTTGCCCAGGCTAGAGTGCAGTGGCCTGATCTTGGCTCATTGCAGCCTTGACTCTCTCTAGGCTCAGGTGATCCTTCCACCTCAGCCTCCCGAGTAGCTGGGACTACAGGCGTGTACCACCACACCCGGCTAATTTTTGTATTTTTTGTAGAGACGGGGTCTCACTGCATTGCCCAGGCTGGTCTTGAACTCCTGGGCTCAAGTGATCTACCCGCCTTGGCCTCTCAAAGCACTGGGATTATAGGCGTGAGCCACTGTGTCCGGTCCCTGTAGGTTTTTTTTTTTTTTTTGGACGGAGTCTTGTTCTTTTGCCCAGGCTGGAGTGCAGTGGTGTGATATCGGCTCACTGCAACCTCTGCCTCCTGGGTTCAAGCGATTCTCCTGCCTCGGCCTCCCGAGTAGGTGGGATTACAGGTGTGCGCCACCACACCCGGCTAATTTTTTTTGCATTTTTAGTAGAGGCGGGGGTTTCACCATGTTGGCCAGGCTGGTCTCAAACTCTTGACCTCGGGTGATCTGCCCGCCTTGGCCTCCCAAAGTGCTGGGATTACAGGCATGAGCCACCACGCCCGACCCTTGTAGGGTTCTTGATGTTAACCCAAGGTGGAGTTCCTGGGGTACCCAGAGCCTTGAGGGGAGAAAGAGGAGAAGTGGGGACCCTGTGACTGTCTTTGCAGAGTGCTGCCCTGCCCAGGAGGTACATGCTGCGGGAGCGGGAGGGGGCCCCAGAGCCTGCATCCTGCGTGAAGGTAGGAGTGTTGGGGCCCTGACCCCCGGCAGGGAGGGATGGGCGGATTCGAGGACTGGCTGCCTGCCCATCATGCTCTTGCTCCTGCTGGCCTGTGGTGTTCCCAGCCTGTGGCCCTTTGCACTTGCTCTCTTAAAGACCCCCTCATGCGACTCTGGGCTCCCACCCTCTCTCTAGTGTTCCCCTCTGTGATCCAGGATTTGAGTGTGGTCGGCTCTGCCCCAGGCTGTCACTGCACTTGTTGCCTGGGCTTTGGGAAGGCGGCTGTGCACCCCCTACTCCTCTGGGAGGGTGGCTGTGTACCCCCTACTCCTTTGGGAGGGTGGCTGTGAACCCCCTACTCCTCCTTTGGGAGGGTGGCTGTGCACCCCCTACTCCTCCTTTGGGAGCGCGGCTGTGTACCCCCTACTCTTCCTTTGGGAGGGTGGCTGTGCATCCCCTACTCCTTTGGGAGGGACGGCTGTGCACCCCCTACTTCTCCAGCGCCTTCTTGTGCTCTGTGCCCAGGAGACTCCAGACCCCTGGCAGAGCCTGGACCCCTTTGACTCCTTGGAGTCTAAGCCCTTCAAGAAAGGTAATTGGGTGGAAGGTACCTCCACTCAGGTACCCCTGGCTGGGTTTCCTGGGGCATGAGGTGGGGGGGTGGGAGTGGGCTTTGCACCCTGATCCCCCAGCGGCTCTAAGACAGTCCCTGTTTGCCCCCAGGTAGGCCTTACTCTGTGCCCCCCTGTGTGGAGGAGGCTCTGGGACAGAAGCGCAAGAGGAAGGGCGCTGCCAAGCTGCAGGACTTCCACCAGTGGTACCTGGCTGCCTGTGAGTGGGTGTGGTGTGCACTCCGGACCACTGGGAGCTGGGGGCTGGGCCAGGGCCAGTGGAGGAGGATCAGCACCCTTTTCCCAATGCTGTGGGCAGCTCTTGGCCTGGCTGGTGCTGAGCATGTTCTTTCACAGATGCAGACCATGCCGACAGCAGGCGGCTTCGGCGAAAGGGTCCGTCCTTTGCAGGTGAGGCTGAAGTCCTCGGGGAAGACAGTTTTACTCTCCTTCCCCTACCTCTTCCCCCACCTGGTGTCACCCAAAGCCTTGGGTGGACTGGCACGGGGCCTGGGAAGGACGAGGGAGCCCTCACAAGGCCTTTGTCTGCAGACATGGAGGTCCTGTACTGGACACACGTGAAGGAGCAGTTGGAAACTCTCCGGAAGCTGCAGAGGAGGGAGGCAAGTCCCAGCTGGTCAGCTGTGATCTAGGACCCCGTGGTGGCCCTGATGGGAGGTGACAGTGCCCCTCACAGATGCTTTCTCTGGACAGGTGGCTGAGCAGTGGCTGCGGCCTGCAGAGGAGGACCACCTGGAGGATTCCCTGGAAGACCTGGGGGCAGCAGGTGGGTGCCTGCCAGGGGGTGGGGTGGGGCTTGGCACCTGCCGACTAGCTGCCTGCGTGCTGTTCACTCTCCCACCTCCCAGCAGATGACTTTCTAGAGCCTGAGGAGTACATGGAGCCCGAGGGAGCAGACCCCAGGGAAGCCGCTGACCTTGGTAGGTGGGCAGCGGGCTAGGAGTGCTGAGGGGCCACTGGAGCTGGGGGCAGGGGAGAGCGTGGCCCCTTAGCTGCCCAGCTCACAGCTACCCCTTCCCAGACGCAGTGCCGATGTCCCTGAGCTACGAGGAGCTGGTTCGAAGGAATGTGGTAGGCCTGGGTTAGAGGGAGACGGGGAGGGGAGGGGGACAGGTGAGCGGTGCCCAGGCCCCTGCTTGGGAGGCAGTAGCTCCTGCTGATCCTCCCCTAGGAGCTCTTCATCGCCACCTCCCAGAAGTTTGTCCAGGAGACAGAGCTGAGCCAGCGCATCAGGGACTGGGAGGACACAGTGCAGCCTCTGCTCCAGGAGCAGGTGAGGCGGGGCCGCTGGGAACCAGAGCTGTGTGCCACGGGTCTGTCCAGGGCCTTGCCTCTCTCCGCAGCCAACATGCCCCTCCCCTGTGCAGGAGCAGCATGTGCCCTTTGACATCCACACCTATGGGGACCAGCTGGTCTCACGGTTCCCCCAGCTCAATGAGTGGTGTCCCTTTGCGGAGCTGGTGGCTGGCCAGCCGGCCTTCGAGGTGTGTCGTTCCATGCTGGCCTCCCTGCAGCTGGTGAGTAGCCTGGGATACGTGGGAGGGGGAGACGGTCCCCAGACCCTGCTGATGTGCCACCCCTGCAGGCCAATGACTACACAGTGGAGATAACCCAGCAGCCCGGGCTGGAGATGGCCGTGGACACCATGTCCCTGAGACTGCTCACGCACCAGCGAGCGCACAAGCGCTTCCAGACCTACGCTGCCCCCTCCATGGCCCAGCCCTGAGTGGGGAGCACCGAGGCAGGGGTGGGGGAATGTGTACTGAGGAGCCGTGTGTCTGCTCCTGGCTGGCCCGGCCTAATAAAGCAGTGTTGCCATCTCATCTTCCCCCTAAAAACCCTTTTATGTACACCTGCGCAGAGAAGAGGGCTGCCTGGCCTCCCTGGGCCGCTGGTACAGATCACACACACACACAGATTAAACGCAGCCCGTTTAATGATGGGGCCCAGACTGCAGTGGCTCAAGACAGGACACTGCGGAAAGCCGCCATGTGCCGCCGCACACTGTCTGAGATCTGCTCAGCCGATCTGCTCCGGCCGTAGTAATCCGTGAAGAGGCCGTCAGGGTTGAGCAGGTAGATGGCAATGGAGTGGTCCACGATGTAGTCCTGGTCCTCATCCTTGGGGCCTGCATTGTAGTACACGCGGTAACTGTGACTAGCCTGGGCAACCTGTTTGGTGGAGCCGGTCAGACCCAACAGTCTTGGGTGGAAGTCCTGGACGTAGCGGGCCATGGCTTCAACGTCGTCCCGCTCGGGGTCCACAGTGATGAAGACAGGCTGCACTGGAGGCAAACCAGGCTCTGCTTCCAGCTGCCGCACCACCTGCACCAGCTTCTCCAGCTCGTCTGGGCAGATGTCAGGGCAGTGAGTGAAGCCAAAGTACATCAGCACCCACTGGCCCCGGAAGTCAGCCTTGCAGCGAGCCCGGCCTCTGTGATCCAGCAGGTGGAAGTCGCCCTGGCCCACAGCTGCCTGGCGCAGGGCTTCTGTTCGCTTTTGCTGCTGCAGCCTCTCCTTCTCAGCCCTCAGGGCCAGCCAGGCCCCACCGAGTCCAGCCCCGAACAGGCCTGTGATCAGCAGCCGGGTTCGAAGCCCAGGGCCCTGGGGCTGGCCCTGCCCACCTGTCTCTGCAGGGCCCTGCCTTGACAAAAGCCAGGACCTCAGATGCAGGGCCTGGCCTCCCAGGGTCCCAGGGAGGACCCGAGGCTTGAGCTGAGAGAGCCTGTGCCAAGCTGTGGGGCTCCGAGTCAGCAGCAGCATGGATCTGATGCTCCTGGAAACAAGCACAGGCGTCAGGAGCCAGAAGGGAAGGCCCAGGACAGTGCCTGGGCTGCCCCTGCGACTTGAGACCAGCCACCCATCTGAAGGACCCAGCCCACGTTCAGGCTTAACAGGCATTTGCAGCTGCTCACCTGAGCTCAGAACTCCACCTCCACCAAACATCCACACCTGGGCAACCACACCTGTCACTCCTGTCCTCTACCTGGGATCACCAGCCTGTCACCGCACCCTGCCCTGCACCTGCACCTCAGCAAGGTGAACCTCTTGCTGACGGAAAGCATTCCAAGTGCATGCCTTGCCTGAACTAACCACGTTATCTATTTGCAATAAACCCATTTCTTAAAAGGAGGTGGGTAACTCTCTGGCTTGCAATCCCCGAGAGCAACCGATTCCTCCAACACTTTCCTGTTACCTCCAGCCACTTCAACCAACCGCGGCCTTCCTCCACACTCCCAGCAGAAAACCTGCACGACCTACCCCCGGAGCTCAGACTCTGCCCGCCGGCTGTGTTTAACCTCTCCTGGCAGAGACGCACGACACTTCCACCCGCCACAAAACCCCACCCTCCTCACATCCAGGCTTCCCAGCAGCTCCTCCGGGCTCACAGCCGACGCCCTGCCTTTGCGTTGGTGACCTTTGAGCCTTTCCCACGGGCCCCCGCAGAAGGTTTGCTAGGTGGAGGTCTCAGGACTCCCGGTCACTGCCCCCTCCTGCTGAGGGCACCCTCCCGAGGACTCACTGCACCCCCGCCCGGGCGGTTCTGGGTTTGTGCCCTCCCCAGCAAGGCCAGCGCCCTCGTGGCCAGAAAGGTTCCAGGACCACTCGAAGCGCCGCGCGAGCGCGTTATAACTGTGCTTGGCCGCGAGAACACCGGTGCCTGCTGGGAGCCTCCCACGGGCGCCCCAGCCTCGCTCCGGCCTCCAGCGCGCCCTGGGGTGTGCCCCGCCAGCCCCGCGCAGTAGCCGGAGCTGGGAAACTACCCCGGAGTCCAGCGAGTCCTCAGGGCTACCTCCTCCCCTCCCAGCCCCGGCGTCCGCACCTCGCGGCGGGGCCGCGCGTCAGTGGACCAAGCACGAGAGGAAGCGCCGACCTCCAGCTCCCTGCGCTCTGCCCCGCCGGCTCAGGGAAAGCGGGCGCCACACGCTCACAGGCAGGGCGCAGGCGTCCCCGGAGCTGCGCATGCGCACACGGGCGCAGCCGCTGACAGGCTCTCAGCGCGTGCGCGGAAGGCGGAGCCCGCCGGGGGTCACGTGTTCATCGAGACGGCCCCCGCCTCCGCAGCCCTGGATCCTTCCGCTCCCGCCCAAGCACTGACAAGGTTTCGCGGCAAAGGAGCTTTATTGCTGCGGCGGCAGAACGAGCTCTGCGAAGGGCGAGGGGGCGGCGAATGGCGCGCGGTCGGAGAGTACGAGCGCCTCCTGCAGGGCGCGGCTCTGCGGGCCGCTGAGCGCGGGGCCGTCCCGGTGCACGCGGAGCCAGGGGGTCCCTGCAGAGCGAGGGGCTGTTAGAGGCCGCGCGGCCGGAGCTGGGCGGGGGTGCGGGGCCAGCAGGGCGGGGGCGGCGCTCACCACGGCGCAGCCTCTGACCCACGTCGACCAGCAGCTCTGCGCCCACCCCCAGGCGGAGCGGCTCCCCAGCGCGGCTGCGCCCGGCCCCGAGCTCGTGCAGCACCAGCGCCAGCGGCAGCGCCCGGACCAGCTCCACGGTGCCTGCGGGGAGAGGGGCTGAGAGGCGCGGGCTCGGGAAGGGGCGGGGCCTCGGGAAGGGAAGGGGATGGCGGAGGCGGAAGGACGGGGACTCCCCCGACGCTCACCATCTGCGGGCGCCAGCAGCTCCTCCTGCTCCCGGGCGCGAGGCAGCAGCTGCCGGCGTTCTGCGGGACTTCCCGAGCACAGGGCTCGGGCCAGACCGGGATCCACGCCCTGCGCCGCCAGCATCCGCTCGAAGCGGCCAAGGGCCGAGCCGTCGTCCAGCGCCGCGGCCACCCGGGCAGCGCCCTGGGCCTGAGTCCCCGCGTGTCCGCTGAGCCAGAGCAGGGCGCCCCCTGCGGGCGGGGACGGGTCTTAGGCGCGGCCGGGTCGGGGCGGCCCCAGCGGGAAGCACCCCCCGCCGCCTCCGCTCCCCTACACCCCGTCCCCCTCACCGAGCGTGGTGACCAGGTCCCTTAAGTCTGGCGGGCCTGCGCCGTCCATGCAGAGCAGCGCCTCCTCCACCTCCAGGGCGTGGCCCACGCAGCGACCCAGGGGCTTGTCCATGGCGGTCAGCGCTGCCGCGACCCGAAGCCCTAGGCTGGCTCCCACGCCAACCTGCGGAGAGGAGGCTCAGCGTGGACCCCCCATGGCGGGGCCTTCTGCAGCCGGTTCTTGGTCGAACTCCAGCCCCTGCTGCACCCTGGGTTGCCAGCCCCCCAGCATGAAGTCAGGGAAGGATTGGGGTGGGGAAGAGACACGAGTGAAGTGCGACACCTCGCCATGGGGCCAGGAGGAACTTGTACTTGGTCTGGGGCAGGAACGCCACAGAGGGCTTCCCCAGGTCCAGGCCGGGCCAGCCTTGACCTCTAAAGTCACAGCAGGTTAGGAAGCCGTGAAGGAGGGAGGGACTTCGGGCAGAAGAGGGTGGGACTGGGGTTAGGCAGGACTGCTGAGTGGAGGGAGGCAGTGGGGACGGGAGGGGTGAAGGGTAGGCTGGGCCCGCATCAAGACGCTTGCCCAGGGAAAGGCCACACCGCTCACCAGCGTCTTTGCCAGCTCCCGGGCCTGCTCCTGGTTGGGGAAGACGGCGGCCCCTCCGAACTTAACGTCCACCACCAGAGCGGACAGCCCCTCCACGAGTTTCTTACTGAGAATGGAGGCTTTGGGGGAGGCAGAGGAGGTTGGAGACAATGGAGAACCTGGAGCTTCTTGGGAGAGTTCGGGGATGCCGACTTTGGGGTCAGGGGCCCTGAGCATTGAGGGTCAAGTCCCTTATTATGGGGGTGGCAGCACCTGGTGGGTTGAGTATCAGGCCACCCCACATGGTGGTGGTCAGGCATCTTGTGATGGGGGTAGGGGGGCACACGGTCAGGTGACGGGTAACTCCTAACGAGAGGCCCTTGACTTGAGTTTGGAGGTCAGGAGCCTGTGAACATGCAGAAGCAGGCCATGGAGTCAGGTCACCTGTGATGAGTGGCAGGCTGTCCACGGTGGCTGTCACATCTCTGGCTGCATATAGGATTCCGTCCGCAGGAACCAGCTGCTCACTCTGACCCACGATACAGCAGCCCGCCTGGTCCAGCAGCACTTGCATCTGGTCAGACATCCCCTGTTCTCAGTGACTTATGGTAAATGACTTAGCAGCTTTTTTTTTTTTTTTTTTTTTTTCTGTGAAGAGTCTTCCTCTGTTGCCCAGGCTGGAGTGCAGTTGGCACAATTTCGGCTCATTGTGACCTCTGCCTCCTGGGCTTAAGTGATCCTCCCACCTCAGCTTCCCAGTAGCTGGGACTACAGGTGCGCACCACCACACGCGGCTTTTTTTTTTCTTCTTTTTTTTGTAGAGATCAAGTTTCACTATATTACCCAGGCTGATCTCCAACTGGGCTCCTCTGCCTCCCAGAGTGCTGGGACAGGGTCTCACTCTGTTGCCCAGGCTGGAGTGCAGTGGCATCGTCCCGGCTCACTGCAGCCTAGACCTCCCAGGCTCAAGTGATCCTCCTGCCTCAGCCTCCTGAGTAGCTGGAACCACATGCGTGCACCACCACACGCAGCGAACTATTTTGTAGAGATGGGGTTTTGCCGTGTTATCCAGGCTGGTTTTGAACTCCTGGGTTCAAGGGATCTGCCCTCTTCGGCCTCCCCAAGTGCTAGGACTACAGGTGTGAGCCACCGTGCCCCGCCAGCCATCTGTGATTTTGACCAACTTCCCATTTTATGATCCTAATCAAAGTTCCACTGATGATTTCGGCCCAGGCCCAGTGACTCATGAGTAACCTTGACCAGTGTTCTCATTAGTGACCCTAATGATCCACCAGTGATCTTTTAGTGATTCTGGCCAGGGTCTCCATCATCAACCTGGATTAATGACTGATCCGTGGCGCCCCGTACCTGCTCTGGGCTCTGGATGACATTGAATCCAGGAATAGACTCCAGCTTATCCAAGGTGCCTCCTGTGTGCCCCAGACCACGTCCGCTGATCATTGGCACCTGGTGGTCAGGGATGCTGAGTACCCTGCACAGTACCCCTCCCCCACCTCTGTGCATCCCTTCACCTTCCCTGGCTAGGAGTGCAGCTGGATTTGGAAAGTATTTAAGCAGCTATAGGGGTGCCCAGCTGGTGAGGGAATGGAAAGGAAGTTTTCTTGGTTGAGAAGTGTCAGTAGGGGAGGAGGTTGGTACCTGTCCTTGGGGAAACAAGGCTTGGGGCAGAGGGAGGAAAGTCCTCAGCTCCTCCCTTGGGGGAGCTGTCTGGGGACCCAAGGGGAAAGGGGTCTGAATTCCATCAGTGGATCTTTTTCCTGCTCCAAGGGGCCTGGTCTGGAGCCAGAGGGGCCCCAAGCGCTGTGCTGGGGAACGGGGTGGGGAGAACTGTGCTGGGGAGCAGGGTGGGGAGAAGCCTTGGTAGGGTCTTGGAGGCTTTGGGCCAGGCTTGAGGTTGGGAGCTGCCTGTGGATGGACTGGTTGCTGCATGTGCGGTATAGGCTCCCGTCTGGAAAGGAGGTGGTTTCTAACCTTGCAGCCACATGCCGCCAGGGCAGGTGCGAGGACCAGGCTGACCTTGTCACCCACACCCCCTGTGGAATGCTTGTCCACAAGCTGCTGGCGCCAGGCCTCTGGCCACTCCAGCTGCTGTCCCGACTGAGCCAGGGCCTGGGTCAGCACCGAGGTCTCCTCCAGATCCATGCCCCGAAGTCGGATGGCCATCAGCATGGCCCCTGGTATGTGGGGGTACGCGTGAGGGTGGCAGCCCACAGCGGTGGGGCACCCTGGGGCCGGTGCTGGTAGTGGGGCACCGTCGCACCCCCAGGGACCCAAAGTCTCTCGGGCTGACCTCCCAGTCGGGGTCAGGAACGCCCAACCCTCCCCACGCACCGATCTGTGCGCCCTGCGCGCTCCCATTCACCACAGCGGCCACGAAGCCCCTGATGTCCGCTTCGCTCAGGCGGCCTCCGTCTCGCTTCATGCGGATCAGCTCCGGGAGCTGCTTGGGCTCTGGCGAAGGGTCGGGAAGTCCCTGGCTCCCTTCCCCGGAGAAGTCACCAGGCGCGGGTGGGGCCCCGGTTCCCGGGGTCATCAAGGCTGCCATCGCTCCGGGCCTGCGGGGATGCCTGACACGTCCGGGGTCTGCGGCCTCCCGGCGTCGGTGTCTGAGCCACGTGCTCCTGTCCCGACCCCTTTCCCGTGTCTCTCCGGTGTCCGCCCCTCGGTCCCGTGTCTGTGTCGCCCTCGTCCGTGTCTGCCTCCCGCTTCCCCGCCTCGCGACTTGAGCCCCGCCCGTACCTGCTTAGGGCGCTGCCCTCGCCCGCTTGCTCCGGATCCCAGCCCAGGTACCCGGCCTCGCCCGCGGGTCGGGACCGTAGGGTTCAGGGTTCGCGCACAGCGGTCCACTGCCGGCGGCGGGGCGGCGGCGCCCCAGGACGGCAGGCGGGTGGGGCCGCCTGGAGGGCGGAGCTCGGCAGTCGCCGCCCCCGGGAAGCCTTGCACGCCGCGCCCCGGCCAATCCCCCGGTGCCCCCGGACACGCGGAACTTCCGGGCCGTCGGGGCCCGGGGCCGTCGGCGGGGGTGATCCCTGGCCGGTCCCGCCCGGCGTGGGTCTCGGGCGTCTGTGGCTCCCGAGAGTCCCCCTCCCGCCCTCGGTGGGGTCTCGACGTTCGGACGCGGCGCAGCGCTGGGGTCCCGGCCTCGCCCGACGCTCGGGCCCCGCCCCGCTGGGTTCGGAGTTGGGACACGGCCCCAGCCGTGGCTCCACCCCAGGCCTTGCGCCAGGACGCGCAGAGAGAGAGAGAGAGAGGCGGACACGATGCGGACTCGCAGACTTTAAGCAAACACGTGTGGGGCCGCTCCCGCCTGGCGGGTCAGTTGTCCGCGTCGGTCACCAGCGGGGCCAGGTAGTCCGAGTGCCGGATCCCGAAACTCCAGCCGCGGGGCTTCCGGTGCTGCGGGCCCGGAGACACCGCTGACCTCGCGGGGCCGGCATCCTCTCCGCGCCGGGACCCCTGGACCCCCGGGGACTCTGATCCCATCACTCCGACCTCAGGCCCTCCCCACTCTCCTGACTCTGACCCTTGACCCTGGGCTCCAGGCCACCTGATCCACGTTGTAGGCCGCGGGCCCTGGCTTCCGAGTGTTGTCTTGGGGGAGCGAAGTCCGCGCCAGAATCGTGAACTGGGGGGCCCGGGACTTGTAGACCCCTGGACTCACGACCTGATAGGCGCAGGGGCCCGGGGTCTGCGAGAGGGCAGAGGGTGCTGGCTGCCGCCTCCACTGCCGCGGACCAGGGACCCCCTGCGTCCGCCCCGGCCCCTCCCCCACCTTGCTGAGGTCCTCGAAGAAACTGCCAGCCGCTCTGCGGCCGTAGATGGAGCAAGTTGGGGCGGAGACTTTGCCGATGACGCGCGGACCCAAGAGCGAGGGCACCGTATAGGCCGCGGGACCTGGGGAGGAGGCAGGGCTCGGGGGTAGTGGGTCTCCGCGGACAGGCGCAGGGTGGTCCCAGCTCCCGGAGGGCGGTCCCCGGTCTCGAGTGGGAAGGCCCACAGTTCTGGGATGGGCCGTTCTGACCTCACCTGGGCTCTGCTGTTCCGCCTGGACACCCCAGTTTCGGGGAGCAATGGTGTGCCGAGGCGCACTGGGGTACGTCGCGTTCCCCGCTCGCTCCGGGAAGTACCTGCCTGCGGGGCGGATCAAGGGTGTGGGGGGCTAGAACTGCGTGGGAGCCTGGTGGGTACCCGAGATGGGGTCCTGGGACTAGTGGGGAGTCTGAGCCACGATTTATCAAAGCCCCGTGGGGTTCGGGGTTTGGGATTTGAGATCCGGATATGGGGGTACCGAATATGCGGTGTTAGGGTATCCGAGGGGGACTCGGGGTTCAGGTCGGGGGTTCCCAGGTGGGCCTCCCTGGAGGCAGTTCGGCGTTGGGGTGGCCAGGGGCCCGGGGGTCCTGACCAGGTCCCGGAGTGAGGAAGGGCGCTGAGCGGCGTGGGCGGCCGTAGATGGAGTAGGCGGGGGCGCCGTCGGTGCCGCGCACGGTCATGCGAGCGGGCACCAGGTGGCCTGGCCCGGGGCCGCACGTCGTCTGCTGCGTGGGGAAGCGCGCGCCGAAGGTGAAGGCGGGGGCGCGCGGCCGCGACGGGTCATGCAGGGCGTAGCCTGGGAGCATCCGAGTTAGCGTCTGGCCGGGCCCAGCCCCAAGCCCCATCTGCAACACGGACCCTCCCCCGGCACAGACCCCCTCTCCCCTCTAGCAGGCACGGTTCAGCCCCGAGCGCAGGCCTCCCTGGTCTCTTCCCCTTCCCTCCCCCAGGCGCCGTCCCACCCCTCAATCCCGGGGCCTGCCCCTTCTACCGGTGTTGGGCGGCAGCTTGTATTTGGGCCCGGGGCCTCCGTAGTGCGCCGCGATGGGGCCGCGGGGCCGGTGTGGCCGCCAAAGGCCCACCCAGGCGTCCGAGCCCATAGCGCGGGTGGGGGGCGCTTACGGCTCGCAGCACCTGCGGACAGAAGGCGGTGGCCGCGGCCCCTGCACCGCAAATTCTTGGGGAGCGCACTTTCCCACTACCCTGGGATCAGCGCGGGGCGGGGCGGGGCCTGGACCGTATCCCTGGCGCCAGCAAAACAAACGCGAGCTTCCTTCCCGGCTGTGTGGAGCTTGGGGCCGGGAGCGGATCCAGGGCCATCACCCGGACTCCAGGCGCATTAGGCAGGGACGTGAACTCGCGGGGGCCAAGTCTAGACCCAGACTTGGTGAAGGGAATCACCTGGGGGTGGGGTGGGGGCAGGAGATTTTCGTGCTGTTGGGAAAGGGTGCCCCGGGAAGGGCCTGCGTGGGGGACCCGGTGCCCCGAGGTGCACTGACCTGTTGTGGTAGCTCCTAGCGTGGGAAAACAAAGCGACGTGGCTGGACATCCCCGCTCCGCCCCGCCCACCTCCCAGACCCCATTGTGGCCCTTTCCCGCTTCCTGGCAACCGCACTGACTGCCTGCCCCCCCAACCTGGGTCCGCCTCCCCCTTCCCCACCACCCAGTGCCGCCGCTGGGCCTCTGTGTGGATTCTGTGGCACGGGTGGGATAGTAGCCTGGGCCACCCAGAACGCTGGCCTCACCCTTACCCAAGTTTCAGTATACCCATTCTGGAATAGGACAAATCTGCAGACAAAAGCAAGGATGGGAATAAAGGAACTGAATAATGCAAAGCACACACTCCATTTAATTATGTGTAGAGAGAGGACTTATCTATTTAAGTCCATGAAATATTCGCAAAAAAAATCATGTATTGGGCCACAAAATAATCACACAAATTGAAAAAAAGATGTGACACATGATTTGATTACAATCAAATACAATTCTAGGCAAACAAAATGTAAAAAAAAGAAGAAGAAAACTCAGCCTGGGCAATACAGTGAGACCCATCTCGACAAAAAACTTTAAAAATTAGCTGGGTGTGATGATGTACATCTGTATTCCCAGCTATGGGGTCGGTGGCTGAGTCGGCAGGATCTGTTGAGTCTGGGAGTTGGATCCTGCAGTGAGCAGTGATCCCACCACTAGACTCCGGCCTGGGTGACAGAGTGAGACCTTGTCTTAAAAAAAGAAAAAAAAAGGGAGAGAGAGAACAGGAAGCAGGAGCAAACAAATATTTTGAAATTGACAAATCTTTAAAAAAAAACCCTGGATCAAAACTTGTCAGAAATAATCTGGTTACAAACTGTAGCAGGAAGAGCCGCAGACAAAACTCCTCAGACACCAGGTTAAAGAAGGAAGGGATTTATTCGGCCGGGGGCATCGGCAAGACTCCTGTCTCAAGAGCCGAGCTCCCTGAGTGAGCAATTCCTGTCCCTTTTAAGGGCTCACAACTCTAAGGGGGTCTGCGTGAGAGGTCATGATCGATTGAGCAAGCAGGGGGTACGTGACTGGGGTCTGCGTGCACCGGGTAATCAGAACGGAACAGAACAGGACAGGGATTTTCACAGTGCTTTTCCATGCAATGTCTGGAATCTACAGATAACATAACCGGTTAGGTCAGGGGTCCCTCTTTAACTACCAGGCCCAGGGCGCGGCACTGGGCTGTCTGCCTGTGGATTTTATTTCTGTCTTTTAGGTTTTACTTTTTCTTTCTTTGGAGGCAGAAATTGGGCATAAGACATATATATGAGGGGTGGTCTCCTTCCTTAAAACTACATATCAAACACTACAAAGGTAGATTCCCTTCCTACTGAACTCCTACAGGAGGCAGCTAAAGCTGTGTTCTTGTGGGCGGAGGATTACCCAGGTGCCGAGGCAAGAGACTGAAGGCACAAACTGTTTCAGTATAATAAAGAAAATAGTTACAGTAAGAATAGTTATCATACAAATTAGATATAGAGATGACCATGGACATTATCAATCATTAGTGTAGACATTAGTCATTAACTTTTAATATTACTCTTTGTTGCATCATTAATATAACCTAGGAATCACCGGCGGGTATAGGGTCAGGTGCTGAAGGGACATTGTGAGAAGTGACCTAGAAGGCAAGAGGTGAGCCGTCTGTCACGCCCATATAAGGGCCGTTTGAGGGCTCCTTGGTCAAGCGGTAACGCCAGTGTCTGGGAAGGCACCCGTTACTTAGCAGACTGCGAAAGGCAGTCTCCTTTCTTTGAAGGAGTCAGGGAACACTCTGCTCCACCAGCTTCTTGTGGGAGGCTGGATATTTTCCAGGCCTGCCCGCAGTCATCCGGAGGCCTAACCCCCTCCCTGTGGTGCTTCACTGGTCACGCTCCTTGTCCACTTTCATGCTCCTCCCATACTCCTGGTTCCTCTTTGAAGTTCACAGTAGATAGCGGTAGAAGAAATAGTTAAAGTCTTAAAGTATTTGATCTTTCTTAGAAATGCATAGAAGAAAACGCTGACGTTTGCTGCCTTCCCTCTCTGCTTCAGCTACCTAAAAGGGAAGGGGCCCCTGTCCTGTGATCACGTGACATGCTTCACCTTGTCAATCACTCAGAAGATTCACCCTCCTTACCCTGTCCCCTTGTCTTGTATGCAATAAATATCAGCCGTTTGGGGCCACTACCGGTCTCCTCCTCTTGATGGTAGTGGTCCCCCGGGCCCAGCTGTTTTCTCTTTATCTCTTTGTCTTGTGTCTTTATTTATTATAATCTCTCATCTCCGCACACGGGGAGAACACCCACTAAGCCCCGTACGGCTGGACCCTACATGTTCTGAGGAAAATTTATAGTCATTTTAAGATGACTTCATTATGGCTGGGTGCGGTGGCTCACGCCTGTAATCCCAGCACTTTGGGAGGCCGAGGCGGGTGGATCACGAGGTCAGGAGATCGAGACTATCCTGGCTAACATGGTGGAACCCCGTCTCTACTAAAAATACAAAAAAAAATTAGCCAGTCATAGTGGCGGGCGCCTGTAGTCTCAGCTACTCGGGAGGCTGAGGCAGGAGAATGGCGTGAACCCAGGAGGCGGAGCTTGCAGTGAGCGGAGATTGCACCACTGCACTCCAGCCTGGGCGACAGAGCAAGACTCCATCTCAAAAAAAAAAAAAAAAAGACTTCATTATTATTATTTTAGACAGAGTCTCACTCTGTCAACCAGGCTGGGGTGCAGTGGAGCATCTCAGCTCGCTGCAACCTCTGCCTCCCAGGCTCAAACAATCTTCCCTTGTCAGCCTCCCAAGTAGCTGGGACCACAGACATGCACCACCACACTCGGCTACTTGTTTTGTATTTTTGGGAGAGGTGGGGTTTCACCATGTTGCCCAGGCCGGCCTTGAACACCTGGGCTCGAAAGATCCACCGGCCTTGGCTTCCCAAAGTGCTGGGATTACAGAAGTAAGCCACCCAGCCTCGTGACTACATTATTAATGAAGAAACGATTCAAAAAGCTTAGTATATATCTTACAAATGGAAAAAAAATAAGTAACATAAAGGAATGAAACAGGAACTAACACAAAGTAGTAGATAAAATATAATAACTATATATGTATATTTTTGAGACAGAGTCTCGCTCTGTCGCCAGGCTGGAGTGCAGTGGCACAATCTCGGCTCACTGCAACCTCCACCTCCCGGATTCAAGCAATTCTTCTGCCTTATCCTCCCGAATAGCTGGGATTACAGGCGCCCGCCACCATGCCCAGCTAATTTTTGTATTTTTAGTAGAGATGGGGTTTCACCATGTTGGCCAGGATGGTCTCGATCTCTTGACCTTGTGATCTGCCCGCCTCGGCCTCCCAAAGTGCTGGGATTATAGGCGTGAGCCACCGCGTCCAGCCACTCAGAGAGTTTTGTCATGGTTCTTTTCATAGGCATGTGTGCATGAAGGCCCCCACCCCTTCTTAACCTCTTATTTTGTTTGGGTTCGACACAAGTGACTCCATCTTGATATTGGCAATTTTTACGTTTCCTCTAAAAATACAAAAATTAGCTGGGCATGGTGGCAAGTGCCTGTAATCCCAGCTACTTGGGAGGCTGAGGCAGGAGAATCACTTGATCCCGGGAGGCGGAGTTTGCAGTAAGCTGAGACCGTGCCATTGCACTCCAGCCTGGGTGATAGTGAGACTCAGTCCCCAAAAAAAAAAAAAAAAAATTCTCTGAAGACATCACTGATCAATTATCCTGTGGTTAGGTTTCGATTATCCCTTCCTGTCCAGGTTGACTTGGTGCCATGTTGGGAGAATGGCCAGCAATTTTAAGTCAGTGTCAAAACCATTTGAACCACATTTGAGCAGCTGGAAGGAAATTTGGAAGGAGTAGCTATTGGGTTAAGTCGGCCTTTCATTTGATCAGTCTCACAGGTGTTCCCTATCATGTCAAAGTGCTGCGCCAGCATTACTTGTTAGCAGTTGTACTTTTGCAGAGGTTGGGCAGGTGCAGGGTTTTAAAAGAATGACACAGAGTGAAGTAATATGATGAACTCAGTTTGCAGAATGATTTTATTTTTGTATTTTCTTCTATCTATCTATCTATCTATACTTTAATAGAGACACTCAGCTATTTTTGTTTTTGTTGTAGAGAAGAGGTCTTACTTTGTTGCCCAGGCTGGTATCAAACTGACTTCAAACAATCCTCCTGCATTGGCCTCCCAAAGTTCAGGGATTATAGGCATGAGCCACTGTGCTTGTCCCTATATTTCTTAAATATAGTATAAAAATAGTATACACTGTATGCTCTTAGATTACTTGATTTAAGTGCTTTTTTTCTTTATGCCAATTAAATAGAGTTCTTTGTAAATTAAAATCACATATAGACATAAAGACACAAAAACATAGACAACACAAAGATCTTGTGGCTTTTCACTTGAAAATTTTAGTTATAAAACAGTAGGCCAGGCACGGTGGCTCATGCCTGTAATCCCAGCACTTTGGGAGGCCGAGGTGGGCAGATCACTTGAGGTCAGGAGTTCGAGACCAACCTGACCAACATGGAGAAACCCTGTCTTTGCTAAAAATACAAAAATTAGCCAGATGTGGTGGTGCGTGCCTGTCATCCCAGCTACTCGGGAGGCTGAAGCAGGAGAATCACTTAAATCCGGGAGGCGGAGGTTTCAGTGAGCCGAGATTGCACCATTTCACTTCAGCCTGGGCAACAAGAGCAAAACTCTGTCTCGAAACAAAAACAAAAGCAAAAACAAAAACAGTAAAACATAAAAATATAAATTCACGGGTGTGTGAAAGGACAGTTGGATTTAAATTATGTTTTTGATAAAACAGAACAGGTTAAGGTTACCTGTTCAGATGGCTAACGCTTTACGATTTTCATTACCCTACCGGTAATCCTCTGAACAAGATGGGAAGACGAGACTGGGCGCTGTGGCTCATGCCTGTAATCGCGGCACTTTGGGAGGCCGAGGCAGGTAGATCACTTGCGGTCAGGAGTTGGAAACCAGCCTGGCCAACATAGTGAAAACCCATCTCTACTAAAAATACAAAATTAACCGGACTTGGTGTCAGGCACCTGTAATCCTAGCTACTTAGGGAGGCTGAGGCAGGAGAATCGCTTGAACCTGGGAGGTGGAGGTTGCAGTGAGCCAAGACTGCACCACTGCACTCCAGCCTGGGGGACAGAGCGAGACTCTGTCACAAACAAACAAACAGCTCCTCAAATGAATATAAATATTTAATTCCAGTAAGATTTCCAATGTTAAAAATAGGAAAACACAAATTTAAAGTTCATATGCAAAAATGTGTTCAATTGTCAAAAAAATTCTAAAACAGGAAAAGAATAAAAGGGTTCTTAGGTATTAACCGCATGCGACAGTTAATTTGATGCACCAGGTTGGCTGGGCCACGCACCCCTGGCAGCTCTGTGCATTCCCGGCCCCTTCCTTGCTCCTGAAGCCCAGCCATCGCGGCATCTTTCTGCATTTGCTGCTTCTGAATCCCTTTGTGTCCTCTTTTCTTGACTTCCGCTGTTAACGTCATCTTACTAGGTAACGATTCGCTATGTTAATGTTTTTCCTGTTCACATTCCTGGTGTGGCTGTTCCCTTCTGTTTGGAACTAAGTCGTGATAGAGATTTTCGGAGGGGAAGATGAGAGAGGTTCGGTGAGTGTATCAGGCAGGGGTAGAAATGGATTTATTATGGGGAATATTATAGAATCGCTGGATGAGTTGGTGGTATAATAGCTGAGAGGTGGCCTTTGGGACTACCGAGCTTAAGAGGAAACTTGGGTAGCTGTGATTCTGAGATCAGGAACCTGCCGGGAATCCTGATGCTGCACCCCTGCTGCCCAGGCCTCCCTCAGCGACGGCTGAGTGTCCACAGCCCTGTCTGCCAGCAGTCAGCGCAGGGCGGAGGCCTCCGAGTCATTTCTGCCTTTCACATCTTACACAACTGCACTGAATCCAACAGCCTCGCCCGGAACTGTGGCTGCAAGGGGATCTGTAAAACACAGTATTGCCGCATTTGTATTTTAGGTTCTAAAATACAGGAAAATAAACAAAAGGAGGTGAGAATGGAAGCTGAACACAATGGACCACATCCAGCACAGTGGAAAATCAAGAGTCCTGATGTGAGCACAGCAGGCTTGAGATGTCGTCTGCCACCCAGTGATGTTCATGGCAGACGTAGCGGAGAGGTCCAGGTCGGAGATGCTGAACTGAGAGGCGTGCACAAGCCGTGGGAATGGATGGGGCCGCTTAGTGCAGGGGTCACCAAGTCCAGCCACCTCCTGTTTCTGTAAATAAAATTTTATTGGGGCCAGGCGCGGTGGCTCCCGCCTGTAATCCCAGCACTTTGGGAGGCCGAGGCGGGCGGATCATGAGGTCAGGAGATCGAGACCATCCTGGCTAACACTGTGAAACCCCATCCCTACTAAAAATACAAAAAATTAGCTGGGCGTGGTGGTGGGCACCTGTAGTCCCAGCTACTCGGGAGGCTGAGGCAGGAGAATGACGTGAACCCGGGAGGCGGAGCTTGCAGTGAGCCGAGATCCCACCACTGCACTCCAGCCTGGGCAACAGAGCCAGACTCCATCTCAAAAAAGAAATAAATAAAAATAAAAATAAAAAATAAAATGTTATAGGAACACAGCCACATCCTTTTATTTTTTAAGGTTGGTTTTGTGCAGACTTGAGTAGTTGCAAGAGACTGTGTGACCTGCAGAGGCAAAAACAGCCGCAATCCAGCTCTTCGCACAAAAACTTTGCTGCCCCTGACTGAGGGTGTGCACGTGGGTAAAGAGCCCCAGGGCCCTGCAGTACTCCCGGGCTGGAGACGTGGCAGAAACAAGCACTCTGATATGTGGATCATAAACAAGTGACAGCCTCCGACGCTCAGCACTTAGGCGTCTCAGCCAACTTTCATGAGTTAGGTTGTGGGATGTTTGATAAGTGTAGCTTCTCAAGTTTCTGTCATCCTCACCAGGGACCCTTAAGCTGGTGGACTCGTATTTGACATCTGCGGTGAGGTCCTGTTGTATTCCAGGAAGACTTAATTTTCCAGACTATAATAGATTACTGTGAAACCCCAGCATAATTACCTTACCTGAGCTAAATATTAAAATAGAGACCAGGCCTGAAGAACCCCTGAGCAGACAAAACCAGTTAGGCGTTCTAACTGACCTCAACCTTGCCTAAATGGAAAACGTAAGTGAAACTTAACTGGAGTCATTTCTGATAAATGGTTATGTGAGGCAGAAGTAAAACTCAACTCCAGCCAATCCTAAGCGGCCAGCTAACGCTCAATTGCGTAACTAGGGACTTCCCAACTAGACAGACCAAATGAGGAAGTTGCATAACTGTAACCAAGTGATTTCTTCAGTGTGCCTCCTGATTTTCTTAAATAGACAGACAAATACTTATCTCTGACATTTTTGTCACTAGCCTGAGAAAAAAAGTGTTTATGGCCAGGCTCACACCTGTAATCCCAGCACTTTGGGAGGCCGAGGTGGGTGGATTACTAGGAGTTCAAGACCAGACTGGCCAACATGGAGAAAGCCCATCTTTACTAAAAATACAAAAATTAGCTGGGTGTGATGGCGCGTACCTGTAATCCCAGCTACTCGGGAGGCTGAGGCAGGAGAATCGCTTGAGCCCAGGAGGCTGACATTGCAGTGAGCCGAGATCACGCCACTGCACTCCAGCCTGGGGGACAGAGCAAGACTCTGTCTCAAACAAAAAAAAAAAAAAAAGGAAAAGATAAGAAAAACAAGTGTTTATATGAAGTATTTTCTCAGAAAAAGAGTAACCCAAATACTTTTCAAGTCCATGTGGCTTGATTAATCTTTAATAAATAAGAATATTGGTGATTTAGTAAAAATGGATATTCTACCTAGCTTTGTTAATCAAATAAACTCATATTATCTCTGTTACAAAATTTGTCAGCAAGAAAATTTTGTATATATATATATGTTTTTTTTAGTAGAGATGGGGTTTCTCCATGTTCGCCAGGCCGGTCTCGAACTCCCGACCTCAGGTGATCTGCCTGACCTCCGCCTCCCAAAGTGCTGGGATTACAGACGTGAGCCACCGCGCCCGGTCTTTTTTTAACTGACATCTTCATTCCATCATCTGAAGAGGCTGCAATCTCTGGGCTCAAAAACTAAGATCATAGTCACTGGTAGTCAAAAAAAAAAAAAACGAACAAGGCTAAGGTCATAATTTACTCCAAAGATTAACCTTTGTTAAATTATTTTGTTTCCATAGAACAATACTTTGAATTCCCCATCATGCAATGCAATCTGAAATGAACAACTTAGCCTCAACAGTGTTCCAAACTAGAAGCTCTTGATACCTTAGGAGCTTAACAAATAAGAGCTTGTGTTCTTGATAAGAAAATTTCCTTATCAATACGTTAGAAATTGTTTTCCAAAATTTAAAGACTCTTAAGAAACAAATGTAAGTCTCTCATGAGATAGACGACGCCGTTGGTTGATTTAATGGGTTAAATCTTGGCTCCTGGGGATCTCAGCTGCAGGGAGTTGCTGAGTCCTTGGTGGTTTTTCTTACAGTCATTGTGTTTACCCAGTTCCTTCATTGTATCCTCTCAAGGGTTTCAACACTTTCCAGCAGCCACTCTCACATCAAATGATTGCCATCAGGATTAAACAACTTACAGAATTCAACACCCCACCACCCAGGTCTATGATGGTGATCACCTGTACACGACTCTGCACTCCAGTGACTACGTCACTCAGTGGTAACAGAGAGCAAAGCTCTACCATCTGGTCATCCTCTCAGCTTGCCCAGTGGGGATTTGTTGAAGTAAATTTTTTTTTTTTTTTGTGACGGAGTCTCGCTCTGTCACCCAGGCTGGAGTGCAGTAGTGCGATCTCAGCTCACTGCAACCTCTGCCTCCTGGGTTCAGCAATTCTCCTGCCTCAGCTTCCCGAGTAGCTGGGATTACAGGTGAGTACCACCATGCCCAGCTAATTTTTTTGTATTTTTAGTGGAGACGGGGTTTCACCATGTTGGCCAGGCTGGTCTCCAACTCCTGATCTCAGGTGATCCACCTGCCTTGGCCTCCCAAAGTGCTGGGATTACAGGTGTGAGCCACTGCACCCGGGCTGTTTAAGTAAACTAAAATGGAGACCGGGCCTGAAGAATCCCTAAGCAGACAAAACAAGTTAGGTCTCGTAAGTGACTTCAGCCTTGCTTAAATTGAAAACATAAGTGAAACTTAACTTGAGCCATTATTTTGTTTGTTTGTTTTTCAGTAGAGACAAGGTCTTGCTATGTTGCCCAGGCTGGTCTCAAAGACTAGTCATCTGCCCTGCCTCGGCCTCACACCCAAAGTGCTGGGATTACAGGCATGAGTCATTTCTTTTTTTTCTTTTTTGAGACAGAGTCTTCTCTGTTGCCCAGGCTGGAGTGCAATGGCGCAATCTTGGCTCACTGCAACTTCTGCCTACCGGGTTCAAGCAATTCTCCCACCTCACCCTCCCGAGTAGCTGGGATTACAGGCACTTGCCATCATGCCCAGCTAATTTTTGTATTTTTGTAAAGATGGGGTTTCACTATGTTGACCAGGCTGGTCTTGAACTCCTGACCTCAGGTGATCTGCCCACCTCAGCCTCCCACCCAAAGTGCTGGGATTATAGGCGTGAGCCACCATGCCTGGCTGAGTTGTTTCTGATAAATGCTTCCATTAGACAGAGATAAATTTTAATCTACCCAATCATAAGTAACCAACTATCATGATTATATAACTACTGACTTTCCAACAGGATAAGCCAAAGAAAGCAACTCTATAACTGTAACCAATCAAATAATTTCTTTATTGTGCTTCTACATTTTCCCAATAAAAACTTGCACTTGATGTTTTGTCTCTGGAATACTAACGCTCTTTCAGTCAGGTGTTCCCCAATTCATAAATTGCTTTTCACTCAAATAAACCCTTTAAAATTTTGTTGTGAGTCAGATGTTTCTTTAACGCATGGTTGCAAAACGTGCTGTTAGTAAGGAACATGACTGAGATCTACATTCAGGTCCTAGTGCAGTTTCTTTTGCTGTCACCAGGGCCATCTTGCTGGCTTGCCACAGGTTATGTGATAATGACTGGGCATCATTCATGGGAAACTGCACTGCGTAAGCAGGCCTGGCTAGGCCCACAGTAGGCCCCGGGCACATTTTCAGCTGCGAAGCGGAGGACTAGCAACCGGTGAGGTAGAAGGAGAACCAAGAGATGGTGGGAGAATGGGAACTGAGCTGAGAGAGCTTCCGGAAGGTTGCGGTGGCCTAGGGCGATCCACGTCATTGAGAAACGGCGTTAGGCTGATTTCACGGGGCAGATGACATGGAAGTGCTGCTGAGGAAGACGCTGAGCTCCGAGGTGAAAAGGGATGAGGACGCCTAAGAAGACACGAGCGCAATACCTAATACAATTTCCTGAAATTGTTTCATGTCACACGTTAAAATAATATGAAACACGTTAAATAATAAAATGGTATGAAGGTTTTGTCTGAACTACAGTGATTTGTCTTCAGATTTTGAAATATAACAGACTTTATTTTATTTATTTTATTTTTTGAGACAGAGTCTCGCTCTGTCGCCCAGGCTGGAGTGCAGTGGCGCGATCTCGGCTCACTGAAACCTCCGCCTCCCGCGTTCACGCCATTCTCCTGCCTCAGCCTCCCGAGTAGCTGGGACTACAGGTGCCCGCCACCGCGCCCGGCTAATTTTTTTGTATTCTTAGTAGAGATGGGGTTTCACCGTGTTAGCCAGGATGGTCTCGATCTCCTGACCTCGTGATCCGCCCGTCTCGGCCTCCCACAGTGCTGGGATTACAGGCTTGAGCCACCGCGCCCGGCCCTGAAATTGTTTAATGTCACACGTTAAAATAATATGAAACACGTTAAAATAATAAAATGATATGAACGTTTTATTTTATCTGCACTACAGTGATTTGTCTTCAGATTTTGAAATATAAAAGAGTTTATTTATTTTATTTTTTAAGACAGAGTCTCGCTCTGTCGCCCAGGCTGGAGTGTGGCGGTGCGATCTCGGCTCACTGAAACCTCCGCCTCCCGGGTTCAAGCGATTCTCCTGCCTCAGCCTTCTGAGTGGCTAGTATTACAGGTGTCCGGCACCATGCCCCACTAATTTTTTTTTTTTTTTAAAGTAGAGCAGGGGTTTCACCATGTTGGCCAGGCTGGTCTTGAACGCCTGACCTCAGGTGATCTGCCTGCCTCGGCCTCCCAAAGTGCTGAGATTACAGGTGTGAGCCACCACGCCCGGCCAAAAGCCTTTATTTTTTGCCTTTTCTGCTTTTAACCATCCTCCTTTTTGGGGGGTTGGGGGGACCTAGTTATTAACAGAAAAAAACCCTTTGCTGGTGTCTTTTTTTCTTTTTTTTGAGATGGAGTCTGGCTCTGTCACCCAGGCTGGAGTGCAGTGGCGCGATCTCGGCTCACTGCAACTCCCCGGGTTCAAGCGATTCTCCTGCCTCAGCCTCTGGAGTAGCTGGGATTACAGGCGCCCGCCACCACGCCCGGCTAATTTTTCTATTTTCGGTAAAGACAGGGTTTCTCCCTGTCGGCCAGGCTGGTCTCGAACTGCTGACCTCAGGCGATCCAACACCTCGGCCTCCCACCTCGAGGCGATCCGACACCTCGGCCCAGGTCGCACTTTTTTGCCCGTTTTGATCCCATCCTCCAACTGCGGCCACAGCCGGAAATGTAGAGAAATTCGCGCTCCTGGGGCCGGCGGGGCTGGCGCTGGCTCACCCGCTCCCCGGGCCCTCCCAGTCGCCAGGTTTGCGCTCGGAGCCCAGGGGCTGCGGGTTCACAGTTCGCCCGCGAGTCGCTGTCAACCCTCCAGGCGCGGCCCGGGGGCGCTCGCGCGCGCTGCCAACGGAGCCATCCCTGACGCGTTCTCAGTCTACGGCAGAAAACGCCAGTCGGCGCCGGACCGTGACTCCAGGGTTTCGCGGAAATAAATTTTAATCCAGTTTTGAAGCCACCACTTGGAGTTCCAGGGCAGTTGCACCCCGGGGGTGCGCTGCCGCCACCGCTTCCCGCCCCCTACTCAGTCTCTAATATTTATGGGTGTCATCTCCATCCTCTGAAGGTTTCTGGACCCCAAACTTAACCAAGAGGCAGAGCCTGAGACTGGGACAGAGAATAAGGGCACGGTCTAGAAAGCCTTCCCTCAACTTGAGGTCCACCTTAAGGCATGGGGCCCACCCTCACCCTCTCCCTGTCATCTAATAGTCCCAGGGGGAGCTGGGAGGTGAGTTACCTGAGGCTCAGTAGGGTTCAGGCTGGGTGCCAGGGACACTCCTAGGCCATCTCCTTGCTGCTTGAGTAAGGGAGAAATCCCCAGGCCTGCTGTGTCCCAGAGGAAGGAAAAATACACACGGTACTTTCCAGGGAGCCCTGCCTTTGTCCCAGGGACTCCAGGCTCTTTTTCTTGTCTGAGCCTCACCTGGCACCTGGCCCGAGACACTCCTGAGATGGGATTAAGCAAGGAGCAGGTGGAGGAGCCCAGGCTTCTCCCTCAGGAAGCAAGTGCTCACATCCAACAGAAGTACCTACATGCCGGCCTGAGCCAGGGCTAGGAGGTACCAGCCAGGATGTGGTCTCGAGGGCGAGTCCTCAGCTCAGATAAGGGAAGGCTGAGGACTGAGATGAAGACACCCAGAGTCTGGCTATTAGAGCACCTGGGGCCAGAGGGGGGTGGTTTCTAAGGGATCCAGGTGCTGGCTGATGCGGTAACTGGAGTAGGGGGCAGGCTGGGCTCAGGGTTCTCCAGGGGCACAGTGAGAGTCTCATCTGGGCAGTCAAGACACTCTCGATGGGCGCAGGGGGTCCAGGAGATCCTAGAAGGTCTAGGTGGGCTGAAATAAGCCTGGCCATAAAGAGAGAAATATGTTTGGATTTTATTTATCCCATTAATTTTTTTTTTCTCTTGACTTGATAACCCTATCCCATGTCTGGTAAACCCAGAGTAAGGAGTCCAAAAGCTGCTGGAGGAGGAGCTATGGGAGCCTCAGTCTCCTCTCTATGCCCCCTCCCT
Organism: Homo sapiens; assembly: GCF_000001405.40. Classification (NCBI taxonomy): domain Eukaryota; kingdom Metazoa; phylum Chordata; class Mammalia; order Primates; family Hominidae; genus Homo; species Homo sapiens. Next base: position 50,545,564 of record NC_000022.11, read on the forward strand.
GTGCCCCAGTACAAACCTCCACAGCACCCCTGCAATGATAATGCTCACTGCCAGGACCCGTGTCCAGGGTCTCCCTCTTCAGCCTGAGAGACCACCGTCAGGCACAGCCTGCACCCTCCCGTGCACGGCCCCCACCCCTCCCCTGCTGGCCCACAGTGGAATCAGCCTCTCCGGTTTCTGGTGATTTCATCAGGGCCACATCACATTGCTAGAGCTAGAGATAACATCTCCCTGTGGGTAACCCTTCCCTGCCAAGCCCCCTGAAGCTGGGCCCAGGCTGAGAGGAGGGACTGTGGGGTGTGGAATAAATTTAGGGGTGTGAGGGTCTACCAGGCAGAAGCAGGTTGGCTGTGATGACAGCACAGAGCTCAGGAACGCTGCCTGAGGACCCTGGGGCCTACGAGGAGGAGAAGAGGGCAGGAGCTGGTGGGGTGCTTGCAGAGACCCTGGGCTCCTATCCTGCCATAAGCCTCGCTGTCTCCTGATATCTGCAGCCAGGCCCTACTGACACCCCCAGGCCTGAGTGCAAGCAGAGACCCCACCATTCCCAGGCCCTGGAGGACTGGTCCACCTTAACTGGGCAGCCCTTGGGGCAGGCGCTGGCCGGTGCCTCAGCCCAGGCCTCTGTGCTCTGCATGCACTGCCAGCCTGCCATCAGGCCTCTATTGCAGCCCTGAACCATGATCCAGGGCACCTTGGAGCCAGATGGTCCCCTCTGGGGCTGGGACTGGGACAGTGACAATGACTGGGATAGTGCTGTGCTGGCCCTCCTGGCGCTGGCTGTGGTGGCTGCCACAGCGCTGGCCTTACACTGGTTTGGCTCCGGGCACGATCAAGAGGCGGCAGAACCGGTGTCCACAGCCCTCGGGGCTCAACCTCATCAGGCAGGAGGAGCTGAGCTGGCCCTGCAACCGAAGTCTAAGGTCAGTGATGGCAGCGAGGGGCAGAGCCCAGGGCAGGGGAAACCAGAGCCCCCAGGACGCGGCCAGCAGAGCCCTGTCCCTGCTGCAGCGCCGGGCGGGGGCCTGGCCGCCATGGCCCGGCTTCCACTCAAGACGGCTGTCGAGGAGGCCCGCAGAGAGGCATTAGGACAGCAACGGGGCAGTGCCACCCCCGCGGCCCCCCGAGCGGAAGGAAAGGAGCCTCCCAGGCCAGGCACTGCCCTCCTGGGCAGGAGCGAAGCAGGGGGGATGTCCGCCCCCCTCCTGATCCACTTCACTCCTCGGAGCCCTGGCAGCGAAGCGGAGGCGGAGACAGGTGGTGTCAGGGCGTCCTCTCGCCAGGCCGCAGGCCCCGCGGGGCAACAGGACACTGGCCCCTGGCAGGCGGGCGCGGGGCCCTCGGGCTCGATGGGGAGAGGCCGGGGCCGGCGGCGGCGGATGGACGCTGGCTCGGGAGACAGAGCCCGCCGCCCCCGGAAACTGGACCCGCTCCGCCTGGGCGCCGCGGGGAGCGTGTGGGACGCGGTGGACGGGGCCGCCGCCCTGGACGCCCACGCGCGCGGCCTCCCCACAGGACCCCCACTCGCCCAGGAGCCCGCACTCCCGGCGCTGCCCGCTCCCCGCGCCCTGCAGCCTGGGTCTCAGACGGAAGGCTCTGGGGCCAAGGGTGGCTGGAGCAGGGAGGCCTCGGGGGTCCCTGCCCCCGGAGGAGGCTGGCCCTGGGTCAGCAGGGAGGTCCCGGGCACCCGGAGCTTTGGCCCAGCCCCAGACTCCACGCGCCCCTGGCTAGAGAGTCCGCCTCAAGGTCGCCCACTCTCGTCCCAAGGGCCGGGTGCCACAGGGGCCTACGATGCCGGCGAGGCCGGGGCTGACAGCTCCCGAGATAACAGTCCTGCCGCTGACCTGGGGCCCACCCGGCCCCCGGAGCAAGCAAAGCCGGCTGCAGCCGGCCACAGCCGCGCGCCCTCCCGGAGCCGTGAGCCTCGCCCGCGCTCCGCCTCCCCGCCCGCAGCTCCCGGCCCGGGGTTCCCACCTGAAGCCCTGACTCTCCCCTCTCCTTCAGACTTTTTGCCCCTGGAGGTTACCCAGGATCCTTCCGTGGGCGAAAATCTCAGAGCGGCGCCAGCCCCAAGTTCAGCCTCAGCCCAAGTCTTAACTTCAGCTCCAGCCTCAGTCCTAGCCCCAGCCCTGGCTTCATCCCCCAGCTCAGCACCAACCTCAGCCACCACCTCAACCTCATCCCCCACCTCAGCCCCAGCCCCAGCTCCAACCTCAGCTCCAACTTCAACCCCAGCCCCAGCCCCAAGTCCAGCTGCAGCCGCAACTCCAGCCCCAGCCCCAGTCCCAGTCCCAACCCTCACACCCCCATCCCCAGCCCTAACCCCAGTCCCAACCCCAGCCCTAAGCCCAGCTCCAACTCCAGCCCTAACCCCAGCCGCATCCCCAGCCCTAACCCCAGTCCCAACCCCAGCCCTAAGCCCAGCTCCAACTCCAGCCCCAACCCCAGCCGCATCCCCTGCCCCAGCCCCCACCTCAGCCCCAACCCCAACCCCAGCCGCATCCCCTGCCCCAGCTGACGGGTCAAAGCCTCAGGAGAGTGTGGCTCTCCCCAGGCGCTACCAGGAGGGGCAGGTCTCAGCCAGCTGGGGAAACCTTATTGCCATGGTTCTTAGAAGCCACCCCTTCCCCAGGCAAGACAGGCCCCAAGGGAGTGTCCCGAGGGCGGTTCCCGGGAGCCCCGTGGGTCCCAGCACTTCCACACACTCTGAGGACAGACACGGCCCCTCTTCTTCAGTGGGGACAGTCATAGGGACAGGTACAGGGGGCCTGGTTGAGGCTGGAGGTCAGCCACAGCCAAGAAGCTCCGAGACCAACGGATCGCCCAGCCCAGACCCTCCCCCAGGCCTAAGAGGAGAGGGAACCAGGGAGAAAAGTCTAGACCCGCTGCCCCAAGCCGCGATGCCCAGGGGCCCCGCACAGCCCCCCGCGCAGAGGCCGCCTGGCCCCGCGGCCTCCTCCTCTGCGAGGCGCTCACAGCCGGTACCCCAGCTACGGAAACGCAGCAGGTGCGAAATCGCCCCGAGCTCGGAGCAGGAGGTCAGGCCGGCCGCCTCGGGGGACCCTCAAGGGGAGGCGCCGGGGGAGGGGGGCAGCCCTGCCGGCCGCAGCGGGGCGCTCACGGAAAAGCAGGAGGAGGCCCGGAAGCTCATGGTGTTTCTGCAGAGGCCCGGGGGTTGGGGGGTGGTGGAGGGGCCCCGGAAGCCCAGCTCCCGGGCCCTGGAGCCCGCCACGGCGGCAGCCCTGCGGCGGCGGCTGGACCTGGGCAGTTGCCTGGACGTGCTGGCCTTTGCCCAGCAGCACGGAGAGCCCGGCCTGGCGCAGGAGACCTACGCGCTGATGAGCGACAACCTGCTGCGAGTGCTGGGAGACCCGTGCCTCTACCGCCGGCTGAGCGCGGCCGACCGCGAGCGCATCCTCAGCCTGCGGACCGGCCGGGGCCGGGCGGTGCTGGGCGTCCTCGTACTGCCCAGCCTCTACCAGGGGGGCCGCTCAGGGCTCCCCAGGGGCCCTCGTGGCGAGGAGCCTCCTGCGGCGGCCCCTGTGTCCCTGCCTCTACCTGCGCACCTGCATGTGTTCAACCCCCGGGAGAACACCTGGCGGCCCCTGACCCAGGTGCCCGAGGAGGCCCCGCTTCGGGGCTGCGGTCTCTGCACCATGCACAACTACCTGTTTCTGGCGGGGGGCATCCGTGGCTCCGGTGCCAAGGCCGTCTGCTCCAACGAGGTCTTCTGCTACAACCCTCTGACCAACATCTGGAGCCAGGTTCGGCCCATGCAGCAGGCCCGAGCCCAGCTCAAGCTGGTGGCCCTGGACGGGCTGCTCTATGCCATCGGTGGCGAATGCCTGTACAGCATGGAGTGCTACGACCCGCGAACAGACGCCTGGACCCCACGCGCGCCACTCCCCGCAGGCACCTTCCCTGTGGCCCACGAGGCTGTGGCCTGCCGTGGGGACATCTACGTCACCGGGGGTCACCTCTTCTACCGCCTGCTCAGGTACAGCCCCGTGAAGGATGCTTGGGACGAGTGCCCATACAGTGCCAGCCACCGGCGTTCCAGCGACATCGTGGCACTGGGGGGCTTCCTGTACCGCTTCGACCTGCTGCGGGGCGTGGGCGCCGCCGTGATGCGCTACAACACAGTGACCGGCTCCTGGAGCAGGGCTGCCTCCCTGCCCCTGCCCGCCCCCGCCCCACTGCACTGCACCACCCTGGGCAACACCATTTACTGCCTCAACCCCCAGGTCACTGCCACCTTCACGGTCTCTGGGGGGACTGCCCAGTTCCAGGCCAAGGAGCTGCAGCCCTTCCCCTTGGGGAGCACCGGGGTCCTCAGTCCATTCATCCTGACTCTGCCCCCTGAGGACCGGCTGCAGACCTCACTCTGAGTGGCAGGCAGAGAACCAAAGCTGCTTCGCTGCTCTCCAGGGAGACCCTCCTGGGATGGGCCTGAGAGGCCGGGGCTCAGGGAAGGGGCTGGGATCGGAACTTCCTGCTCTTGTTTCTGGACAACTTTCCCCTTCTGCTTTAAAGGTTGTCGATTATTTTGAAGCCCAGACTCCCTCAGCCTCTTTCTGCCCCTCACTCCACACCCAGACTGTTTCCTGACTCAATTCCGTACCTACTTACAGACCCTCTCAGCTTGCTGACACCCCCCTGTCTGTGGGACTCCCTATTCCCTAGAGCCAGGGACTGATGCGTCTCCACAGACAAGGACTTGGCTCGCTGGAGCTCTGCTGAGCCGAGAGAGGAGGGGGTAGAAAACATTCACACTTCCTATGCTCTGTCAGCAGGACAGGGAGCAAAAACGTCCCCAGGCAACGCCCTCGCCTCTGGGACTTTCTGCCTGTCCTAAGGCCTCCCCAGGTACCAACCCCGTAGCTATCTGGGTCTGTTTGGCACTGTGGATTCTCAAGGGCCTAGAACCCTTGCCTCTGAAACTGGTCCGCTGGTGCAGCCCTGCTGTCTGCAGCTCCTGCCCATACCCCCAGCCCACACCAGGCCAGGCCCACTCCGGGCTCACCACCCTCTGCAGCCTTGTGGGGCTCTCCCAGCCCCTCCAGAAGCCCACCCCACTTCTCGCCAACCCCCGATCTCTAAATGAGGCCTGAGCGTCACCCTAGTTCTGCCCCTTTTTAGCTGTGTAGACTTGGACGAGACATTTGACTTCCCTTTCTCCTTGTCTATAAAATGTGGACAGTGGACGTCTGTCACCCAAGAGAGTTGTGGGAGACAAGATCACAGCTATGAGCACCTCGCACGGTGTCCAGGATGCACAGCACAATCCATGATGCGTTTTCTCCCCTTACGCACTTTGAAACCCATGCTAGAAAAGTGAATACATCTGACTGTGCTCCACTCCAACCTCCAGCCTGGATGTCCCTGTCTGGGCCCTTTTTCTGTTTTTTATTCTATGTTCAGCACCACTGGCACCAAATACATTTTAATTCACCGAAAGCACCTGCAGCTTGCACTTGTTGTGTTTTGTTCACAAGGTTTGATATGCAGCTGGGTGGATCATGGCACAGGAGAGAAGAGGTCCTCGGGCTGTGCTTAAAAATAAGTTTATTAAGAAACAAGTACAGTGCATACAGCTATTCATGTGGGTGCCAGCTCCATCCCCCAGTGACCTCTTCATACGGGCAGAGGGTGGCATGGCAGCTGTGGTGGGCCAGTGGGGCCTACAGCCTTTGCTTGGTCTCATGCAGCAGCTCTTGCCAGTTCTTCTCCATCTCCTCCTTGCAGTTGACGAAGGCATCCTCCAGCCGACGCATGGACTCGGCCAGCGTAGGGTTGGTGCGCATCACCACCATGTCATAGGCCATCCAGGTCGCCTGCACTGCAACAAGCAGACAGGACTGGTCAGGCCACAGGGAGGGGCTGCAGCTCTGGGGTGCCCCAGAAGGGTCAGATGCCTCCAGCTGGGCTCAGCATCTGGAGGCCCAGATCCTGCTGAGGCACCCAATTACTCTAGGGAGAGACAGCTGGTAGGCTACTTGTTACAGGCTCATAAAAACTCCCTACAAACATCCATAGTGACGCTTCCTAGTCTCATGCAAGGCATAACTTCTGGATACACCAGACATGATGTAAAAAACTAGAGGCTGGTCTGATACGAAATGTGAGGAGAATTAGAGCAAACCGCAGCTCCTTACCTACAAGCAGTTCACAGCCAATGGCTGCAGGTGACCCCTAAGGAGTCATCCACCCAAGCTCACACACTCAGGTAGAGTTGATTGTTTCCAGTCCTGCAAGACCCAAACCTCATGTCACCTTATGTTCAGTGGCCTGGGATGCCTGCCCACCTCCACCTGGGCACCTCTATGCTTTCGTTGAGGCCCAGGCCTGGGGCTTCTCCTCTTGGGAAGGTGTCCTTGACCATCTACCAATGCACTGATGGGCTCTCTTGCTCTTTCCCTCTGACAGCAACTCGAAGGTAGCATTCCCTGGGCCTATAGGTGAACACATGCTTCTTGTGTGAACTCAAAGAAGTGTGTGCAGAAATCCCACCTCCAACTTTTTCTCTGCATAGTCCACCGGCTGGTGTGGTTCAGCCCTCTGCAACTATACAGAACAAAGGTCATCTCCCCTCTGCATGACAACCAACTGTACATAGCAAACACATCCCCTTAAAATTCCTCTTTGTGGAATCCTCACAAGCATCCCAGATCGTTCCGGTGCAGGGAGGCCGCAGACTACCTGGACAGCAGGTGCAGCAGGGACCTGGGGCCAGAGCAGAGTACGCCTCCCAGCTCCCCACCTGACGACTCTGTGACCTGGAACAAGTGTCTGCAATGTATCAATCTCGGCCGGGTGCGGTGGCTCACGCCTGTAATCCCAGCACTTTGGGAGGCCAAGGGGGGTAGATCACGAGATCAAGAGATTGAGACCATCCTGGCCAACATGGCCAGTGTTCCTGGCCCATCTCTACTAAAAATATAAAAATTAGCCGGGTGTGGTGGTGGGTGCCTGTAGTCCCAGCTACTAGAGAGGCTGAGGCAGGAGAATCGCTTGAACCCAGAAGGTGGAGGTTATATATACATAAATCTCAGTCTCCTCATCTTTGGAGACCCTACCAATCTCATGGCTTACTGTGAGAATTAAATGGGTGATATATGTAAACTGCCTGGCACACATGTTATGGACTGAATGTGTCCCTCCCACATTCACCTGTTGAAATCCTAACCCCCGACGTGATGGTATTAGGAGGTCGGGTCTTTTGGAGATGATTAGGTCCTAAGGGTAGACCCTCCTGAATGGGATTAGCACCCCTTAAAGAAGAGACACAAGAGCTCACTCTCACTCTATGCAAGGATATGTGAGGCTCTATGTGAGGATACAAGAAGGTGGCTGGCCGGGCAAGGTGGCTGGTACCTATAATCCCAGCACTTTGGGAGGCTGAGGTGGGTGGATCACTTGAGCTCAGAAGTTTGAGATCAGACTGGGCAACATGTTGAAACCCTGTCTTTACAGAAAATACAAAATTTAGCTGGGCATGGTGGTGTGCACCTGTAGTTGCAACTACTCAGGAGGCTGAGATGAAAAAAAGGATCCCTTGAGCCTGGGAGGTGGAGGTTGCAGTGAGCCAAGATTGCACTACTGCACTCCAGTTTGGGTGACAGAGTATGACCCTGTCTCAAAATAAATAAATAAATAAATAAAATCCCAAAGTGCTGGGATTACAGGCCACTGCGCCCAGCCATAACGTTTTTTTGAGTGCAAATTAAATCATTGTTTCTTGGCTACAATAATCCTCTAGAGAGGACCAGATTGTAACTTTTCCTCATATTTTTCGTTGGTGCCCTAATGGAATAGGTTCCTTTTTCTGTTCTAATGCACAAATTACTCTTATAATTGTCAAACTTATCTCCCCTCATTTTGCTTCCAAGGAAACTAAAATCATGGTATTCTGCAGATGACCAAAGATATGAATCTCCCTCATTTGGCATCGCACTGGGCCCGGATCTGTTACACTGCAAATGCCCTGCTGCTAAAACGATACAAACACCCTCCCTCTATGCCCAGGGACTATCACAGAAGAGAGAGTCTCGCTCCGTCACCCAGGCTGCAGTGCAATGGTATGATCTCGGCTCACTGCAAGTTCCGTCTCCTGGGTTCAAGTGATTCTCCTGCCTCAGCCTCCTGAGTAGCTGGGATTCCAGGCATCCACCAACACGCCCAGCTAATTTTTGTATTTTTATTAGAGATGGAGTTTCACCATATTGCCCAGGCTGGTCTCAAACTCCTGACCTTGTGATCCTCCTGCCTCGGCTTCCCAAAGTGCTGGGTTTACAGGTGTGAGCCACCGTGCCCAGCCTGTAGCAGATTTATATAAAAATGCAATATGCGGCTGGGTGCGGTGGCTCATTCCTGTAATCCCAGCACTTCGGGAGGCCAAGGCAGGCAGATTATGAGGTCAAGAGATTGAGACCATCCTGGCTAACACGGGGAAACTCCATCTCTACTAAAAATACAAAAAAAATTAGCCATGCATGGTGGCGGGCACCTGTAGTCCCAGCTACTCGGGAGGCTGAGGCAGGAGAATGGCGTGAACCCGGGAGGCAGAGCTTGCAGTGAGCCGAGATTGTGCCACTGCACTCCAGCCTGGGCAACAGAGCGCGACTCTGTCTCAAAAAAAAAAAAAAAGCAATACGCAGCGTAGGTCATTTGGCATGCCAGATGGGTTAGGATTAAATGTTAAAAAGGAATACGGAGAAAAGTAGAAGAAAATACAACTAAATATTTCACTGATCTCAGATTGAGGAAAGACTTTCTAGGTGTCAAAATAATGGCAATAAATCAGAAAGGAAAATATTGATAGATTTTTCACTACATAAAACTGTTTGCTGGCTGGGCGTGGTGGCTCACGCGTGTAATCCCAGCACTTCAGGAGGCCAAGGCAGGTGGATCACCTGAGGTTAGGAGTTTGAGACCAGCCTGGCCAAAATGGTGAAACTTCGTCTCTACTAAAAATACAAAAATTAGCTGGGCATGGTGGCAGGCGCCTGTAATCCCACCTACCCAGGAGGCTGAGGCAGGGGAATCACTTGAACCCGAGAGGCGGAGGTTGCAGTGAGCTGAGATCACATCATTGCATTCAAGCCTGGACGACAGAGCAAGACTCCGTCTCAAAAAAAAAAAAAAAAAAAGGCCAGGCGCGGTGGCTCACACCTGTAATCCCAGGACTTTGGGAGGCTGAGGCGGGCAGATCACAAGGTCAGGAGATCAAGACTATCCTGGCCAACATGGTGAAACCCTGTCTCTATTAAAAATACAAGGCCAGGCGCGGTGGTTTACGCCTGTAATCCCAGCACTTTGGGAGGCCGAGACGGGCGGATCACGAGGTCAGGAGATCAAGACCATCCTGGCTAACACAGTGAAACCCCGTCTCTACTAAAAATACAAAAAATTAGCCAGGCGTGGTGGCGGGCGCCTGTAGTCCCAGCTACTCGGGAGGCTGAGGCAGGAGAATGGCATGAACCCGGGAGGCGGAGCTTGCAGTGAGCCGAGATCACGCCACTGTACTCCAGCCTGGGCGACAGAGCGAGACTCTGTCTTAAAATAAATAAATAAATAAATAAAACCAAGCTGTGCTCTGACCACCTTGGGCACATGTCATTAGGACCCCCTGAGGCTGTGTCACAGATAAGTGTCCCCAAACTTGGCAAAATAAACTCTCTAAATTAACTGATACGTGTCTCAGCTATTCATAGTTCAAAAGTACATAGGCAAAAAATTGCAAACATTTCTAAGGAGAAATTTTCTAAAGTCTGCTCTAGTGAATAAAAGCTATTTGGCCAGGCACGCTGGCTCATACCTGTAATCCCAACACTTTGGGAGGCCAAGGTGGGTGTATTGCTTGGCCAAAGTTGGTTCAAGCCGTGAGGAGAAGGAGAAATTGGGTATGCCTCGTTATACCTGCCTCTCTTTTGGAATTCAGGAAAAGGTGACTAGCATTAACATGAACACAGACCTTAAGTTTGATAAGAAAGCTTTTTACAATCTATTCCCTCTGAAGCCTGCTACCCGGAGGCTTCATCTGCATGATAAAACTCTGGTCTCCACAACCCCTTACCGTCATAACCCAGACATTCCTTTCTATTGATTCCAGGTCTTTAGACCATAACTCTTTCAACCAATTGCCAATCAGAAAAAATTTAAATCTATCTATAACCTGGAATCATCCCCCTTTGAGTTGTCCCACCTTTCCAGATCGAACCAATGTACATCTTTTTTTTTTTTTTTTTTGAGACAGAGTCTCACTCTGTCGCCCAGGCTGGAGTGCAGTGGCACCATCTCGGCTCACTGCAAGCTCCACCTCCCGGGTTCATGCCATTCTCCTGCCTCAGCCTCCCGAGTAGCTGGGACTACAGGTGCCTGCCACCACACCCAGCTAATTTTTTGTATTTTTAGTAGAGACGAGGTTTTACTGTGTTAGCCAGGATGGTCTCGATCTCCTGACCTCGTGATCCACCCGTCTCGGCCTCCCAAAGTGCTGGGATTACAGGAGTGAGCCACCGCGCCCGGCCGAACCAGTGTACATCTTACAGGTACTGACTGATGTATTCTCTCTCCCTAAAATGTATAAAAGCAAGCTGTACCCTGCCAACCTTGAACATATGTCCTGAGGACCTCCTGAGGCTGTGTCACAGGTGCATCTTTAACCTTGGCAAAATAAACTTTCTAAATTGATTGAGACCTGTCTCAGATACTTTTGGGTTCACACATCCTACCTGAGATTTTCTCCATCTCTTCTAATAGCTTTTCCAAGTCCTTATTCAGATCTGACAGCATTTTCAGCATGTTGTCATAGTTTCTTTCCTCAGGGTCAGCATCATCCATCTAGGCAATGCACAGAAAGAAGCTGCAGTCAGACAGACCTACATTTCAAATCCAGCTCCACTGGTTATAACTCAGTGATTTCTCTAAGGAATTCTTTCCCCATCTCTCAGATTCAGACAATACCACGTACTCCACAGGGCTGTTGTGAAGGTTAAATGGGAACATGTCTAAAGGCCCCAGCATAGCATTCGGCACATATAAGTTGTCCTTCCCCTTTCTTCCATCTTTGCCATACAAACGTAGCTGAAGGCTGGAGTCATTAACACAGAAAACATCTTCATTATAATGAAAAAAGTCTGTCATAATGGTGACATGGAATTTTTTCTTGCAAAACCATATTGAGTACCCACTAAGATGCAAGCTATTGTGCTGATGTGTTTCAAAGATACAATTCCTGTACCTAAGGAATTTCTAGTGCAATATGGGAGTAAGTCACACACACCATATGACAAACCAGGATGTGACAGATGTCGAAGCAGTTAATGTAATAATTACAGACATCAAGCGATGGGAGCCTGGAGGCGGGTACGTTTAATTTTAAAATATGAAATGATTCATACATTAAAAAAAATTATAATCAACTTAACTTTCCAGAAGAATTCTCCTGGGCATTAGAGGCAGTGCCCCATAGAGACTGTCCTGGTTCTGGAATTGAGCTGCCTGGGTTCAAATCTTGGCGCTACCTCATATCAGCAGTGTTACTTTTGGCAACTTACACATCTTCTCGACAAATTTTTGGTAATTTTTTTGAGTTTTTTTTTTTTTTTTGAGACGAAGTTTTGCTCTTGTTGCCCAGGCTGGAGCACAGTGGCACGATCTCGGCTCACCACAACCTCTGCTTCCTGGGTTCAAGTGATTCTCCTGCCTCAGCCTCCTGAGTAGCTGGGATTACAGGCAAGTGCCACCACGCCCGGCTAATTTTGTATTTTTAGTAGAGATGGGGTTTCTCCATGTTGGCCAGGCTGGTCTCAAACTCCTGACCTCAGGTGATCTATCCACCTCGGCCTCCCAAAGTGCTGAGATTACAGATGTGAGCCACCACACCCAGCCAAGTTTTGTATTTTTTAAACGGGAATTATTAGTATTACCTATATCTTGTGGAGTTTTGTGAGGATTAATTGAAATAAATTATATACTGTTCAGCACAGTACCTACCGTAATGAGCACTTAATAAATCATATCCGTTGTTATTTAAAATGTTGAACAGTAATTACATCACTCCAGATCCTCTCCTCACCTTTATTAATATACATTAATTCATTCTGTTAATATTTGATGCTCACCTATTTATCTACAAGGCACTAGTAAGAAAAGAGAGAAATAGATAAATAATGTAAGAGCTGCCAGGGAACTTGTAACCTCATGAAGGTGAAGGAATGAGCCAGGTAAGCATAAAACAGGGAGGGATGGGCCACAGATGCTGCGGTATTGTTCCCACTGTACATGTGGGGAAAGCCTTCCTGGTCTTTACTTCAGAGTTAAGGGCCTCCACTCAGTTCTCCTGTGACTTCCTGGGCCTCCCTCATCACGGTGCCTCTTAGCTGGTATTGTGATTGTGGATTCCTCTACCTCCCCAACTAGACTGTGGGGTCCTGGAAAGCAGAGGCCATCTTTCCAATGAACTATTCCTAGTGTTCAGCTCAGAGCTAGGAAAACAGCAAGTGCTTAATAAATGTTGGCTGAATAAAGGAGTTGACCATTGTAAAGCTCTAATTCTGAAAGAAAATCATGATCGTGGCCAAGCGCGGAGGCTCATGCCTGTAATCCCAACACTTTGGGAGGCCGAGGTGGGTGGATCACCTGAGGTCAGGAGTTTGGGACCAGCCTGGCCAACATGGTGAAACCCAGTCTCTACTAAAAATATAAAAATTAGCCGGGTGTGGCGGCAGGTGCCTAATCCCAGCTACTGGGATTACTGGGGAGGCTGAGGCAGGAGAATCGCTTGAACCCGGGAGGTGGAGGTTGCAGTGAGCCGAGATTGTGCCATTGCACTCCAGTCTGGGTGACAAGAGCGAAACTTCATCTCAAAAAAAAAAAAGAAAGAAAATTATTATCTTTCCCCTCTTGCCGTCCTCCCTGTTAAGGGTAGAGATTCTGAGGGAGGAGCAAAGGGCCCTCCAGGAGGCCTGACAGGCAGATCTGAGAATGAGGGTGCAGGGTCAGGGTGTATGGTCTTTCGGGATCTGTAAAGGAGGTACTTCTGTGGGCATGGAGCCATTCCACGTGCAGGGACTCCGTCCTGCTTTTTGGTAAGTAGGAATAGTTTGCTAAGAGTAAGTGGGGAGGTACAGGCAGGTGGCAGGGCAGGGGGCTAATAGTGGGTGATGGGAGGAAGAAATGTCCAGAACACCTTCCTTAACCCTCTCCTATAGCTATTCCCTCTCCTTCCTTTAGCAGCCAGGCCTCACACGTTTGTCTGTCCTCCTCACTCCACTGTCATCTGGCATCTGTCTCTGACATTCACTGACAATGCTCTCACCAAAGTCATAACTGGCACACCCAGGGCACTTTCTGTCTTTCTTTTATTTAACATCTCTGCAGCACTGACATTTGGCCATTTTCTCCTGCTCAAAATTCTCTTCTCTTGATGTTTTAACCTTGTTCTCTCCAAACTCTGTCCACCTGTGGTAGTTCCTTCCCTGCTCTTTCTTGGCTCTCTCCTTTACTGGCTCTAATGGGTCAAGGAAGGTCCTTTTAGCCCCTTCTCTTCTCACTACACACTCTTTTTTTTTTTTTCTTGAGACGGAGTCTCACTCTGTTGCCCAGGCTGGAGTGCAGTGGCGTCATATCGGCTCACCACAACCTCCGCCTCCCAGGTTCAAGCAATTCTCCTGCCTCAGCCTTCCAAGTAGCTGGGATTACAGGTGCCCGCCACCATGCCCAGATAATTTTTGTATTTTTAGTAGAGACGGGGTTTCGCCATATTGGCCAGGCTGGTCTCAAACTCCTGAACCTCAGGTGATCCGCCTGCTTCGGCCTCCCAAGTCCTGGGATTACAGGTGTGAGCCACTATGCCTGGCCAGAACTTCGATTTTTATTCTGAATGAGATGAGGAAACACTGGAAAAATCTGACAAAGGTGATGTGATTTGAATAATGACTTAAAAGGATCACTCTGGCTTCTGTGTTGAGAATAGACTAAGGGGTGGAAAGCATGGAACAGGGACATCATTTAGGAGGCAGCTGCAAAACTCCAGGTAAGGAATGATGAGGCTTGGACCAGAGTGTTAGAAGTGGAGGTAGCCGCCAGGCTTAGTCGGTCATGCCTGTAATCCCAGCACTTTGGAAGGCAGAGGCGGGGGATCACAAGGTCAGGAGTTCGAGACCCGCCTGGCCAATATGGCAAAACCCCATCTCTACTAAAAATACAAAAATTAGCTGGGCATGGTGACGGGCGCCTGTAGTCCCAGCTACTCAGGAGGCTGAGGCAGAAGAATCCCTTGAACCCAGAAGGTGGAGGTTGCAGTGAGCCGAGATCATGCCACTGCACTCCAGCCTGGGTGACAGAGCAACACTCTGTTCCAAAAAAACAAAAACAAAAATAAATAAAAAGTAACCACTGGATTTGACAATCTGGAGGTCACACTGGCAATCTTGACAGGAGCTGTTTTCATGGAGTGGCTGGAACAAGAGCCCAATCGAAATGTTTCTAAAGAGAGGGAAGGAGAAGTAGAAACTGGTGAGTTTTACTTCAAAGAGAAGCAGAGAAACATGCCAGTACCTGGAATGTAATGTAGAGTCACAGGGGTATTTTATTTTAAGTTGGGAGATATTACACCAGTGTCAAAGATTACAGTATTTGGGCATGGCAGGCCCAGGCATGGTAGCTCATGCCTGGAATCCCAGTGCTTTGGGAGGCTAAAGCAGGAGAAATGCTTGAAGCCAGGAGTTTCAGACCAGCCCGGGCAACAGTCTCTACAAAAAAATTTAAAAATAGCTGGGTGTGGTGGTGCGCACCTCCAGTCCTAGTTACTCAGGAGGGTGAGGTGGGACAATTGTGCCACAGCACTCTAGACTAGGCTACAGAGGAAGATCTGGAAGATCCCCTCTGCAAAATGAAAAAAAGGGCTCAGTAAATTCAAGATATTTGATTTGGGTGTCACTGGTCAACTCGGTGAGACGTTTCAGGAGAGCCATAAAAGTAAAAATATTTCATGAATTAAATAATTAATGGATCATTAGACAAAATGGATTGTGTGTACAGATTTAGATGGGAAGGGGAGAAAAAAACAGGAGGTAACTAGAAGGTGATACAGAGTCAAGGTTTTTTGTTTTTTGAATTCTTCGTTTCTAGGCTGTGTGGAAAGAGCTACCTGGACAGAAAAGCCTGAAGAATCAGAAGAAAGGGCAACTGATGGTGCAGGGACTGGTCTCAGACAAGTAAGGGGTCATTTCACCCTATGAAGGTAAGGGAAGGTAAGGAGGTAGAGATAGAATAAGGTAGGTAGAGGTCAAGGTAGGATGGCAAGGGGGGGATTTCAGGCCCGATGGTCTCTAACTCCCTAATAAATGGCAATGAAAAGTTTCTTCTTGTAACAACAGACATTCTTGGTTTGAGGAGAACGATAAAGCTTTATCAAAGCTGCATGCCTCCCTAGGGGCACCTAGGCATGTGACTGAGGCCACATGGCCACAGTGTCCTCAGGACCCTAAGACGGCACAGAGACAGTGGATGGAGTGTAGAAGGCCTGGGAACGTAAACATACATGCAGTGGATGGACAAGGTAAGGACACTGAGAGCACAAGTATGAGAGTGGCTTAAGGGGTGGTTGATGGTTGGGGTGAAGCAGAGGCATAGAAAAGACATGTAGTTTCTATAAGTGGGGCGTTGGGGTGGCCACAGGTAGATTTGGGGATAGAGCATGAGACTGCTAGAAGGATGGAGGCTGGGCCGGAGTGGCACTGGATCTCAGAAGAGGGATGGATCTGAAAAGGAGATCCAGGGAGAGGGTGTGAGAGCTGATGTGGAGGAAGCAGCCACAGGATTAGAATTCACGGCATTTCTTGCCTAATGAGGTTGCCTGGGATGACTGGGAACGGGTGGAGAAAGAGGCCTGAGCCCGCACCAAAGCACAATGGAACGGAGCTTAGGATGGGTGGCGGAAGTGTGGGGCGGGAGGAGCGTGGGGCGGGAGGAGTGTGGGGCGGGAGCGTGGGGCGGGAGTGTAGGGTCTGGCTTGGGTATCACTTTAGGTGTGAAGGACGGGGGTTGAGCGAGTCAGAGCCTAGAGTCTGGTTTGTGGTCTGAGTGTCTTGCCTGGTACGAAGAGTTTCTAACAGAGTCTGGGATCCCTCTGAGAACAAGGAATGTGAGGGGATAAGAGGGATGCTTGGTGCAGAGATGTGCTCTTTTGTACGGGATGAGAGCAGCACAGGAAGGGAATGCACCTGTGATGTGGGAGAGAAGTCTTGGAGTTGGGCTATGAAGAGTCTGGGCGGGTCCTGAAGTGCAGGTGGAGGAAGCCAGAGGTGCGTGTGGGAACTTGGGGTGTGAGGTGGTGTGTGGACTCCGGGGTCCCAGGTGTGGCAGGTGTGAGGGTAAGAGGGGCAGGCTGCACGGAATGAGAAGCCCAGGGTGTGCAGACTTCAGGATCAGGAGTGTATGGTGTGAGGACATGGAGATTAGGTTAAGGGGGTGAAGGACTGAGGTGAGGGATGTAAGGTGGGGAGAGTGGGGTATGGAGTGTGCAGTGAGGGGAGCGGGGGAGGGGTGAGGCGGGGTGAGGCGGGGTGAGGAGGGGTGAGGGGTGAGGCGGGGTGAGGGGTGAGGCGGGGTGAGGGGTGAGGCTGGGTGAGGAGGCGGGTGAACGGTGACGTGAGCGATGAGGGGTGAGGGGCGAGGCGGGTGAGGCGGGGTAAGGAGGGGTGAGGCGGGGTGAGGGGTGAAGGGTGAGGCGGGGTGAGGGGTGAAGGGTGAGGCGGGGTGAGGGGTGAGGGGTGAGGCGGGGTGAGGGGTGAAGGGTGAGGCGGGGTGAGGGGTGAAGGGTGAGGCGGGGTGAGGGGTGAGGCGGGGTGAGGGGTGAGGCGGGGTGAGGGGTGAGGGGTGAGGCGGGGTGAGGAGGGGTGAGGGGTGAGGGGCGAGGCGGGTGAGGCGGGGTGAGGAGGGGTGAGGGGTGAGGCGGGATGAGGGGTGAGGGGTGAGGCGGGATGAGGGGTGAGGGGTGAGGCGGGGTGAGGGGTGAGGCGGGGTGAGGGGTGAGGGGCGAGGCTGGGTGAGGAGGCGGGTGAGCGGTGACGTGAGCGATGAGGGGTGAAGGGTGAGGCGGGGTGAGGGGCGTCGGGGGAGGGGCATGGGGTGTGGAGTGAGTGGAGTCGGGTGAGTGGAGTTGGGTCGAAGTCAAGGGTCTGGCTTGAGGTTGGTGCCACCGCGAACGCTAGGACAGGGTCAGGCGGAGCCCAGCCGTCAGGGCGCGTTGGGAGGGCCGGGGCCCAGGGGGGCGCGGCCTCGCTCACCTCCAGCTTGGCCCGCGCTCCGGTCCTGCTCTGGCGCCCCCAGCGGCCGCTTGAGGAACAAGGCCGCTCCTCGAGAGGGATGCCCCGCCCTTTCCGTTAGCGAACCCTCCCCGGAAGTGACCTCTCGCCCTCATTGGGTGTCCTCGGGAAAAGGGGCGGGGCATTCCGCGCTGCTCCCACAGGTCTGCGGCGTCCGAGTCTGGGACTGGCAGGTGCGGTGCTGGGGACGTCCTGAGGTTGAGGGAGAATCCTGCGGAGATGAAGAGCTTCCCGGCCTGACAGTTTTGCCCCCACCTCCTTCTTGAGCTTAAGGATTTATACGCAGGGCCCCGTTTGCCTGCTGTGTCCCCAGTGTCCAGGACAGCGCCCGGTACCAAAGGTGCTGGTAAACATTTGTCGAATGAGTCGCTGAACGCCCAGCTATTTCCACTGTCACAGCGATCATGTGTGGCGGACATTATGTGGCATGTATCTTACAGAGGAGGCAGCCCGGGCTCAGGGAGACGAGGCAGAGGTGCACGCAGGTCTATGTGGGCTGGAAAGTGCTGGGGCCTCCCGGGCGCTCCTGGTCTCCAGGCAAGAACTGGAAGCAGAGCCACTCAACACCTAGAAGGGCAGTGACAGAAAGCTCTGGCTGGGAGGAGGCTGACCAGAGGCCAGTCTGAGCTCAGCCTTTTTTTTCAGAGGGACGTGGGCACCCTAGAAGGGTGGTAAGTAGGCGAGTGGCAGAGTTAAAAGGTCTCTGGCTGCCGAGGCGGGTGGCGACGGGGCCGGCCGTTGCTGTTGTTTGGCTGAGTGGTGGACAGGGTCAAAGCCATTCCAAGGTCGACTTGACAGGGCTTGGTAATGTGGGAGGGAGGGAGAAAGAAGCAAGGGGCTAATGGCCGGGGTGATACCACTGGCAGAGATGTGGAAGAGTGGGAGAAGCTAGCTTGGAAGGTTAACTTTGATTTTGAACACCTTGTGTTTGAGAATCCTGACAAACCTTAGACCCCCTGAATTTTCTCTCAGGGATTCTGATTCTTAGCAGCCTGATTGCAGAGGAGGAAAAATGGCTGGGGTTGAGCCAGACAGTTCTGGGCAAGGAGTGAGCATTCGCTTGTTTATTGAGGAGGCTGCTGCCTGGGCCACACTCCCTCCGCCAGCTGCCAGGTTCCTGCCCCGGTTGAACCCGGTTTTCTGGCCATCCCTTTCCACCTGTGAGCTGCTCTTCATACTTCCATTTGCTTATACAGCCCAGAGCCGATTTCTGTTACAGCAGCCCAGAGAAACATGAATAGGGAATAATTCTTTTTTTTTTTTTTTGAGACGGAGTCTTGCTCTGTTGCCCAGGCTGGAGTGCAGTGGCACGATCTCGGCTCACTGCAACCTCCGCCTCCCAGGTTCAAGTGATTCTCCTGCCTCAGCCTCCCTAGTAGCTGGGATTACAAGCACATGCCACAACGCCCAGCTAGTTTTTGTATTTTTAGTAGAGACCGGGTTTCGCTATGTTGGCCAGGCTGGTCTCGAACTCCTGTCCTCAGGTGATCCACCCGCCTCGGACTCCCAAAGTGCTGGGATTACAGGTGTGAGCCACTGTGCTTGGCCCGAATCAGGAATAATTCTGATGGCTAAGGAAGACAGCTTCCGAGAGAGTAGGAGAAAGGGCACAGGATTCCAGGCAGAAGGCCCATCTAGGGCAAAGGCGAAGGTGTGGCTCAGCCTGCCTCCTTTGGGGAATGGCGAGTGTGTTCTGGGCTCAGGGTTCTTGGTAAGGGACAGAGAAGACTCGGGAAAGATCAGTTGAGCTGGAATGTGCAGGCTCTTGAGTACCCTGCTCAGGAGCTGGAGGTGGGCTACCCTGCAAACTCCAGGCCATGAAGCCCAGGAAGATGTCAGGCTGGTCTTCCCATGCCCTTGTGTATCTGAGACCAACTGTCACTAAATGTTTCCTTTACGCCCTGGACACACAGCTAGACTCTACTTCTCAGATTCTCTTGAAATACAAGTCTTTAGCCAGAGGGTGTGGAGGGAAATGCTGTGTATCACTTTGAGGTTGAGGCCATCAAAGCCTCCCACAGGTGGCCCCCTCTTTCTCTCCCCACGTACTTATGATGTTGATGCCCAAGGCAGCTTGAGTACTACCTGCTGAAGGCAGGGCCTCTGTCACCATAGATCCTTGAATAACAGTATGGAGCAGAGCCCTCATCTCAGCCAACTGGATTTTATCTGACCAACAGTCCAGCTTCTATTGGGTTGAGCCATGAGGTTTCAGGATTTATGTTATGGCTGCTAGCTTTTATTAATGCAGACCTGCAGACCTATGGGACATGGGGAACTAATTGGGGTTTGGGTTGTCATCAGAGGTTTATTTATTTTTTTAAGACAGGGTGTTGCTCTGTCACCTAGGCTGGAATGCAGTGGGTCAATCATGGCTCACTGCAGCCTCAATCTCTCAGGCTCAAGTAATCCTCCCAACTCAGCCTCCAGAGTAGCTGGGGCCACAGGCAAGTGCCACCACGCCTGGCTAATTTTTTTTTTTTAATTTTGTAGAGATGGGGTCTCACTGCACCACCCAGGCTGGTCTCGAACTCCTGGGCTCAAGACCTCCCAAAGCACAGGCATTACAGGCGTGAGCTACCATGCCCAGCAGTCTCCAGAGGTTTATACCCTGGTTTACCACTGTTGTTCCTCATCTCACTATTTTAACCCAGAACAAATGAGATAAAAGAACTTTAATGCTGAATTTTGATGTTAATTGAAAGCTAGCTTGTTGGAAACTCTGTTTACTGCTATCTCAGGACGGGGTGAGCTGATGTCCCCAGAAGACTACCAAAACGCAGGCACCTTCCCAGGGGAGGCTTACTGGCACCCAAACAGGTAGAGGTCTCTGGAAATACTTTTGGAAGCTGAAGAACGCTCTGATATGGAATGTAACATTTTGCAGGCAGAGGTGTACTCTTTTTTTTTTTTTTTTTTTGAGACAGAGTCTCGGTCTCCCAGGCTGGAGTACAGTGGCACCATCTTAGCTCACTGCAACCTCCATCTCCTGGGTTCAAGCGATTCTCCTGCCTCAGCCTCCTGAGTAGCTGGGACTACAGGCACGTGCCACCACACCCGGCTAATTTTTGTATTTTTAGTAGAGGCAGGGTTTTGCTGTATTAGCCAGGATGGTCTCGATCTCCTGACCTCGTGATCTGCCCGCCTCGGCCTCCCAAAGTGCTGGGATTACAGGTGTGAGCCACCGCGCCCGGCCCCAAGAGGCATACTCTTATAGCTCATGAAGACTTGAAGGAGGTGAGGAGCCTCTGCCCTGGGAATCCTCTCATGCACTTTCAAGGTTTTAACTGTCTTCAAAACTGTTAGAAGGAGCCTAGATCTCTCCTTAGCTTTTCATTTATATTTTCAAGAGTCTGAGACATTTTCACAGCTATTTCTTATAGGCAAGTCAAATTCAACATTTAAAGACCTAATTTAATCACCCAATCACCCAATATAGAAAATATGAGTTATCTTTGATTCCTCCTGATTAGACTTGTCAGTCCTACGTTTGACATTCCAAGCTCCTTAATTCTACTTTCCTATGGCACTGCCTTAGTTTAAGCCGCTCATTTCTTCCAGCTCCACCACCACCAGGAGCACTTCTCCAGCGGGTCTCCTTGCTTCCACTGTTACTGCGTCCTACTTTGTTCTAACGCCACCCTGGTTAGCCAGTGATCCCTTAAAATTAGGACAGATTATGCCACCCTCTGTTCAAAGCCCAACAGCTTCCCCCGTCATTCAGAAAATCCAGAATCTGGCCTACGAGGCCCTTGTTACCCCGATCTAGCTGCCCCGCTTGCTCTTCCCATCCCTGACTCCACACTAGCCACATCCTTCATCACAGCAGACACCGCTCGCAAAGCTTTGGCTCTTGCTGTTCCTTCAGCCAGGAATACTCTGCCCTTAGGTACGGAACATGAGGGACATGAGGGACATGACTTGCTCCTCGTCTCCTTCAGGCCTGTGGTCAAAGGACCCCAATCAGGAAGGCTTGCTTTTGCCACTGTCTGAAATTGCCACCCACCTCTCCTTTTGTCTCTCCACTTACTTTTCCTCTTTTTTTTTTTTTGAGACGGAGTCTTGCTCTGTCGCCCAGGCTGGAGTGCAGTGGCGCGATCTTGGCTCACTGCAAGCTCCACCTCCCAGGTTCACGCCATTCTCCTGCCTCAGCCTCTCCCAGTAGCTGGGACTACAAGCACCCACCACCACACCTGGCTAATTTTTTGTATTTTTAGTAGAGACAGGGTTTCACCGTGGTCTTGATCTCCTGACCTTGTGATCCACCTGCCTTGGCCTCCCAAAGTGCTGAGATTACAAGCGTGAGCCACTGCGCCCAGCCCATGGTGTCTTATAAGTGTCTTATATAAGGGTACCATTTTTTTTTTTTTTGAGACGGAGTCTCGCTCTGTTGCCCAGGCTGGAGTGCAGTGGTGCCATCTTGGCTCAGTGCAAGCTCCGCCTCCTGGGTTCACGCCATCCTCCTGCCTCAGCCTCCCAAGCAGCTAGGACTACGGGCGCCCGCCACCATGCCTGGCTAGTTTTTGTATTTTGTTTAGTAGAGACACTGTTTCACCGTGTTAGCCAGGATGGTCTCGATCTTCTGACCTCGTGATCCACCTGCCTCGGCCTCCCAAGGTGCTGGGATCACAGGCGTGAGCCACTGCACCTGGCCATAAGGGTGCCATTTTTAATCTTTTATATAACATTTTTACTATACCTTTTCTATGTTTAGACAAGTTTAGATACACAAAGACTTCCCATTGTATTACAGTTGCCTACAGTATTCAGTATGGTAACATGTTGTAAAGGCATGCGGCCTAGGAGCAACAGGGTAAGCAGCATAGCCCAGGTCTGTAGTAGGCTGCACCATCTACCTTTGTGTAAATGCACTCTAGAATCTTTGCACAACAAAATCGCCTAACAATGCACTTCTCAGAATGTATCCCCTTCATTAAGCAACCCATGCCTGTACTTGGTAAGTGGATTATCCCAAAAGCCTCCTGGTTTCCTGCCAGCTGCTCTGTCCCCTGACCACACCTGCCTCACCCAGCAGTGAATTCGACATGGGCAGGAATAGGACCTTGTTTACCACTGAATCCCCAGCACAGGGCCAAGTCTATGGTGGGTGTTCAACAGACACTGGTTCCTGGCCGGGCACGGTGGCTCACGCCTGAAATCCTAGCACTTTGGAAAGTCGAGGTGGGAGGATCACTTAAGCTCAGGAGTTCGAGACCAGCCTGGGCAACATAGTGAGACCCTATCTCATGGGAAAAAAAAGAAAAAAACAAAAACAGATGAAGACACTGGTTCCTAAATGAAGGTCCAGAACTGAATCTAATTCACTTCAATTACAGTAATTGAGGGCCTACTTATACTTTTCATAAAAATTATTTTTTATGGCTGGGTGCGGTGGCTCACACCTATAATCCCTGCACGTTGGGAGGCTGAGGCAGGTGGATCACCTGAGGTCAGGAATTCGAGACCAGCCTGGCCAACATGGTAAAACCCTGCCTCTACTAAAAATACAAAAAATTAGCCGGGCGTGATGGCGGGCGCCTGTTGTCCCAGCTACTCAGGAGCTGAGGTACGAGAATCGCTTGAACCCAGGAGGCAGAGGTTGTAGTGAGTCGAGATCGTGCCACTGCACTCCAGCCTGGGCAACAAGAGCGAAACTCCGCCTTAAAAACAAAGAATAATTATTTTGTATTTACTCTTAACATGATTTTAGCAGCCGAGCCAACCTCAGTGAAGGAGTGTCTGTTGCTACAGGTCATCCTGCGTGCCCTCTTGCAGACATGACCACCTGGCGCCTCAAGACTTCAGGCCTGGGCCTGCAGCCCCTTTCCATGCTGACAAGAAGCTGCGGGGCCCGTGCAGGGTTGTGCCTCAGCCAAGAGGGGTGCCTCACACATGCCCCTGCATGGGAGGAGGTGGGCTCACTCTCCAGCAGACAGACAAACAGAAATGGCCCCAGGGAACAGGTGAAGGTTCTGAGGCAAGTATTTATTCCAAGCAAACACGTGGGCGTGGACAGCTATCTCAGAGCCTACGTCACTCAGCAGAGTCACACATTTCAAAGCAGGTCACACAAGTCCCTCATGAACAGTCTTCCAGCTTCAGCCCTTCTCTTGCCACCTCTGTGGTCTGAGCTGGGGGAGGGGGAGGGCCTCCGAGTTCCCAAACAAAACACAGGTACCTAAGGGCTGAGAGAAAATTACACAGCCTTATTTTTATTAGTATCTATCAAGAAAAAAAAAAATCAAAATTCCCTTCCTGCTCCAACCCCACCTCCACCACCTGGGCCCTCAGGGAGCAGCATCTGCCCAGCGAGGACCTGCTGCCGGAGCTGTCCTTGGAGCCTGGGCACCTGTGCACGGCCACCCCTCATGCCTGTGAGCTGCCACAGGTCCCTTCCTCCACAGTGTGGGGACGAAAGGGCAGCTGGCATTTCTCCAACCTTCAGCTGTAGGCCTTGGGAACTTGGAAAAGATCAGCAATGTCCAGCAGGGCTTTGCGGATGTGGTTTCCAAAGCGCTGGGCGTTCTGTGGGAGCCAAGAGTTCAGATGCACCTTCAGATATGTACCCACCCCTCTGTTCCCACAAGCAAGGATGCCTCCCCAGCCAAAGACACCTGTGTTCCTGGGCAGCCCCAGGTGGCACCCCTTCCTCAGGCCTGAGCTGTGGCAGGAGACTCACCGTCTCTGAGCTTGAGAACTTGCTGGAGATGTGGAAGAAGATCGTGTTCTCGCCTGCAATCATGTAGGAAACTCCATAGCCATCATCTGCTACCTGAGGGCAACAAGAAGGGTGAAGAAGGCATAAATCAAACCTTGAAGATCTGAAAGCCAAGCTGATATTGTACTTGTTCTTCCCACAAGAGTTGCAGGAACGGGCCCCAGCCCTAGACACTGCATTTTTCCTGAGGACCACCCCCAGGAAACTGTGAAAACCAAAGAATGCTGCCCAGACCCCGCCAAGGGATCTGGGACCTCCCAGTTTCCCTCAGGGGGCTTATTCTCTAGATCACTCCGTCTCTCTCCAGAGGGTTCTCTAGCCTTCTGACAAGCTAGCCCATGTGAAGGTTTCTGTGGGAGACAGCTGCACTCTCTTGGATAAGTAGACTTCAGAAGCACCCAGTGCACTGCCCAGTACCCTGGAAACCAGCCCCACAGTCATGCTTCAGTACCCCGGAAACCACGGTCATGCTTCAGCAGGGAGGTATTTGGGATGGGTGGGTCCCAGGTGCTTGGCTGCCTGAGTCCATAGCTAACATTCTGCTTCCATGCAGGTCTGGGGTTATGCTCTCCTCTAAGCAAGGTGCTCCTGCCTCTCGTCTGACCTCAGGGCCTGCACTCGCCACTGAAACCCTCAGGGCCCTGGTGCTGCCCACCCACCCCCTTCAGGAGCACTCACAGGGCCAAAGCCACCTCCAGCGCCCAGGTGATTGGGGTGCTGCTCTGGGTCGAACATGCGGATCTGGGATTGGGGGATCTGGCTGGTGGAGAGACGCCAGGGTTCCGAGAGCACCTGCAATGGAGGCCACAGCTGGTCAGAGGCCACATACCCAAAGCACCTGTCCAACACGTGGTGTCTGCGACCTACTCTGAGCCAGACACGGTTCTGCTGAGGGTGCAGGAGCTCCCTGGCCACCACCCCGTGGTCCCCTGTGCATCATGCCACATAAGGCTTGTGTGAGCTGCCCAGCCCTCCCTCTGCTCTGCCTCTCCCCCACATAGCCTCACTAGTCTCAGTAGTGCTGTCACCACCTGACAGATCATATATTTGTCTGTTCCCTGTCACAAGGACACCAACACCACAAAGAGGATGTTGCTCCTGCTCAGTCCCAGGACCACAGGCCCAGGTGGGGTGTGGGCGGGAAAGCTGGCCCAGCACTCCAGGGAGCTTCAGGGGAGCAAGCCAGGAAAACAGGCCGTGCTCCATCATGAGATGGCCCAAGCCCTGCGTGTAGGAGGGCAGTGGGACAAAGGACACACCCAACAACGGTGCTGACCTCAGCAAGGAAAGGAGAGCTGACTCCTAGGTACTTGGAGACCAAGTAAAGGCAGAAGAGGTGCCTGTCGATCCCTGCCCCGGTCATGGCCAGGCGGTACATATTCTGGTGCTTCTTAGCAGCCTTCTGGAAGAGATCTCGCAGGTCTGCTTTCTGCGGGGCAGAAGTAAAGGGGTGAAGAGTAGCCCTGGCCCTCCAGGCAGACAGGAGGCAGAGGGGGCACCTCACCCGACGACTGTGACCCCCACATGGGCAGAGGACACTTACTGTGTGGGACCCCTCCATCATGGCCTGCACAAAGGCTGTGGACTCGCTGGTACAGGAACGCACAGTCTCAGTCCGTCCCTCCCGGAACATTCTGGTCATTGAGGCCTCATAGGTCAGGCAGAACTTACCCCTGTCCTGGGATATACAGAGGGGTGAATCTGGCAGGTGGACCCTGGTACCACCCTGCCCTCTCAGCAGCGGGAGGCGGGGCTCCTACCCGGAAGTGAGCCAGCTGCAGCGCGATCTGCACAAAGGCATCAGGGCTGGTCCGGCACTTCTTGATGAGGCCTTTGCCAAAGGGCAGGAACTGGAAGCAGTACAACTCCACGTCGTCTGCCAACGCCTTGGCCACCTGGTAGGAACTCTCGATGACCGCCTGGCACTGCCAAGACATGGGAAGGGTCAGCTGAGGGTAGGGCTCTCCAAGCAGGACTCTGGGTCATGTCTAGGAGGCATGACGTTTAGCTGGTGGAGAAAGGGCACAGCCGGCCAAGACATCTTCAGGAGGAGGGTACGCAAAAGACAGTCTGAGGGAGAATCAGCCCCCAGAGGCCGGGCTCAGCTTTGTGGGTAAGAGGGAAGTGCTGAAAATGCTCCAGGGGCCTGTGAGTGCCTCCTCCATCTCATGGCTGTCTCTAAACACAGATGGCCCCAGGGGCGGTGGGTGGTCTCTGTCCTCCCTGAAGCCAGTTTGGACTCTACAGGTATCCTGAGACGTGCCCTGTGCCTTCCCGAGGGCTGGGCCAGGCAGTGAGGCCAGCAGGGGAGGAGGAGGCTCAGGCCTCGTCGGGGCTGTACCCACCTGCTGCTTTGTGGTCTCACACCTGCTCTGGGAGCTTCCAACCCACCTGTTTTGGAATGTCCCACTGCAGCCGTGTAGGAGGTGCGAGCGCAGGGTTCGGTTTGCCCAGGCAGTGCCCGGTCTCCGTGTAGCCCAGGTGGAAGCTGTCTGTGCCCAGGACAAACTGCAGGGAGAGGATGAGACTGAGAGGCTGGCCTCATCCCCTACAGCCTGCCCTGCAGGTTCCCTCTGCAAGGCTATTACCTCCCAGAGGTGCCCAATGATGGGAGCATCTGCCCACGCATGCTCTGCATTGAGACCCAACTGGCCATTCTTGAAGGAAATGAGAGTGAAGGATTTGTCAAACCACCTGCAGGAAGAGTAGACACATGAAGAACCAAAGCTGGGAATGTCCAGAGGTGCCTGACCTGCAACCCCAACCTTTAACCCTAATTACTAACCCTATTCTCTCTCTCTTTTTCTCTCACTTTTTTTTTAAATTGAGATGGAATCTTGCTCTGTTGCCCAGGCTGGAGTGCAGTGGTGTGATCTTAGCTTCCCATAACCTCCCGGGTTCAAGGGCTTCTCCTGCGTCAGCCTTCCGACTAGCTGGGATTACAGGTGCCTGCCACCATGCCCGGCTTTTAACCCTATTCTATAACCCAAACCCTAGCTTTTAACCCTAGCCACTAGCCCTACCCAACCACTAATCACAATCCTAACTACTTTTATGAAGGGGTCTCGCTCCGTTGCCCAGGCTGGTCTTGAGCTCCTGCACTCAAGTGATCCACCTGCCTTGGCCCCCAAAGTGCTAGGATCACAGGTGTGTGCCACTGCACCCAGCTCATAACCCTACCTTCTTTTATCTTTAATCCTCTAACCATAACCCTAACTTTTAACCTTAAGCTGTAACCTGTGGGGCTGGGGCTGCCGTACCTGTTGTAGCAGTTGCCATGTAGCAGGGCCTTGCCATAGAGGCTGAGGCTGGCCTCATCTTCGGGGTCATAGGAGTAGGATTCCTCATCCAGGGCCACGAAGAAAGCGGCACGCTCGATGGCCTCCAAGGCAGCCTTATTCTTTCCAGAGCTAAAGAAGGCCTGGCGTGCCTGCGCCCACTCCACCCTGAAGCATGGGGCAGGGTAAGCAGTGGGCACGTGGACTTGGGATGAGGGTGCCTCTGAGGGCCTGGCTGGACCTGGAGATGGGGGTGGGGTGCCAGGCTGGACCTGGAGATGGGGGGTACCACGCTGGACCTGGAGATGTGGGGGTGCCAGGCTGGGCCTGGAGGTGTTGGGGTGCGTGCCAGGCTGCGCCTGGAGGTGGGGGTGTGTGTGCCAGGCTGGGCCTGGAGGTGGGGGGTGCCAAGCTATTTTGGAGGGTGTCCCCACCCTCTGCACACTTCACCTGGCTGCCACCCGTCAGAGGTAGGTTATGCTGGCTGTCCTGCTGCCATGACCACCAATGCCCCTCCCCTAGTTGTGCCTCCAGCCTCCAGTTCCAGGGTGGCAGGCAGGGCCACGCTCCTCTCCTCACGGAGCCCTGAACTCAGGGTGGGGACAGTCCCTTCCTAGAGGCCAATACCTTCCTCCTGCAGTGAGGGCTGCCAGCTTCTCCTCCCCAGGCTGAGGTGGGGAGGGGTCGTCCAGGATCCTCTGGAACTGCATCTCCAGATCCTGAGGCTTGAGCAGACGGGCGCCCTCATAGAGCCACAGCTTGAAGAAGCGTCCCTTGTGGTAGACAGCCACGTGCCGGCTGTCTGAGAGGTGCTGTAGCACATCTGTGATACAGGCCACGGGCAAGCTGAGGCGGGGCCCCCAGCTACATCCTGGGAAGGGCCCACCTCCCATGCACTAGGTGACCCCTGCAGACCCTGTTTTGCTCGGCCTCTGCCTGGGCCTTCCTGCCCCCTGGATGGGATCCGTGTGTCCTAAACCAGGCCCTGTGCTGGGTGCTTCCACTCTCTCTCACGCAACACCAACAATCCTATAAAGTATTTCACAGAAGAGGAAACGACGCACTAGAGGGTTGTGCAAACC
The DNA here is from genome assembly GCF_000001405.40 of Homo sapiens. Classification (NCBI taxonomy): domain Eukaryota; kingdom Metazoa; phylum Chordata; class Mammalia; order Primates; family Hominidae; genus Homo; species Homo sapiens. The sequence continues at coordinate 50,573,975 of NC_000022.11, forward strand.
GCCTAAGGATACAGTGTCAGAAGCAGGGAAGGCTGCTGCCTCTGCCAGACCCCTGGGTGCGCCCCTCCCCTCCTCTGCCGGCTCCATGGCAGCGCCGGGTCTGTCCTAAGCTTTGGGCTGCAGCAGGACTCCCTTCACCATGCGCAGTGAGCCCCGGAGGGGAGGGGCTCTGCTCTGGGCCCTGTGGGGTCCCTGCGCCAGCATCATGCCTGTAAACAATGGATGTCTAGTATCTGTCACAATTGACTACTGTTCACAGTTTCAGGACCCTGAGACACTGGGGACGCTTGGTGATGAGCAGGCAGGAGGGCAGCGAGCCAGCCAGATGGCCCACAGGTAGCAGCGAGGGGGCTCAGTTACCTGTGTCCTTGCCCGGGATCCGAGTGGTGTTGAACATCCTCTCCATCTGGTAGGAGCACATAGGCACTATGCCCAGTGCCATCACCTGAGGGAAGGCCCAGCATGGCTCAGACTCAGGTCTCCCCTCCCATCCCACCTTCAACCCTGACGCAACTCACAGGCTTGATTTCTTCACGGTCCAGTTTACGGCGATACATGATCATGGCGTGGATGATGTTTCCCAGGCGGGCTGCCTGCACGTCTGTATTCTTGATGAGCACAAGGTCCTACAGAGGAACAGAGCCCGCGGGGTGGGGGCCTCTGTCTGGGTGTCACCTGAGTCTTGCTGACCCAAGGACCAATCTATTCGGGGGCCTGAGGTGTTCTGTCTCCCTCTTCCAGTACATCCTGCACATGCTGCCGGGGTGAACCTCCAGAAATGCACAACTGATCGCAGTAACCCTCTGCTCCAGCTTCAGCCTGAGCTGCTTTATTCTTTATTTTTTAGAGTTAGGGTCTTGCTCTGTCGCCCAGGCTGGAGTGCAGCGGAACAAGCATGGCTCACTGCAGCCTCAAATTACTCGCCCTAAGTGATCCTCCTGCTGCAGCCTCCTGAGTTGCAGGGATTAGAGTCATGCACCACCACGCCTGGCTCTGAGCTTCCTTTTTATTTGTTTATTTATTTTTATTTTTAAATTTTTATTTATTTATTTTTCTGAGATAGAGTCTCGCTCTTGTCACCCAGGCTGGAGTGCAGTGGTGCGATCTCGGCTCATTTCAAGCTCCACCTCCCGGGTTCACGCCATTTGCCTGCCTCAGCCTCCCGAGTAGCTGGGACTACAGACGCCCACCACCACGCCCGGCTAATTTTTTGTATTTTTGGTAGAGACGGGGTTTCACCGTGTTAGGATGCTCTCGATCTCCTGACCTTGTGATCCACCTGCCTCGGCCTCCCAAAGTGCTGGGATTACAGGCGTGAGCCACTGCACCCGGCCCGAGCTGCCTTTTTATAAGCTATTTTATGTGCTTATATTCTACTTCTTTTGCTTTGA